>NC_000014.9:36884440-37187470 GCF_000001405.40 Homo sapiens | reverse complement strand
TGGTCACAGCACTGTGCTCTAGCCTTGGCAACAGAATGAGACCCTGTCTCTAAAGAAAAAGAAAGAAAAGTGATCAGATAGTACAGAAGTTATCTTATATCATGTCATCCCCAGAGTTTCCCTTATTATTTTTTGTTTTATTTTTAAATTTATTTTTTTAATATGGAACACTTCACAAATTTGTGTCATGCTTGTGCAGGGGCCTAATCTTCTCTGTATTGTTCCAATTTTATGTGCTTTAGACCCTTGCATTAGTGTTTGTTACAAATGATGAACCAATATGGATACATTATTAACTAAAGTCTGTATTTACATTGTGGCTTGTTCTTGGTGTTGTACAGTTTTATAGAGTTTGCCAACAGCACTCTGTCATGTATTTACTATTACAGTATCATACAGAATAGTTTCACTGTCCTAAAAATCCCTTGTGTTCATCTATTCATCTCTCACTCTCCCACACCCCTCTGGCAACCACTCTTTTTTTTTCTTGTACTGTCTGTATAGCTTTTGCCTTTTCCTGAATGTCATAGTTGGCATCGTACAGCATACAGCTTTCTTAGATTGGCTTCTTTTACTAAGCAATATGTATTTAAGTTTCCTCCATATCTTCTCAAGACTTGATAGTTCATGTTTGTTTATTTATTTATTTATTTATTATATTTTATTTTATTTTTGCTAGAGACAGGGTCTCACTGTATTGCCCAGGCTGCTCTTAAACTCATGGGCTCAAGAAATGCTCCCACCTTAGTCTCCCAAGGTGCTGGGATTCCATTGCTCCCAGCAGCTCCTATCTTTTTATGGCTGAACAGTATTTGCTTATTCATTCACCTTTTTTTTTCTTTTCTTTTCCTCTGTGGTTTTTTTTTTTTTTTTTTTTTTTTTTAGACAGGGTCTCACTCTGTCATCTAGGCTGGAGTGCAGTGGCACAATCTCGGCTCACTGCAGCCTCGACCTCCTGGACTCAAGCAATTCTCCTGTCTCAGTGCCCCTGAGTAGTTGAGACTACAGGTGTATGCCACCACACCAGGCTAAATTTTTGTATGTTTTGGAGAGACACGGTTTTGCCATGTTGCCCAGGCTGGTCTTGAACTCCTGAGCTCAAGTAATTCATCCCCTTCAGCCTCCCAAAATGTTTAGATTACAGATGTGGGCCACTGCACCCGGCCTCCATTCACCTATTGAAAGACTTCTTGGTTGCTTCCAAGTTTTGGCAATTACGAATAAAGCTGCTAGAGACATCTATGTATTTTTATGTGTGTGTAAATATATGTTTTGTATTTGTGTAAATATAAGTTTTCAACTCATTTGGGTGAATACCAAGGAATGCAATTGCTGGATTATATGTTAATAGCATGTTTGGTTTTGTAAGAAACTGCCATACTGTATTCCAGAGTGGAGGTAGTATTTTGCATTCCCCCCAGCAATGATTGAGAGTTCTTGTTTCTCCACATCCTCACCAGCATTTGTTGTCAGTGATTTGGGTTTTCTGCATTCTCATAGATGTATAATGGTATTTTCTTGTTGTTATAATTTGCAATTCCCTAGTGGAATACTGTGTAGTGTTCAGCACCTTTTCATGTGCTTGTTTGCCTTCTGTATTATCTTCTTTGGTGAGGTGTCCATTCACATCATTTTGCCTGTTTTTGATTTTTTGGGCCATAATTGGATTGCTGGTTTTTTTCTGGCAGTGAAAACCCTAGCCCTAGCCCCTTTCTTTTTTTTTTCTTTTCTTTTTTTGCCATCCAAATTGGCTTATAATTATATGTTACATACACACATTTATATCACATCCTTTTTTTTTTAATTATTCACTGCAAGGAAGTTAAGGTTAGATGGATACTCTCAAACACTGCTGTTAGACATATAACTTGGCTCAACCTTACTAGAAAATGATTTTGCAGTTTTTAAAATTGGCAGATAAAATTTTACATACTTCTCGGCCAGGCACGGTGGCTCACACCTGTAATCCCAGCACTTTGGGAGGCCAAGGCAGGCAGATGATGAGGTCGGGAGTTCGAGACCAGCCTGACCAACATGGTGAAACCCTGTCTCTACTAAAAGTACAAAAATTAGCCAGACCTGGTGGCATGCTCCTGTAATCCCAGCTACTCAGGAGTCTGAGGCAGGAGAATTGCTTGAACCGGGGAGGCAGAGGTTGCAGTGAGCCGAGATTGCACCACTGCACTCAAGGCTGAGTGACAGAGCAAGACTCCATCTCAACAAAACAAAACAAAATGAAACAAAACAAAACAAAACAAAAGAAATTTACATGCTTCTCATGTAAAATATGATGTTTTAAAATATATATGCCTTGTGAAATGGCTAAAGCTAGCTAATTAACACGTGTTACCTCACAAAGTTATCTCTTTTTTGGTGAGAATACTTAAAATCTACTCTCTAAGGCCGGGCACGGTGGCTTACACCTGTAATCCCAGCACTTTGGGAGGCCAAGATGGGCAGATTACTTGAGGTCAGGAGCTCAAGACCAGCCTGCCCATCATGGTGAAACCCCATCTCTACAAAAACTACAAAAATTAGCTAGGCATGGTGACAGGCACCTGTATCCCAGCAACTTGGGCAGCTGAGGCAGGAGAATTGCGGAACCCAAGAGGCGGAGGTTGCAGTGAACCCAAATTGCGCCACTGCACTCTAGCCTGGGCAACACAGTGAGACTCTGTCTCAAAAATAAATAAATAAAAATAAATAAAATAAAATACATTTTAAAATGGTTATATCTAGCTAATTAACACATGTATTACCTCATATTTATTTACTTATTTATTATTTATTTATTTTGGTGAGAATACTTAAAATCTACTCTCTAAGGCCGGGTATGGTGGCTCAAACCTCTAATCTCGGCACTTTAGGAGGCCGAGACAGGCAGATCACCTGAGGTCAGGAGTTCCAGACCAGCCTGACCAACGTGGAGAAACCCCGTCCCTACTAAAAATACAAAATTAGCCAGGTGTGGTGGCGCATGCCTGTAATCCCAGCTACTCAGGAGGCTGAGGCAGGAGAATCACTTGAACCCAGGAGGCAAAGGTTGCAGTGAGCTGAAATTGTGCCACTGTACTCCAACCTGGGTGACAGAGTAAGACTCCATCTCAAAAAACAAACAAACAAACAAACTAATCTACTGTATTTTTCAAAAATACAATATATTGTCATTAACTGTAGTCACCATGTTGTACAATTGGTTGCTTGTTTTTTAATGCTGAGTTTTAAGACTCTGTATATTTGAGATACATATCCTTCATCAGATATGTATTTTGTAAATATTGTCTCCCATTCTGTGGCTTGTTTTTTCATTTTTTTAATAGTGTCTTTCACAGAGCAGAAATTTTTAATTTTAATGAACAGTCCAACTTACCACTTTCTTCATTCATGAATCATGTTTTTGGTGTTGAATCTAAAAACTCATTGCTAAGTGAAGATCACCTAGATGTTTTCAAATGTTATAAAAGTTTTGTCATTGAGTGTCTCATATTTAGGTTTGTGAGTTGTTTTTAATTAATTTTTATGAAGGAAAAAGGCCATTGTCTAGATCCATTTTTTTTGCATGCTGATGTCCAATCGTTCCAGCACCATTTGTTGAAAAGACTATCCTTTCTCCATTGAATTGCTTTTTTTTCTTTGTCAAAGATCAATTGACTGTATTGGTGGGGTCTATTTCTGGACTTTCTTTTTTTTTTTTTTTTTTTTTTTGAGACAGAATCTCACTCCGTTGCCCAGTCTATTGTGCAGTGGTGTGGTCTGGGTTCACTGCAACCTCCACCTCCCGGGTTCAAGTGATGCTTGTGCCTCAGCCTCCTGAGTAGCTGGGATTTACAGGCACATGCCACCACACCTGGCTAACTTTTGTATTTTTAGTAGAGACGGGGTTTCACCATGTTGGCCAGGCTAGTCTCGAACTTCTGACCTCAAGTGATCCGCCTGCCTTGGCCTCTCAAAATGCTGGGATTATAGGTGTGAGCCAACGTCTCCAGCCTATTTCTGGACTTTCTATTCTATTCCATTGACCTGTTTGTTCTTGATTATTGTAGCTTTTCAGTAAGTCTTGAAGTCAGTAGATCAGTCCTCTTTATTCTCTATCTTCAGTATTGTTTTATTTTGGGTCTTTTGCCTTTCCATATAAAATTTAGAATCAGTTTGTTGATTTCCACAAAATAACTTACTGAGATTTTGGCTGAATTGCATTGAATCTATAAATCCAATCGGTAAGAACTGACATCTAGTGACATCATAGTGAGCCTTCCTATTCATGAACATAGAATATCTATTTATTTATATTTTCTTTTCTTTCTTTCATCAGGGTTTTGTTAGGTCTTGTCCATATTTTGTTAGATTTATTCCTAAGTACTTCAATTTTTTGGCACGAATGTACACAGCACTGTATTTTTAATTTCAAATTCCAGTGGTTTATTGCTAGCGTGTAGGAAAACAACTGGTTTCCAAAATATTAAGCTGTATCAAGCAACCTTGCTATGATAACTTATTAGTTTTGGGAGAGTTTAAAAAATTGACTTCTTGGAATTTTCTACATCAATAATCATGTCATCTGTGAACCGTTTATTTGATCCTCCCCAATTGGTATCCTTTCATGATTCATTTTCAGTTATCACATATGTAATTAAAAAAAAAAAAAGGGCCGGGCACGGTAGCTCACGCCTGTAATCCGCACTTTGGGAGGCTGAGGCTGGAGGATCACGAGGTCAGGATATCGATACCATCTTGGCTAACACGGTGAAAACCCGTCTCTACTAAAAATACAAAAAATTAGCCGGGTGTGGTGGCGGGCGCCTGTAGTCCCAGCTACTTGGGAGGCTGAGGCAGGAGAATGGCGTGAACCTGGGAGGCGGAGCTTGCAGTGAGCCAAGATCACGCCACTGCACTCCAGCCTGGGCGACAGAGCGAGACTCCGTCTCAAAACAAACAAACAAACAAAAACAAACAAACAAAAAAAAAACTAACTCAGTCTTCTTCCTGATCTCAGCATCAGATTCTCTGCCCTCCACTATTCCCTTTCTTAAATATCTAATAACAGAGCTTCAAAATACATGATTCCAAGTGTTTTAGAACTACAGGAATAAATCCACAATTAATGATTTCAGCACTCATCTCTCAATAATTCATAGAACACGCAGACAGAAAATCAGTAACGATACAGAAGACTTGAACAACAGTATCAACCAACTTGTCTAATTGACATTTATAGAACAGACCACCTATCAACAGCAGAATACACATTATTTTCAGATTCACATGGAATAATTACAAAGACAGACCATAATCAAGGCCATAAAACAAACACGAATACATTTTAAAAGATTCCAATCATATAGACTATGTTCTTTGACCAGAGTTCAGTAAACTAGATATTTATAGGAGAATGCTATTTGGAAAATCTCCAAGTTTTTGGAAACTAAATAACAAGCTTCCAAATCACCCATGAGACAAAGAAAAAATCAAAAGGAAAATTTCTAAGCATTTTAAACTGATAAAAAGTGAAACCACCATTTGTCAAAACCTAAGGAACTGCGCAACACAAAAAGTGAACGCTAATGTAAACTATGAACTTTAATATTAATGTATCAATATTGATTCATTAATGTACAAAATGCACTATATGCATGATGTTAGCAATAAGAGAAAACCCTATGGGGTGCAGATGGAAAGGTATATAAGAACTCTACTTTCTGCTCAATATTTTGTTTGTTTGTCTGTTTTGTTTGTTTGTTTTTTGTTTTTTGAGATAGGTTCTCCCTCTGTTGCCCATGCTGGAATGCAGTGATGCAATCTTGGCTCAGTGTAGCCTCGACCTCCTGGACTCAAGAAATCCTCCCACCTCAGCCTGCCAAGCAGCTAGGACTACAGGCCTGAGCCACCATACCCGGATGTTTTTTTGTAGTTTTAGTAGAAATGGGATTTCGCCATGTTGCCCAGGCTGGTCTTAAACTCCTGGGCTCAAGCGATCTGTCTGTCCACCTCGGCTTCCCAAAGTGCTAGGATTACATGCTGAGCCACCACGCCCAGCTGTCTGCTCAATTTTTCTGGAAACCTAAAACTTCTCTAAAAAAGTAAAATCCGCTGGGCGCGGTGACTCACTCCTGTAATCCCAGCACTTTGGTGGGCAGAGACGGTTGGATCGCCTGAGGTCAGGAGATCGAGACCAGCCTGGTCAACATGGCAAAGCCCCATCTCTACTAAAAATACAAACATTAGCCAGGAGTGGTGGCAAGTGCCTGTAATCCCAGCTACTCAGAGGCTGAGACATGAGAATTGCTTGAACCAGGAGGCGGAGGTTGCAGTGAACCCAGATTGCACCACTGTATTCCAGCCTGGGAGATAGAGTGAGACTCTAAAACAAAAATAAATAAATAAATAAATAAATAAATAAATAAATAAAATTAGCCGGGCCTGGTGGCATGTGCCTGTAGTACCAGCTACTCCGGAGGCTGAGGCGGGAGAACTGCTTGAGCCCGGGAGGCAGAGGTTGCAGTGAGCCAAGATCGCACCATTGCACTCCAGCCTGGACAACAAGAGGAAAACTCCGCCTCAAAAAAAAGAAAAAAAAAAAAGGAAAGTCCTATAATTTCGATTAATGAAAAAAATCAAAATTTGTGGGATGCCTATAAAGCAGTACTTAGAAGAAATTTATAGTACTAGACACCAATATTAGAAAAGAATAGCCTCAATAACCTTAGCTTCCACCTCAAGAAACTAATAAAGAACAAAATAAAATAGAGTACATGAGAGAATGGAAATAATAATTATAAGAATAGAAATCAGTATAATAGAAAACA
The DNA here is from genome assembly GCF_000001405.40 of Homo sapiens. Lineage (NCBI taxonomy): Eukaryota > Metazoa > Chordata > Mammalia > Primates > Hominidae > Homo > Homo sapiens. The sequence goes on along the minus strand of NC_000014.9, from coordinate 37,180,667 downwards.
GGAAAGCAATACAGAAAAATGAATGAAATTAAAACCTGGTTCTCTGATAATACAAATAAAATTAAGTGATCAAGAAATAGAGGAGACATACCGAAATAAATGAAGGTTAATTAAAAAAAGAAAAAAAGACAGAAGACTACCAATATCAGAAATTGAAGAAGTGACATCACTACAAATTCTACAGATATTAAAAGAGGAGTATTATTAAAATTTTATGCCAATAAACTTGATAACTTACATGAAATGGACAGATTTCTTGCAAAGGTAAGCAAAGATACCATCTCAGCTATAGTTTAACCTTAGCCAGGTCCAAAGGCAGCCTTGGAGCATGAGTTGCAACACAGTACAGTAGTCTCTCATTATTTGCAGTTTTGCTTTACACAGTTTCAGTTACCTGCAGTCAACCGTGGTCCAAAAATATTAAATGGAAAATCCCAGAAATAAACAATTCATGAGTATTAAATTGTGTTGTTCGAGTGCATAATAAAATATTTGGCCATCCCATTCTGTCCTGCCTCGGATGTGAATCATGCCTTTATCCAGCATTATCCATGATGTATACACTACCCAACCTGTTAGTCATTGCTCCTGACATCCATGCACATCATCATTGCTCGATGACCCAGAATCACCAAGAAGCAGATGATCCTCCTTCTTATGTATGGTCAGAAGGTCAGTATTAGCCTAATGTTTTGTCACAATGCCTATGTCATTCACCTCACTTCATTTTATCATGTAGGCATTTTATCATTTCACAGCATCACAAGAAGAAGGTTGAGTACAGTACAGTAAGATACTTCGAGAGAGAAAGAGGCCATATTCACATAATTTTTATTACATTATATTATTGTAATTGCTTTATTTTTATTATTTTTGTTAATCTCTTACTGTGCCCCTGTGCCCAATTTTTTTTTTTTTTTTGAGACGGAGTTTCACTCTTGTTGCCCAGGCTGGAGTGCAATGGTGCAATCCCGGCTCACTGCAACCTCCGCCTCCCAGGTTCCAGCAAGTCTCCTGTCTCAGCCTCCCAAGTAGGTGGGATTACAGGCATGTGCCACCATGCTCAGCTAATTTTATATTTTTACTAGAGATGGGGTTTCACCATGTTGGCCAGGCTGGTCTCGAATTCCTGACCTCAGGCCATCCACCCGCCTCAGCCTCCCAAAGTGCTGAGATTACAAGTGTGAGCCACTGAGCCCAGCCTTACTGTGCCCAATTTAAAAATTACACTTTATCATAGATACATATGTATAGGAAAAAAATGTACTATTTGCTGTTTCAGGCATCTACTGGTGGTCTTGAAATGTATTCCTCCCAGTAGATAAGGACTACTGTATTGGTCCCACCTTAAGGCAAGGTAAGCATTTTGTTCCCCTTTTTATTTCAGTCAGTCATTGGCTATGGGGTTGCCTCCAGCATAGGGAAGTGGGAAATGGTGACATATGTAACCTCCCAGGTAAGGTAGTGATGTGTGTGACTTCACAAGCTTCTCTTTGGCTGAGGGCATGATATGGTTTGGCTGTGTCCCCACCCAAATCTCATCTTGAATTCTAGCTCCATAATTCCCTCATGTTGTGGGAGGGACCCACTGGGAGATAACTGAATCATGGGGGCGGTTCCCCCACTGCGTACCATTCTCATGGTAGTGAATAAGTCTCATGAGATCTGATGGTTTTATAAGGGGAAACCCCTTTCACTTTGCTCTCATGCTCTTCTCTTGCCTGCCTCCATGTGAAACATGCCTTTCACTTTCTGAGATGATTATGAGCCCTCCCCAGCCACGTGGAACTGTGAGTCCATTAAACTTCTTTTTCTTTATAAATTACCCAGTCTTGGGTATGTCTTTATCAGCAGTGTGAAAACAGACTAATACAGGACATTTCTCTAGAAAATAAATTAACTATGAGTCCATAGCCATCAACACTCACAGCAGCTGGTATGGGCAGGCCAGCTTAGTAAAGGGATCTGGGTGGGGCACCAAAATCATCCACTACAATGACATTGACACCTTTCTGATAAGAAGAATCAGCTGGGCATGGTGGCTCATGCCTGTAATCCTAGCACTTTGGGAGGCCGAGGCTGGCAGATCACCCGAAGTTAGGAGTTCGAGACCAGCCTGGCCAACATGGTGAAACCCCGTTTCTAGTAAAAATACAAAAATTAGCTGAGCTTCATGGCAACTGCCTGTAATCCCAGCTTCTTGGGAGGCTGAGGCAGAATTGCTTGAGCCCGGGAGGCGGAGGTTGCAGTGAGCCGAGATCGTGCAACTGCACTCCAGCCTGGGGGACAGAGTGAGACCCCATCTCAAAAAAAAAAAAAAAAAAAAGAAAAAAGAAAAGAAGAAATTAGCCATGGGAAGGGGAAGAATATTCCTGGCAAATAAACATCAAATGCAAAATCCATGAGGCAGATCAAGCTTGAAATATTCAAATTCAGAAAGAAAACCATTGTGTTTGGATCAGAGGCAAAACAGTATGAGACAAAGACATAGAAATGAGCTGTTCATACAGAGCCCTGAAAGGACCGTTATAAGTTTGATTTGGTTTATAGGGCAACTGAAAACCTTTGGAGGATTTTTGTTGTTGTTGTTTGTTTGTAAAGCCAGGGTTTTACCATGTTGCCCAGGCTAGTGTTGAACTCCTTGGCTCAAGCGATCTGCCCCCACTTAGGCTCCCAAAGTGCTGGGATGGGCTACTGTGCCCTTTGGAGGATTTTTAAACAAGGTACTGTCATGATCTACTATATGTTAAAAAATATGCTGATTACTGGCTGGGCACAATGGCTCATGCCTGTAATCCCAGCACTTTGGGAGGCTGAGATGGGTGGATCACTTGAGGTCAGGAGTATGAGACCAGCCTGGCCAACTCGGTGAAACCCCATCTCTCCTAAAAATACAAAAATTAGCCGGGTGTGGGGATGGGCGCCTGTAATCTCAGCTACTGGGGAGAATCACTTGAACCCGAGGCAGAAGTTGCAGTGAGCCGAGTTTGCACCACTGCACTCCAGCCTGGGCAACAGAGCGAGACTCCATCTCAAAAAAAGAAAAAAAAATGCTGAATACTGAGTGGAGACTATAAGGGCCAAGAGAATAATTAGGAAATGATTCCAGTAGTCCAGGTAAAACATACTATGGCTGGAACAAAGGTGGTTGCAATGGACGTAGACGTGAACAAAGTCAGGATGTATTTGAAGGTAAAGTTTACAGGGTATGCTGATGGGCTACATGTGGAGAGATAAGAAAATCAGGCACGAGTACCAGGTTTTTGGCTAGAACTATTCGATGGATAGTGATGCCATTTTCAGAAATAGGAAATATGTGGGGAAAAAAGGGTTTGGGGTTCAGCAATCAAAAGTTCTGTTAAAATTAAGCTATCTCTTTTTCTTTTCTTTTTTTTTTTTAAGAGACAGGGTCTCTCTGTTGCCCAGGCTAGAGTGCAGTGGCGCTATCACAGTCATAGTTCACTGCAGCCTTGAACTCCTTTCCTCAAGGGATCCTTCCGCCGCATGGGGTGGGGAGCCATTGCGTAGGGCAAACTATCTTTTTTTTGATACTCAAGTAAAGATATAACATAAATAACTGGATACATAATTCTGGAGATTCAGGGACGTTGGTTATTTCCATGGCTGGAAATAAGAACTGGGGAGTCATCAGTGTATAAAAATTACTTTTAACTAAGGCCCTGGATGAGTTTACCTGAGAAGAGAATATGGATAAACAAAAGAAGAGAGTATATACCCAACATCTGGAGCACTCCAATAGATATTAGGTATAGTAGGAGGAAAACGGAAAAAACAAGATCAGACCACACAGAAGTAAGAAATACAGGAAAGTGTGGTATCATAGAAGCCAAGAGGAGAAAGGTTTTTTTTGTTTTTGTTTTTTTTGTTTTTTTGTTTTGAGACAGAGTTTCGCTCTTGTTGTCAAGGCTGGATTGCAATGGCACAATTTGGGCTCACTGCAACCTCCGCCTCCCAGGTTCAAGTGATTCTCCTGCCTCAGCCTCCTGAGTAGCTGGGATTACACGCACACGCCACCACACCTGGCTAATTTTGTATTTTTAGTAGGGACGGGGTTTCTCCATGTTGGTCAGGCTGGTCTGGAACTCCTGACCTCAGGTGATCTGCCTGTCTCGGCCTCCCAAAGTGCTGGGATTACAGTCGTGAGCCACTGTGCCCAGCCCTTTAATTTTGACACAATCAGAAAAGAAAGTTTTTAAACAAAGGGTGGTCAGGTGTTTTTTTTTTTTTTTTCCCAAATGTTGGAAAGTTAAATAAAATGATATCAGAGAAGTGACCTCTGGAACACTTGGCGATGTCTGGAGACATTTTTGGTGATCATAATCGGGAGGGAGTTGTTACTGGCATCTATTGGACTGAGGTCAGGGACGCTGCTAAATATCCAACAATGCACAGAACAGCCTCCTTCAACAAAAAATTACCTGTCAACAGTTCTTTGGTCTGACTTAGAAAATTCATGCTAGCCGGGGCTCACACCCATAATCCCAACATTTTAGAAGGCCAAGGTGGGAGGATGGCTTGAGTTCAGGATTCATGATTAGCCTAGGCAACTTGGCGAAATGCCCTCACTATTAGACATTTTTTGTTTTAAATAACAACAGGCTGGGCCTGCGATCCCAGCATTTTGGGAGGCTGAGGCTGGTGGATAACTTGAGGCCAGGAGTTTGAGACCAGCTTGACCAACATGGTGAAACTCCTTCTCTACTAAAAACACAAAAATTAGCCAGGTGTGGTGTGTGCACCTGTAATCCCATATACTCAGGGGGTTGAGGAGAATCGCTTGAACCCGGGAGGCGGAGGTTAAAGTGAGCTGAGATAGTGCCATTGCACTCTAGCCTGGGCAACAGGACAAGACTCCATTTCACAAAACGGCAGCAACAACAACGACAATAAAAAACCCCCATAAATAGTAGCTTAATAATATAGCCTAATCATAGAAGGTCTAATAATAAACATAGCCTGGCCAGGCCTGGTGTGGCTTACACCTGTAATCCCAGCACTTTGGGAGGCATAGATGGGAAAATTGCTTGAGTCCAGCAGTTCCAGACCAGCCTGGGCAACATAGAAAGACCTTGTCTCTAAAAAAGATTGTTTTAAAAATTAAAACAAAACAAAAAACCATAGCCTAACAAATAGAGGGCTCCTAAATTATACTTACGTTCAAATTAATACCTTAGCCGAATACTCAGTGTTATTTTGGGGGAGTTACTTAATCTCAGTGCCAGAGTTTCCTCCTTTGTAAAACAGGAATGAGATAATGGATTACAAAATGCTTAATTAGCCCAGTTTCTGGGAGAAGGTAAAGTCAATGAATGTTGTTACTACAATTGACTAGATAGGTTGAATATGGCCTGAAGGTTGCAGATTGCTCTTTACTTTCCTAGAACCTCCCCTATTCTCCCCAAACAATCCAATTATCTTTTAATATGTTATTTCTAATCTGATATGAAACAAGAAATCAGATATCCACCCTTTTAAAAACTGGTTCTAAAATTAGTTCTAAATGGATTTCTGCATGTTGATGGCTTAGAGGCTTTCTTAACTCCTAGATTCCCAGTTATGTTCCTGAAGGGTTTTTTTAGCCACTTGACAAACGATAGGGAAGTCAATAATCATGTAATTATCAACCAAGATCAGCTAAATAAATCAATAATTTAAAGAATATAATCTTCATACTTTAGCAGTTTTGCCCCATTAGGATATCACATCACTATTCCAAATAATAATAGAACAACAATGTAATAGAGGCTAGGGAATCTGAAATAGGTCAAGTAAATATTACCATTGCTTCCCAGTACTAAATCTTCCAGCATTCCAATATTGGCCATGAGCAAATTTAGCTGCAGATAAGAATTACATTCCATTATCAGAGCGTTTAGCACAGTGAGTACTTATTGGCTCTGTATTGACTCTTGTTAACTCCCAAGCTCTAGAATGTTCTCATGCCTAGGCCCCATATCCTCTAGTATTCTAGAGGTATAGGACTGGATTATATGTGATATCAAGTCTTGCTTTTTTCACTCAAAGATATCTCTTCTAGTCTGGAGAGGTTAAAAAGAGGAAGTAACTTTTTAACAAGGATAACTGGGAGTTTTCCAACTGAATCCACAGAGCTTTTTAGAGGCTGGGTCTTAGACACAAACTTGCTCCCACCTACCATGGATAAGATCTTCAGAGGGGAAGACACTCATGGAAATAATTATGTCAAAAGATTGTCTTTAAATCTTGACCTAAAAGTATTATTGCATTTCCTGGATAACGTAGGGAAGGCAAAAATTTACTTACAAGGTGGTAGGATCTCCTCCATTAGATTGTAAGTGCCACAGGGAAGGGATTTGTAGTGATATTGTCAGTACCTAGGCAAGTGCTAACACTTAGTGAGCTCTCAGTGTAGAATCTGTTTCAGTGTGTGCACTAGGGTTTAATAGTTGTGACCAAATTTTTAAAAACTAAAAAAAAATGGAATTAATTTGTGGGGGTATTTGTGTCACAGAATGTAGTTTTTTTAGCCTGTGGTTAATATTTAAATCTACAATCCAATGCTATCAAAAGAAGGAGTCCTGTGATGGAATCCCAGCTATACTATTACGCCTAGTGTGATCTTGGAAAACTCAGCTTCTGCTTTGAAAAATGAGGAAAACATTTTCTATGAGCTCTGAAATTCTGTTTCTATACCTAGTATATAACAGGTTCTCAATATTTGTTGAATAAGTGATTCTATATTGCACTCAAGATTCCCTATTTAATTAGTAAAAAGTCTGAAAGATATTGCTCAAAAGCCTTTATCAAGTTAGCAAAATTTCTGAAAACTATTTCTTGGTAAACATTTTCAAACTTAGCAGTTTTAATCAAATATTTAATGAAATGAAAAACTTTATTTTTGTATATCTGATCACATAAGCAGCAAGTCTCCCCAATTCCTCAAGCACTTTAAATAATTTTGCCATATATCACTGATCAACTTTTAATGACTCAGCCTAAGAAATAAAAAATCAAGTATGAAACCAAATTATTGTACTTTGTACATTTGATTAGAAACCACATAAATTGAACCATACTAAATTGCTGATATTCAACGGTTTTTGACCTCCAAAAATGGCAATTTTTACATGGCTCACACTAAATATATTTAGCAATAAATAATGTGTTTTAAGAAATATTACAATAGGGCTTCTAAAGCCTCCCAATTCTCTCTTTTACTCTTATCATCTCCTGTCTGTTAGGGGTGTGGCAGGTATTTTTGGAAAATTTCACAATCTTATATCTCTCCTACATAACACAGGCAACTTGTAGTTTTAAAAGAGTATAAATTAGTAGTTTTGTTTTGGTAACTATCCTAAGGGGCTAGTAAGAATAATCAAACATTTTATTGAGAGAATATACTGTTAAGTTCCTTAATGTTCCTCAATTGTTTAAGTCAGTGGTTCACAACCTTTAAAGTTCATGACAATCAACAGAGAACTCGTTTCTGGGCCCTATCCCCAGAGATTCTGATTCCGTTTAGGTCGGGGTGGGACCCACGAATTTGACTTCCTAACACATTCACAAATTATGCTGATGCTGTGGGTACTAAAACCACTTTTAAGAACCACTGACCTGGGTATAGAAGAAACTATTTGTAACCAGGCTTTTTCTTCTTTTGGTCCTTAGGTAAATAAAACTCAAGTTGATGAGGTATGATTTTACCTTAAATCAAAACCATTTTTGGTAAAGTACTACCTTAGCTCTATTGTAAGGTAAGTGTAAATTAGATTTGCTTTGACTTAGTTGCTACAGACCACAATTATAGGACAACTAACTGAGGAATTTATTCACTTGTCCCTTCTTTTGAACCTCACTGTGCTCTGGCTTGCCAGGAGGTGCAAGTGTCGTCCCCGCTTTGTACTTGGCGCTCCAGGCCTGGGTCACTTCACTTGAGTTATCAGAGGCAACCGTCTAGTTTGACAAACTACCGGAGGCTCCTGATAGAGAAGGGCGTGGGCGCCAATCTAGGAGACAAAGCCTGAGCCGCTGCGGTGAGCCAACCCAAACCCATCCGCGGGTCTTCTTTCCAGAGACATTTTCGGAGCCGAGGGCGCCTCTGCGAGAGCGCTGCGAACAGGTTCCGACGCGCCGGAGATCGCGCGACGAATCTGCGCCTCGAACCCTCGCTTTCCAGCAGTCGCCGGATTGCTGCTCCACAGGGAGCCAACGCGCTTGAGGACCAGCCCAGCCGGGGCTCTCTGGATCAGTAGGCTGTGCAGGCTGCGAGCTCGTTGACGCATCTCAGCCCACTCCCTTGTCCTCCCGCCTGGCGAAGATGTCCGCCAAGCCTGAAGTCAGCTTAGTGCGCGAGGCTTCTCGGCAGATCGTGGCCGGTGGTTCTGCAGGTAAGGACAGCCCGCCCTGCCCCGCCGGAGGCTAGTCGCTTTCCCCACCGCGTGTCCTGAAACCGTTGCCCAGACAGGTCTCCTTACTGAAGTTCTGCCCTCTTCCTCAAAATTCAGCGCTCCCGGAGCAGTGCTTGAGCCCCTAGAGGCGCGAGAGCAGAGGAGGCCGGGAGTTGATTGCGAGTAGTGGGTGCCCCAAGTAAAGTTGCCTCGGCGTCCGCGCCGGCCGCTCTCGGGTTCCCGGCATTGTCCGTTCCTAGCCTGTAAAGCAAGTGGCAGAGCCCCAAGGGCAGCGACTTTGAGGCGGTCTTTTTGCCTTGCTACCTATTTTACTTGAAAATGATCCAGTTCGGTCTGACTTAGTTTTATCAATTGTAGAGTCTTTCTTCAAGCTCGCTCAGGTCTTACATAAATCCTGCATTCCTCATCAAAGTACTTACAGGACTCCACAGGACTTCTTATTGCATACTGTGCTTGCTTGGGGATATTCGTGCCTTAAATAAGGATATTAAAATTAAATGCATATGTAACACACATAAACACCTTTGATATAATGGGCTCACGTTAATTTATAGAGTTATGCTGTGGGGAAAAAATAAACCTTTAGAAAAAAATGTTGTAATTAATCTTAGAAATACTTTTAAATGTAGCTGGAGAAAGTTACTAACCACGACATGTGTTATGTGCAAGTATTTTAAAGCTATTTTAAAATATAAATTATGATTTGGTTTAAAATTTTATCTTACAGTCATGCATTTTTATTATAAATATATAATTAAAATAATTGCCATAATTGGCTCATAACCAGAAAACATTTTATAAATCTAGCCATTCTTTCAATAAATTATAGTAACTCTAATAAATCCTGTTAAGGCAATGACTAGAAAATGTTTAATGTTTAACTTCGACTAGTAAAAGTTTCTGTATTTTCAAACAAATTTGGACTTTTTGTAAGGGATTACTGCAAATTATGACTGGTTATCATTATGTCATGATCTACTTGCATCTCAGGAGTAACGTAAGCAGCCACGTGTCACTTACAATCTGTACACTTTCTTAAAGATGGTATTTCATCAATATCACATTAGAGCCATTCATTGCTTACAGGAAATTGTAAAATCTTTCCCCTCCCCTCCCCACCCCTCCCCTCCCCTCCCCTCCCCTCCCCCCTTTTTCTTTTCGATGGAGTCTCTCTCTGTTGCCCAGACTGGAAGGCACCGGAGCTGGATTGCCATGGCGCGATCTCGGCTCGCTGCTCCAACTCCCGGGTTCAAGCAATCCTCCCATCTCAGCCTCCTGAGTAGCTGGAATTACCGATGCGCATCACCATGCCGGCTATTTTTTTTTTTAATTTTTTTTGTAGAGACGGGCTTTCGCCATGTTGCCCAGGCTGGTCTCAACCTCCCGGGCTCAAGTGATCCTCTCACTGCAGCTTCCAGAGTAGCTGGGACTACAGGAGCCCACCACCATGCCCGGCTAGTTTTTTGGGGAGGTGGGGGAAGGGGATTTTTTTTTTTGTAGAGTCAGGGTTTCACCATGTTGTCCAGGCTGGTCTCCAACGCCTGGGTTCAAGCAATCTGACCCCCTTGACCTCCCAAAGTGGTGGGACTACAGGCGTGAGCCACCACCCGTTATTATAATTGCAGTGGCCCCACTGCTTGCTCTTTCAGTTTTCCAATTGTGATGATGAATTTGCACCAATTTATTTACCATTTTTGGTCAAATTCCGCAATGCCTAAGGTTCTGTCTTCTGTACCTGACTCGTTGATTTGTAGTCTATGACCCTGATGAAAGAAAACTCAGCTAGTCCAAAGAGAAAGTGAGGCCAATTGATTAACATCCTAAGCTAAGACTGATGACTCATAAGCACCTGTATGCTAATTTATATGATCATACTATGTATTAGGCACAGCTAAACTCAAAGAATGTTAAAAGTAGATCATACTCGGCCAGGCACGGTGTCTTACGCCTGTAATCCCAGGACTTTGTGAGGCGGAGGCAGGCGGATCACCAGGTCAAGAGATCGAGACCATCCTCCCCAACATGGTGAAACCCCGTTTCTACTAAAAATACAAAAATCAGCTGGGCTTGGTGGTGTCCGGCTACAGTCCCAGCTACTTGGGAGGCTGAGGCAGGAGAATCGCTTGAACCCAGGAGGCGGAGGTTGCAGTGAGCCGAGATCGTGCCACTGCACTCCAACCTGGCGACAGAGCGAGACTCGGTCTCAAAAAAAAAAAGTAGATCAAACTCTGATCCTACTTATGCTGTTTTGTTGAGTGATAAGTATTTGGCATAAATATGTGTGATTCCATCATATATTCTTATAAATGTAACTAATATAAATGCAAATTAGGATATTTATAAGATAAAAAATAGCATAGTTGATTTATATAGTTAATACTATGGAGTTATTAATAAATGATTAGAGTAACTTATACTTTCATAATAGTAAAAAAGAATTATATTTTCTTTTACTTGGCCAAAAACATTTTCATAAAACTTTATCTTTATTGCACTGTAGTACATGTGGGCTAATCATATTATATATACTTGGTCAAGGGCCAGATAGAAATCAATACACAAGAGAGGAAGAATTTTAATAAAAACAAAATAGATTTGAATCTCTGGCACTGGAGTTCTAATCACTGGTATTGTCCATGAATACAACACTTCTGTGTGTGTGTGTGTGTGTGTGTGTGTTATGACCTTTTGTTTGTAAAGGCCAAAGATACATTCTGGCTTTCTTAGGTGAAAAAGAAAAGAAACTGGGAGGTTTATTGGAGAGATACCAGGGTATCTCGTGGAATTCAAGGTCTGGGATGCATTCCTGGAACAAACTGGAATAAGGGGCTGGAGTGCTGAGGATAACTCAGGAAGTGAAGTCTCTCCATCTCTTCTCTTTTAGTAGTCAAGTGTTCCTAAGGCAGCAGGGAGGCAGGTAATAATAGGGCCACAAGTATTACTACTACACCTTTCGGGATGGCTTGCAAGACTTCCACAGACACTCGCCTAGTAAGGAGTAAGCAGGCCCAAATGCAGTCAGATAGTTTATTAGTTATACAGACAGCAAAAGCAAGACATCATGGTGCCAGCTCCCTGTGCCCATAGCACCACAGTCAGCACTGAACAGAAGAGACCAGAGGATAGGTGGGATGAGTGGGTCACTCTGCTGTTAAGGATCTACCTCTAAACCACAGCCACGTAGTTTTATAGACTTAATGTTGAGATCTGCAGCTGTAACCTACATGGGGGTAAGGTGGAAAGTCTTGCGTTCAACTGAAACTAGGGAGAGGGATGAGAAGCGGCCGTGTGGCAGTCTTCCACAAGATAGCAGCTCCTCCCCAGGCTGCTTATCTACCCTTTCACTTGGAGAAATCACAGGGCATTCTGCCAAGACTCAGGCCAGATTATGGTCTAACCTTGCCTGCTTGGTCTATGTGAAGATATAAGGTTGTCAGAGTGCCACACTGTGAAGCTATTTCCTTGTGTTCCCCTGGTGTCCTCCTCAGTCCTCTTTCTCACAGTTGACTGCTGGGTTTTTTGTTGTTGTTGTTCTTTAGTCTGTGTATCAGAATGTGATCCCCAAGACTTCTTTTTCCTGGAGAGAGTGAGAGACTAACTTGCTTTTTTTTTCGGTTCTAGTCCAAAATCCTGGGGAAAGACTAAAAATAACCCAGCATTAGTAGGGGCCCACCTCTGTACCAATCAACTGTAGCTAATCCCTATGCAGATTGGTGGGGCGGGTGAGGTGGGGAACCTCAGGGGAGATTATTTTCCAGAGAAACTAGATACACCATGAAATGGGCAATAGGTATTTTCTATAACGATATAGGTCTGTCTTTTATAAGAAGATGGTTTGTAATATTTTCATTTAAAATACTGAAGAGATTGATGCACTGACAGTAGCCTGGACAATACATTACACATCAGAAGAAACTGATGCGTACATCTGAAGATTGGTCTTTACATATAAATTTAAAGATTCAGGTGAGAGAATCACAGAAGCCAATAATGAGAGAGTCAGAGAAACCAATGATGAGAGCTTCAGGAAGATCAACAAAGACCAGCATTGCAGAGGGGTTAAAGATGAGAATGAGAAGAGGTTACTGGATCAGACCCTTGGTACTCAAAATATGGTCTATGGATGAGCTGCAGGAAGGAGTATGGTAGCATCTGGAAGTTTGTTGAAAATGTGGGATCCCAGGCCTCACCTACTGTAACTGCCCCAGCAGGTTCACCTTGCCTGCTGCCTAGACCGAGCGGATTTATCAAGACAAGAGAATTGCAATAGAGAAAGAGTAATTCACTCAGAGCCAGCTGTGTGGGAGACTGGAGTTTTATTGTTACTCAAATCAGTCTCCCCAAGCATTAGGGGGTGGGGGGAGCGGTGCAGCTAGAGAGTCAGGAGTGCTGATTGGTCAGGTCGGAGATGAAATCATAGGGAGTCGAAGCTGTCTTATGCTGAGTCAGTTCCTGGGTGGGGGCCACAAGATCACAAGAACCAGTTAGATCTAGGTGATGCCAGCTGATCCATCAAACGCAGGGTCTGCAAAATATCTCAAGCCCTGATCTTAGGCTTCACAATAGTGATGTTATCCCCAGGAGCGACTTGGGAAGGGTCAGAATCTTGTAACCTCCAGCTGCATGACTCCTAAACCATAATTTCTAATCTTTTGGCTAATTTGTTAGTCCCACAAAGGCAGTCTAGTCTCCAGGCAAGAAGGGGTTCTGTCTTGGGAAAGGGCTGTTACCATCTTTGTTTTAAACTGTAAACTATAAATGAAGTTCCTCCCAAAGTTAGTTTGGCCTATACCCAGGAATGAACAAGGACAGCTTGGAGGTTAGAAGCAAGATGGAGTTGCTTAGGTCAGATTTATTTCACTGTCTCAGTTACAATTTTGCAATGGCAGTTTCACTACCATATCGGAATCTGCGTTTTTGGAAGGGCCCCAAGTCATTGATTTGCACTTTAAAGTTTAGAAGCACTGTGTAGAAGACCTTTGAGAAAAAAAGACTCTATAGAGGGGGAAGGTCAAAGCCAAATTGCGCAAGTGAAATCTTTCTTGGTTTTCACTGCTGACCAGACAGAAGAATGAATTTCATACTCCCTGTTATATGCCCTCAATTTAGCTTTCAGTCTTATTTTTCAACCCTCTCCTACACATTTTGTTCAGTTTCTGCTGAACAGGTCTGCCGGCAATTCTTGACTGTTACCAGTACTTTACACCTTTATTCCTGATCCCCTAGAATGTCTTACCCCTTACTTTTTTTCTTTTTTGAAGCTAATATTTTTATTTGTATGGAGATAAGGGAACAATCTGATTCATCAGGTTTTCTTAACTGAAAGACTAGAGGCTTTCGATCCCTGTTAGAATATATAGCAGGATTAGAAGGTAACTGGTGAGATATTGTGCCAAATAAAATACAAATATTTCCTCTCACTAATTGTTTGCCTAATGGCTTCAAAACACCTACAAAGAACTTTCCTAGCTTCATCAAGAAGATATATCTCTACCTATTGAAATTCCATCCATTTTCCAAGGCCCAGATTGAAAATGATTTTCTGCATAAGTGTTTCCAAGATGGACTCTACAGTCCACCCAGCTTTAACATTTTCATTAGCATATGAATGATGCAAATAATAAAATAAGCTAATATTTATTGAGTAAATACTAAATGCCGGATCCAGTTCTAAGCTTTACATGTGTTAACACTTTTAATCCTTTCCACAACTTCACAAGGCAAGCACTATAATAATCCCCACTTACAGACGAAGAAACTGATGCGCAGGGGAATAATGAACATGCCATAGTTGCACATACATGCAACCATTTCTATAGGAGTTGGAAAGACGAAGTCAAGTCTACTCTTATAATCGCTGTAGCTGTAATTAGTTTATATTCCTTAAAATAACTGTTTTACCTACAAATACAATCCATACAGACTTTCCATTAAGTAGTACCTTGCTCACTCCAAATCATTTCATCTATCTAGGCAAACATTATCCTTTAGCCAAGAGAAAATTTAGTTATTTTACTTCTCCATCCATTCAGGGCCTCTACATGTAGTTGGACACATTGTGGACTGAAAAAGGGATCTGGACATGAGAGCAAGTAGGAATTGAAATCTAGCACATGCTCTGCTCCGTGATTTGTGCATCCTAGAACAGACGTGTTCACTTGGGGGAAGGGACACCTTTTTCTGTTTCTCACAAAGACACCAAATGGATTGACATAAGGTCTGACAGAATTCCCCTAAACATGTTAGGGATCCCAAGATCTCTGGTCTCAGCAGCCCCTGCATATGACATCATTACTCTGTCTGCATATCAACAGGGCTCTAGGAGGCTCCCCTGTCATGTACTTGATCAACTCTAACTTGGAGCTAGGAGCATGGGTCCATCTCAGACTTTCCCATTCTTCCTAATGATCAGTTTGGACCCTTCCCTGTGTTCCCAAAGACCACGGGGTAGTTCTTATTTCCCATGTCATATAAGATCAGGCCCACTCAGATGGTCATTCTCCCCAGACTCTCACAGGGATTTTGTACCCAACCTCAGAACCTCCCAGGGTCTGTGACAATGTTATCTTAGCCCCCTGAGTGGTCCTGCTCTTACTAGGACCTGTCAGGCTTCCTCCTGAGGTCACTCCTAAGCCTTGTCCACACTGAATTTTCTTCCATAGTGGCAACTCCAGGACCCTCCTCCTGCCTCCCAGAATCTTTTACTCATATTCCCCAAAGTCTGCCAGTCCCACTCTGAATGCCTTCTACAGCATTATCACCTTCTATATATCATGCATGTGAGATCACCATCCTGGCAAGACTGACTTATTTTCCAAAATTTCCAGGTTGCTGTTTCATCCTTTCCAGCCTTACCTTAGTCCCTGGTATCTTTTTTTTTTTTGAGACGGAGTCTCACTTTGTCACTCAGGCTGGAGTACAGTGGCGCAATCTTGGCTCACTGCAACCTCAGCCTTCTAGGTTCAAGCGATTCTTTTGCCTCAGCCTTCTGAGTAGCTGGGATTATAGGCACCCACCACCATGCCTGGCTAATTTTTGTATTTTTAGTAGAGATGAGGTTTCGCCATGTTGGCCAGGTTGGTCTCAAACTCCTGACCTCAAGTGATCCGCCCGCCACAGCCTCCCAAAGTGCTGGGATTACAGGCGTGAGCCACTGCACCCAGCCAGTCCCTGGTGCTTATAAGCACATCTCCATCAATTACTCTGTTTTTACTTTGTGCATCTCCCTGCAGTTCATTGCTTTCATTTAAATTCATTGTTTTAGTTCAAAGTTTTCTGGAAACAAGTTTTCCAATCTTGCACTAAACACAGTTCAAGTACTTTGTGTAGTGTTATCTCATTAATCACCTTCAAAGAGTCAAATAAGAGTGAAATGAAAGACTTTTTTGAGGGAGGGAAATCTGGAATTAATGAATAGGCTTTTGGGAGATTAATTATCTGAGAGTATATGCAAATGCTGTGATATTTTAATAGGGAGAGAGTCCAAGGCTTTTAACCTGAAAAGGCTAATAAAAAGATATAGGATGTTTTCAAATTTCTTACATATCTTCATTTTCACAAGATTACTCCTTTTTCTTACTCTAATAGTTAAAATACAGTTAAAATAGATGCCTTAATAGTATGTATACTAGAAGTCCTTTGGATTTTAATTTGAACTACGTAATAAAAGGGCTGATACACCAGGGGGTAATCAAGGTTAAAATTTTGATCAAGGAAAATTCTTTTGCAAAATGGTGCAAAGGGGATGCACGTGTGATTTGGATAAATGGCACCTTTGGAAATTCAGGATTTGGGAAACTGTAATTGTTTGATAATAAATAGCAGGTTGTACTGAAACAGGTGAGCCTTTATGACACATCAAAGGGTGGCTGGAACCCATTATCTGGGTAATTAGGGAGAAAAAAATAACCCTTATTTCAAGCACATAGGAGGAAGCAACCCTATTGCTCGAATTAATTATAAAATACCTTTAAAGGATGTATTTTAAGTAAAATGTAATCTTGTCTCTCTTTAAGAAAATCTAGTTCTCAAAAATCAGAATTTAAGAACAAACAAAATATGAGTTGCATACCACATTTTAAAGGATTTCTTATTTTACTCTACCTTCCTGAAAGATGTTTTAAAAGTGTAACTACCCTTAATATGTGGCTATATGATTCAACTGACATAAAACTTAAAACAACTTTTATACAATATTTTAAAAACATGTGGTTAAACCAGCCCTTCCTCACCTCCCTTTTGCCCCCAGCCTTGACTACAGCTTCTTAGGGTATTGAGAACCAGGTGTTTCAGAGTATAGCAAGTAGGGGCTCAGAAATGTTTGTTGATCATATTAACAAATAAATATGAAAAGTCTAAGCCATAGAATATTCTTAGGTTCCTACTCTGAAGACAGAAAAATATTCAGGGATTCTAGTCATTAGATAATACTTACAACAATACTGTATAAATGATTTATACATTTTAAAGTGTTATCATTCTACTCTGCTATCAAACATTGAATTTATTCCTTCTCTCTTCCTGTATGTTTATACACTTTAACCCACTTTTATTCATCCTCCCCACTCCTCCCAACTCACCCTTCCCTGGTGGTATCTTTAAAATGGCAATGAATGAAAGGAACCAGGTTAAAGGTGCAGTATTTTTACAGTTGTACTAGATTTTGATCGATTTTTCTTACCAATTTCCTTTTTTTGTTTTCATTCTCATATTGTTATTGTATCTAAATTGGAAGATAGTTATTTTCCAAGTGATTAATATCTTTTATTATGTTTGTGTCAATTATTTTGACACTTTGATGTTATCATGGTTTATACACATTGTAAATATTCTATCAGATATGTATTTTTTCATTATTATCTGTAGTCCTTATATAAATTTGCTGGGGTTACCAGAAAAATGCACCACAAACTGGGCAGCATAAACAACAGAAATTTCTTTTTATTTATTTATTTATTTATTTATTATTATTATACTTTAAGTTTTAGGGTACATGTGCACAATGTGCAGGTTAGTTACATATGTATACATGTGCCATGCTGGTGCGCTGCACCCACTAACTCGTCATCTAGCATTAGGTATATCTCCTAATGCTATCCCTCCCCCATCCCCCCACCCCACAACTGTCCCCAGAGTGTGATGTTCCCCTTCCTGTGTCCATGTGTTCTCATTGTTCAATTCCCACCTATGAGTGAGAATATGCGGTGTTTGGTTTTTTGTTCTTGTGATAGTTTACTGAGAATGATGATTTCCAATTTCATCCATGTCCCTACAAAGGACATGAACTTATCATTTCTTATGGCTGCATAGTATTCCATGGTGTATATGTGCCACATTTTCTTAATCCAGTCTATCATTGTTGGACATTTGGGTTGGTTCCAAGTCTTTGCTATTGTGAATAGTGCTGCAATAAACATACATGTGCATGTGTCTTTATAGCAGCATGATTTATAGTCCTTTGGGTATATACCCAGTAATGGGATGGCTGGGTCAAATGGTATTTCTAGTTCTGGATCCCTGAGGAATCGCCACACTGACTTCCACAGTGGTTGAACTAGTTTACAGTCCCACCAACAGTGTAAAAGTGTTCCTATTTCTCTACATCCTCTCCAGCACCTGTTGTTTCCTGACTTCTTAATGATTGCCCTTCTAACTGGTGTGAGATGGTATCTCATTGTGGTTTTGATTTGTATTTCTCTGATGGCCAGTGATGGTGAGCATTTTTTCGTGTGTTTTTTGGCTGCATAAATGTCTTCTTTTGAGAAGTGTCTGTTCATGTCCTTCGCCCACTTTTTGATGGGGTTGTTTGTTTTTTTCTTGTAAATTTGTTTGAGTTCATTGTAGATTCTGGATATTAGCCCTTTGTTAGATGAGTAAACCCTAGAAGAAAACCTAGGCATTACCATTCAGGACATAGGCATGGGCAAGGACTTCATGTCTAAAACACCAAAAGCAATGGCAACAAAAGCCAAAATTGACAAATCGGATCTAATTAAACTAAAGAGCTTCTGCACAGCAAAAGAAACTACCATCAGAGTGAACAGGCAACCTACAAAATGGGAGAAAATTTTCAGAAATTTCTTCTTTCGTCGGCAGGGTTGGCTCCTTCTGGAGACAGTGAGGGAGAATCTGACCCACACCTCTCTCCTAGCTTCTGGCAGTTGCCAGCAACGCTTGGTATTCCTTGGCCTGTGGACACATTACTCCAATCTCTGCCTCCCTCATTACTTGGTGTTCTCTCCCTATCTTTTTAATTTTTTTTTTAATATTAGATTTCTTTTTTTTTTTTTTTTTTTTTGAGACGGAGTCTCGCTCTGTCGCCCAGGCCGGAGTGCATTGAGGCGATCTCGGCTCACTGCAAGCTCCGCCTCCCGGGTTCACGCCGTTCTCCTGCCTCAGCCTGCCGAGTAGCTGGGACTACAGGTGCCCACCACCATGCCTTGCTAATTTTTTGTATTTTTTTTAGTAGAGACGGGGTTTCACCATGTTAGCCAGCATGGTCTTGGTCTCCTGACCTTGTGATTCGCCCGCCTCGGCCTCCCAAAGCGCTGGGATTACAGGCGTGAGCCACCGTGCCTGGCCGTTCTCTCCCTATCTGTCACTATCTTTGTGTCCCTCTTCTTATAAGGACACCAGTCATTGGATTAGGGTTCACTGTAATCCAATATGACCATATTTTAACTTGATTACATCCTTAAAGATCCTATTTCCAAATAAAGTCACATTCACAGGTACCAGGAGTTAAAACTTCAGCATATCTTTTTCTGGGACCAACCCACAACAGACATTCTATTGTATTTTTCTCATATTGTGTTTCTCAAATTTATGGTCCATATCTCAAGCTATGGTCCTGTGTTCCTCTTTTCATGGTCAACCTTTCTGAAAAGTTCCTCACTCAGTCTTCAACCTGCTATAATTGGCATATCCATGTTTACCTTTATGCCGAAACTGTTAACTGCTATTTTTCATTCCTAATTTTATCTAATCTTTGCAGAATTTCACGTCACTGATCAGTTTTTCCCTTTAAAGTTGTCTCTGTGATTGATTTTTACCCTCTTCTTTTTATCTGGTCACTCTTTTTTCATTTGTGCAAATTTATGGAATATATGAGAAATTTTTTACATGTATGTAATGAATAGTGATCAACTCAGGATATTTAGGGTGTCTATTACTCAAATATAATACATTTTAAGTATAGTCATCCTACTCTGCTATGAGACATTGAATTTATTTCTTCTCCTCCCCCCCGCCCCCTCCACCTGCCCCCCCTTTTCCCCACCCCCTTCCTCTTTCTCCTCCTCCTCCTCCTCTTCCTCCTTCTTTCTTTCTTTGAGATGACATCTCACTCTGTTGCCCAGGCTGGAGTGCAGTGGCATCATCTCTGCTCACTGCAACCTCTGCCTCCTGGGTTCAAGCGATTCTCCTGCCTCAGCCTCCTGAGTAGCTGGGATTGCAGGCACATGCTACCAGGCCCAGCTAACTTCTGTATTTTTAGTAGAGACAGGGTTTCACCATGTTGGCCAGGCTGGTCTCGAACTCCTGACCTCAAGTGATCTGCCTACTTCAGCCTCCCAAAGTGCTGGGGTTACAGGCGTGAGCCACCGCACCTGGCCTGAATTTATTTCTACTATCTCACTGTATGTTTGTACTCTTTAACCTACTTCTCTTTATCCTTGCCCTCCTGCCTCTCTCACCCTTCCCAGCCTCTGTTATCTATTTTTCTACTCTACTTCCATGCGTTCAAATGTTTTAGCTCCCACGTATAAGTGAGAACATGCAATATTTGTCTTTTTGTGCCTGGCTTATTTCTCTTAAGATAACGACCTCCAGTTTCATCCATGTTGCTGCAAATGACATGATTTTAGTATTTTTTAATGGCCAAATAGTATTTCATTGTCTATAAATACCACATTTTCTTTATCCAGTCATCTTTTCATGGGCACTTTGGTTGATTCCATGTGTTTGCTATAGTGAATAGTGCTGCAATAAACATGCAAGTGCAGCTATCACTTTGATATGTGGATTTCATTTCCTTTGGGTAGATACCCAGTAGTGGAATTGCTGGATCGAGTGGTAATTCTATTTTTAGTTTTTTTTGTGTGAAATCTCTGTATGGTTTCCATAGTGGCTATACTAGTTTACATTCTCATCAACAGAGTGTAAGTTCTTTTTGCTCTGCACCCTCAACAACATCTGTTAATTTTGTCATTTTAATAATAACCATTCTAACTGGGTAGAGATGATATCTCATTGTGGTTTTGATTTGCATTTCTCTGATGATTAGTGATGCCGACCATTTTTTCATATATGTATTTGTGTGTCTTCTTTTGAGAAATGTCTATTCGTGTACTTTGCCTACTTTTTAATGATGTTATTTATCTTTGTCCTTTTGAGTTGTTTGAGTTTCTTATATATTCTGGATATTAGTTGCCTGTTGGATGAATAGTTTGCAAATATTTTCTCTCATTCAACACGTTGTCTCTTCACTGTTGATTATTTCTTTTGCTATGCAGAAGCTTTTTAGTTTAAGTCCTATTTGTCTATTTTTGTTTCTGTTGCCTGTACTTTTGAGGTATTAGTCATAAATTCCTTGCTGAAACCAATGTCCAGGAAAGTTTTCCCTAGGTTTTCTTCTAGTATTTTTATAGTTTTGGGTCGTATATTTAAGTGTTTAATCCATTTTGAGTTGATTTTTGTATATTGTGAGAGAAAAGGGTTCATTTCATTCTTCTGCATGTGGTTATCCAATTTTCCTAGTACCATTTTTTGAAGAGCGTATTCTTTCCCCACCCAGAGACTCTTGTCAGCTTTGTCAAAGATGAGTTGTCTGTAAATATGTGGATTTATTCCTAGTTTCTCTATTCTGTTCCATTTGTCTATATGTCTCTTTTCATACCAATACCATACTGTTTTGGTTACTATAGCCTTGCATTGTATTTTGAAATCAGGTAATGTGATGCCTCAGCTTTGTTCTTTTTGCTCAGGATTGCTTTGTCTATTTTGCCTCTTTTTTGATTCCCTATGGATTTTAAGATTTTTTTTTTTCTGTTCCGTGAAGCCAAATTTTTGATAGGGATTGCATTGAATCTGTAGATTGCTTTGGGCAATCTTGTCATTTTATTGTTATTAATTCTTCTCATCCATGAGCATAGGATTTTTTTCCATTTGTTTGTGTCATCTTTAATTTCTTTTACAGTGTTTTGTAGTTTTCCTTGTATAGATCTTTTACCTCTTTAATTATATTTACTTCCAGGTATTTTATATGTTTTATAGCTATAGTAAATGGGATTGCCTTCTTGATTTCTTTCTTGGCTAGATAACTATTAGTGTATAGAAATGCTACTGATTTTTGTATGTTGGTTTTGTATCCTGAAAGTTTACTACATTCATTTATCAAATCTAACAGTTCTTTGGTGGAATCTTTAAGTTTTTTCTAGATACAAGATTATATCATCAGAAAATAGGGACACTGTGACTTCCTCTTTTCCAATCTGAATGCCTTTTATTTCTTTCTCTTGGCTGATTGCTTCGGTTAGGACTTCCAGTACTATGTTGGATAGGAGTTGTAAAAGTGGGCATCCAGAACCAGTGTTCTGGTTCTTAGAGGAAAGGCTTTTAACTTTCTGCTATTCAGTATGATACTAGCTATGAGTTTGTCATACATGACCTTTATTTTTTTGAGGTATGTTCCTTATATGCCTAGTTATTAAGAATTTTTATCAAGAAAGTATGGTGAATTTTATAAAATGCTCTTTCTGCATCTATTGAGATGATCATATGGTTTTTGTCCTTCATTCTGTTGATGTGATAGAGCTTGATCATTGATTTGCATATGTTGAACTATTCTTGCATCCCTGGAATAAATCCTGTTTGATAATGGTGTATTATCTTTTTGATGTGCTGCTGGTTTCAGTTTGCTTGTATTTTGTTGAGGATTTTTATGTCTATGTTCATTAGGGACATTGGCTTGTAGTTTACTCTTTTTGTTCTGTTCTTTTCTGGTTTTGGTATCAGGGTGATACTGGTCTCATAGAATGATAGCGAGAATTACCTCCTCTTCAGTTTTTTGCAATAGTTTCAGGAGAATTGGTATTAGTTTTTCTTTGTATGTTTGGTAGAATATGACTGTGAATTCAGCAGGTCCTTTTTGTCGTTGTTGTTGGGAGACTTTTATTACTGATTCAATCTTGCTACTTGTTATTGTTCTGTTCATGTTTTCTATCTTTTCTTGATCCAATCTTTGTAGGTTGTATGTTTACAGGAATTTATCAATTTCCTCTAGTTTTCCAATTTGTCACCATTTAGTTATTTACAGTCTCTGATGATCTTTGATATTTCTGTTGTATCAGTTGTAATGTTTCATTTTTGATTTTTGATTTTGTATATTTGGATCTTCTCTCTTCTTGGTTAGTCCAGCTAAGTGGTTTATCAATTTTATTTATCCTTTGAATAGCCAACTTTTTGTTTTGTTTATCCTTTATATTGTTTTCTTTGTCTCTATTTCATTTAGTTCTGCTCTGTTTTTTATTATTTCTTTTCTTCTGCCAGTTTTGGGTTTGGTTTGTTCTTGCTTTTCTAGTTCCTTGAGGTGCATTGTTAAATTGTCAACTTGTAGTCTTTCTGCTATTTTTGCTGTAGTTATTCAGTGCTATAAGCTTCCCTCTTAGCATTGCTTTTGCTGTATCCCATGGGTTTTGGTATGTTGTGTTTCCATTTTCATTTGCTTCAAGGAATTCTTCCATTTCCATCTTAATTATTCATTGACTCAAGTGGTCATTCAGGAACATGTTCAGCTTCCATGTATATGAATAGTTTCAAAAGTTCCTCTTACTATTGATTTCTAATTTTATTCCATTGTGGTCTGAGAAGATACTTGATATGATTTTTTTTTTCCTTTTTGAGTCAGAGTCTTGCTCTGTCACCCAGGCTGGAGTGCAGTGGCACTATCTTGGCTCACTGCAACCTTTGTTTTCCTGGGTTCAAGCAATTCTCGTGCCTCAGCCTCCCAAGAAGCTGGGATTACAGGCATGCACCACCATGCCCAGTTAATTTTTTTGTGTGTTTTTAGGAGAGATAGTGTTTCCCCATGTTGGCCAGGCTGGTCTCAAACTCCTGGCCCCAAGCAATCCACCTGCCTTGGCCTCCCAAAGTGCTGGGATTACAAGCATGAGCCACCGTGCTGGGCGTGATATGATTTTATTTTTAAAAATTTGTTGTGACTTGTGTTGTGGCGTAACATATGGTCTATCCTGGAGAATGTGCCATGTGTGGCTGAAAAGAATGTATATTCAGCACTTGTTGGATATAATGTTTTGTAAATATCTGTTAGGTCCATTTGATCTAATGTGCAGTTTAAATTCAGTGTTTCTTTGTTGATATTTTGTGTAGATGATCTGTCTAGTGATGAAAGTAGGGTGTTGAAGTCTTCCACTGTTACTGTGTTGGAGTCTATCTCTCTCTTTAGATCTAGTCTTATTTGCTTGATGAATCTGGGTGCTTCAGTATAGAGTGCACATATATTTAGAATTGTTATATCCTCTTGTTGGATTGTTCCCTTTATCATTACATAATGACCATCTTTGTCTTTCTTTTACTCTTCTTGACTTAAAGCCTGTTTTAGCTGATATAATTGTAGCTACTCCTGCTCACTTTTGGTTTCTGTTTGTCTGGAGTGTCTTTTCCTTTTCCTTTACTTTTAGTCTATATGTGTTTTATTGATAAGTTGAGTTTCTTGTAAGCAGTATATAGTTGGAAGATAGTTTTTAAAAAATCTGTTTAGCCGTTCTGTATCATTTATGTGGATTATTTAATGTTTATGTTCAAGATTATTATTGATATTATTGATATGTGAGGCTTTGTTCCTGTCATATTAATTGTTTTCTGTTTGCTTTGTATACTCTTTGTTCCTTTCTTTTTCTCTTATTATTTTAATTAATTAATTTTATTTTCCCAGTCTTTAGAACCTGTGAATCTTTTATTATTTGTCATTGCGGTTTGGTGAATTTCTGTAGTAATACCATTTAATTCTTTTCTCTTCCTCCTTTGTGTGATTGCTTTACTAGTGAGTTTTATACTTTCGTGTATTTTTTTTTTTTTTTTTTTGAGATGGAGTCTCACTCTGTCACCCAGGCCGGAGTGCAGTGGTGCGATCTCAGCTCACTGCAACCTCCGCCTCCTGGGTTCAAGTGATTCTCCTGCATCAGCCTCCTGAGTAGCTGGGGTTACAGACATGCACCACCATGCTCAGCTAATTTTTGTATTTTTAGTAGAGACAGGGTTTCGTCATATTGGCCAGGCTGGTCTCAAACTCCTGACCTCAGGTGGACCACTCATCTCAGTCTCCCAAAATGCTAGGATTACAGGCATGAACCATCAGGGCTGGGCTACTTTTGTGTGTTTTTGTGATGGTAAATCTAATCTTTTCAATTCCAGGTTTAGGACTCCCTTGACCATTTCTTCTAGGTCCAATCTAATGGTAATAAATTCCTTCAGCATTTGCTTGTCTGGGAATGCCTTTATTTCTCCTTCATTTAGGAAGAATAATTTTGCTATAATTTTGCTGGGTATAGTATTCTAGGGTGAAAGTTTTTTGGGTTTTGTTTTGTTTTTCTCTTGCCACTATCACTATATCATGCCATTCTCTTCTGGCCTATAAGGTTTCTGCTAAGAAATTCACTGTTAGTTTGATGGAGTTTTCTTTATAGGTGACTAGATGATTTTCTCTTGTTATTTTTAGAATTATCTTTTTATCTTTGACTTTAGACAGTCTGATTATAATGTGCTGTGAAAACTTTTTGGCATTGTATCTTCCTAGGTATTGTTGAGCCACCTGTATCTGAATATCCTCTTGCTAGACTTACATCTCCTGCTAGACTTATTTTATTTTGTTAAATAAGTTTTCTAATCTTCTCTTTGTTTCTTTGTCCTCTAGGATACTGATAATTTATAAATTCAGTCACTGTATGTTGCCCCAAATGTCATGAAGCCTTGCTTATTCTTTCAAGTCTCTTCAAAAATACAAAAATTAGCCAGGCATGGTGGCAAACACCTGTAGTCCAGCTACTTGGGAGGCTGAGGTAGGAGGATTGCTGGAATCTCGGAAGCAGAGGTTGCAGTGAGCTGAGATCGTGCCACTGCACTCCAGCCTGGGCAACAGAGTGAAACTCCATCTTAAAAAAAAAAAAAGAGCTGTCTTTTAGTTCTGAGATTTTCTCTTCTGCCTCATCTACTCTATTACCAAAGTTTTCAAATGTATTTTTTATTTCTTTCAATGAATTCTTCAGGTCCAGAATTTCTATTTGGTTTTCGAAAAAGATATCGGCCGGGCGTGGTGCCTCACACTTATAATCCCAGCACTTTGGGAGGCTGAGGCGGGTAGATCACCTGAGGTTGGGAGTTTGAGACCAGCCTGACCAACATGGAGAAACCCTGTCTCTACTAAAAATACAAAATTAGCTGGGTGTGGTGGTGCATGCCTGTAATCCTAGCTACTCGGGAGGCTGAGGCAGGAGAATCGCTTGAACTGGGGAAGTGGAAGTTACAGTGAGCTGAGATCATGCTATCGCACTCCAGCCTGGGGAACAAGAGTGAAACTCCATCTCAAAAAAAAAAAAAAAATCTATCTTTTAGTAAAATTTTCCCTCATATCTTGAATTGTTTTTCTGTTGTCTTTGTACTGAGTTTCTTTAAAATCAATATTTTGCATTATACTGGGATTTTGAAAATGTCTTTTTGATTAAGAACTGTTACTGGAGAATTGTTGTGTTCCTTTGGAGAGTCATATTTCATTGATTTTTTTTTATGTTTCCTGTGTCTTTATGTTTATATCTGCACATCTGGTGTAACAATCACGTCTTCCTATTTTTGAACTTACTTTTGTAGGAGAGGACTTCTTCCAGAAGACCTAGCTTTAGTGTTTGTTAGGTAGGGCACTTTGGCTTTTAATTCTGAGGGCATGCAGCAGTGTAGTCTTTGTATGATTTCTTTGGCTCTAAACAGGATTAGTGATATCTGTGTGGGTTGGGGTGCAATTATTAGTGGAGTCTGTGGTGATGTTCTGCTTGGGGACTAAGATGCCAGGTGGGCCAGTTTCCAGGCACCAGTGATGACAGTGGTGGGTTGAGTATCCCTATCTTTGTGCCCCAGGGTGACGTATGCTGCCACCTGTACTTGTGGTTACTAGAGGTCTGATTTTTGGGCCTCTAGGTGGCTTGCTCAGATGTTGATAATGGCAGCAGTAAACTGGGTCATAGAGTGTGTTTTCAATCACCTGGCAGCCAGTATAGCATGGATGATGGCAGAAGCTGTAGTGGGATGATTCTCTGGGTCCTGAGTGGTGTGTGTTCATGTTGACAGTAGATGTGATGTGCTGGGTGGGGAAGTCTCCAGTCCTGCAGGTGGGGCTTGCAGATAGGTCAGCTGAGGAGATAGCAGTCGAGACCCTGGGCTATGTGCTCTGTTAAGGTGGGAGAAGTGAAGGAGCGAAGCTAGGCTCGTGGGGCTTGTGGTGAGAGCAGGCACCAGCTGTGGTGGCCAGGATGATCCTTAGGCCTCAGGCTAAGTGCTTGTGTTAGAGACAGTAGCAGCCATGCTGAGGCCCCACCACTGGAGAGGGAGCTGCTGTCTTTGTGGCAACAGCCTGGGCCAGTGGGTAGGGAATGCACGTTTCTTTCTAGCCCCAGTCCTGGGGGTTCACCCCCTACCCTGGCAGTGGTAGCTGATGCTTAGCTTGTTCCCCCACCCCAGCTGTAGGAGCACCCACCCAACTCGCAACCAAGTCCCACCAGCAACTCATTCTGCTCACTTACATGCCAGTCTCTGTCCTGACAGCACCCGCTTCCTGGCACTGGCTGCTGCAGCTCATGTCTTGCTTGCTTCTTATCCCTGGCTGTGGGAATGCTCCCATCTTACTCCTCATTCCAGCAGTGATAACTTGAGCTTTTGTAATGTCTCAGTCTTGGTGCTGCTGGCCTGAAGGACAGTGTGCAGTTTATGAGAGGCTAGCTTTGAAAATGGCACCTTCCTGTAGCTTCTTAGGTCTTATAAATGGTGTGGGAGCTCCCTCCCTGGAGCAGCCCTGTCCCTTCGTCTCCCATCAACTTCCTGTGTTAGTTTCAGGGCTTGGGATGGTCAAGGGGCTCTCCTGTGGCTAGGATTGCATGATCTGATGGTGGGGATGTGGGCTGCTGGAAGTCTGTCACTCACCCTTTCCTCATGTTAGGAAGTCACTCCCAGCTCTTAGCCAGTCCTGACCAGGGATGCTGCCTCTTTTCCTCCTTCCCCACTTTTGGTGTTTCCTGTCTCTTCTGTGTTGAGCATCAGCATTCTGTCTTGGATAACGTATTTGAAGTGTGACTGTCTATATACTATTCCAGTTCTTCTAAGTAGAGCCAGAAAATCCTACTCAACCATCTTGAACCTTTCTCCCCTATTTGATTAGTCTTCTATTGTCTCCACTTTCCCTTTCCTCAAAAATTGATATTCTACATGTTTGTAAGTTTTTTGCTTTACACAGTCTTTTAAAAATTTATTTTAAATTCATTTTATTTAGTTTTTTTCTTCTTGTGTTTTACACATTCTAACTCCCCAAACAAACCCATCCACTCTTTGGCTTCAGTGTTGTCTGTTTGCAGGTGACTTCCAGAACTGTGTTTCTGACTTCTCTGCGCTCTGCAGGCTCACATTTTTAAGGTATATAGCAGAAATAAAATGAAATTAACTGGGCATGGTGGCAGGCGCCTGTAGTCCCAGCTAGTCAGGAGGCTGAAGCAGGAGAATTGCTTGAACCCGGAGCAGAGGTTGCAGTGAGCTGAGATTGTGCCACTGCACTTCAGTCTGGGTGAGAGAGCGAGACTCTGTCAAAAAAAAAAAAAAATTGAAATAAAATGAAATTGAGAGTCAGTGGACGCTAATGGTTTTCAAAGATGTTTCAGAGATATATTTTGAAACTAATATCAGACCTTCAAACAAATTATCATTTTCTCATTTCTATTTTGAGTTCAGTCTTTTCATTCATTCTTTTTGTCATCTTTAGAAGTCACAATGAACTTCCTGGGATATTTGTTTGGGTTGGGTAGATCCTTCCTAACTATCATAGTCAATAAGTATGATAAGATTTTAAAAAGTAAGATAAATCTTATCTTTTGAGTGCTAACATTTACTGAATGCTTACTATGTGCAAAGCATCTTACTTTGCTTAAATAATCTCTATTATTATTATTATTTTTGAGATGGGGTTTCTCTCTGTCGCCCACACTGGAGTGCAGTGAAGTGACCTCGGCTCACTGCAAACCCCTTCTCCTGGGTTCAAGCGTCTCTCTTGCCTCAGCCTCCAAAGTAGCTGGGATTACAGGCACATGCCACCCTGCCCAGCTAATATTTGTATTTTTAGTAGAGACAGGGTTTCACTATGTTGGCCAGGCTCGTCTTGAACTCCTGACCTCAAGTGATCTGCCCGCCTTGGCCTCCCAAAGTGCTGGATTCCAGGCATGAGCCAATTTGTAATTTCTTGAAGATGAGGAAAGTGAAGCTCAGAGAAATTAAATATCTTGTTCAAGGCTGATGACAGACACAGACTCAAACTCTGCTCTTTGCTTTCAAAGCTTGAGCTCTCATCCATTACTCCACCCTGCCTCTTAGTGTGCAGAATGAGAAATCAGGTAAGCAGCCCCTTCAAGTATTGCCCCCATAAGTCTTCTTTTTCTCTCTGGTTATGTTAAATACCACAGCTTTTTCTTGAACTTGAGTGTTAATGAACAAACAGGGTCTGCCCTTGTACAAAAGTCCATTTCTTGTTTTTGCAGATTTTTAAATGCCAGCCATAGCTTAAGTATGAAATTCTCCATATTAACCAGCAGTGCCTCTGTTGGCATTAATGCGGCATCTTTTTTTCTGCCAGATGCTACAGGCAATTGGTCAGGAAGTGGGCCAAGCCTCCACCCTCACGTATTGTTAACTGAATTCGCACACAACTAATAAGATACTGGTGTGACTCAGTAGAGTGAGAGCAACCCAAGAGTGGACAGGAGGGGCCTGTCTGAAAAAGGAGGGAATCTTAAGTCGCATGTAATTTAATGTCTGTAAAAACTAGAATAGACTACTGTAGGGAGAACGTATAGCCTCCTCTTTGGAGAAAGAAGAATGAAATTCAATAGAACTCGATAGAATTGGATGACACCTAAAATAGAATCATGGCCCAAAGTAATTTTGCAGAATGAAGAGAAAGAGAGAGAGAGAGAGAGAACCTACCAATGTGCTAATATTTCTTGAAAAGTTACCAATATTTATCGACCATCAAGTATGCCAAATCAGAATAATACAATTGTGAAAAACATTAGTTTTTGTTCTGATTGCTTGAGGCTTCTATTGCTGTTATTATCACTATCATTTTGGGGCATGATTGTAGAGGCAGGTTAAAGCACTTTGGAGTAAATTGCAAGATCCTCTCCAGAGATCTGAGAATGAGCAGCATTATTTTGGAGCGTCCGCCTAGGACAGCACATTTGATTGGCTAGTTTATCACAGTGGACATTTATATCTGAAACTAAGATTACTATTCTGTACTTGTGCAGACCTATAGATGGCGCTGTCTTCCTATAATTTTGGTGATTTGCTTTTTATTTTCTTTTTAAAAGGAAAAGCTTTCTGCAGATATAGTTAGATCTAGAAGTGTGTTAACTTCTGATTACATTCCACTATTGCAAAGCATCTTTGCCTTGCATAGATCATAGAGAATTCTACACTTGAAAAATACAGACTGTACTTTGGGAATTAATTTTTCTTTTAATTGTGATTCATACCTGTGTATGTATGGAAAAATGGGTTTATGTATATGAGTAAGAAAGAGGGATGGAAGAAACTGTTTTTATTTGTATAATATTTATTTTCTTTATGTTGGTTCTTGCCGTAAAATTTGAATTAGAGTCCTGGATAAAATAGAAATCATTGATAAGCTTAGGATAAATGTCATAATTTCTTGTAGATCTTAGAGATTACCTGAAACTCCTAGATTCCATAATTTTGTTTTTCAAAGTTATTAGGGCTAGGGTATGTATTATAGTCATAATAAATTATAAACATCTCTAAACAGGAGCTACAGTGCCAAACACGTAGGTTTTATTTATGTATCTGGGACTCAAATGCCATTTCTTGTTTTAATTCAGTGGCCTTTAACATAAGAAATTGGGTATATGTATGAATAATAATTTTTCTTGAATGTAAGTTCTAAACAGGATTTTTTTCCTTCAACCCTACTCCTTCTGTAAGGAAAAAGTTTTAAGTATGATACATATTATGTTGTGGATTTGGTTTATGAATGGGAAATGCCAGAAGTGCTTGCTTCTGTAATCAAACTTTAACCACAAGATGGCAGTATAACTTTCCCATGTCTTTAAAAAATTTTTAAATAATT
This sequence comes from Homo sapiens, assembly GCF_000001405.40. Classification (NCBI taxonomy): domain Eukaryota; kingdom Metazoa; phylum Chordata; class Mammalia; order Primates; family Hominidae; genus Homo; species Homo sapiens. The sequence continues at coordinate 37,149,851 of NC_000014.9, read as the reverse complement.
ACTAAATTAAATTATTTTTTCTCTCTTAATGAGAAATGTATACAGCTAAGGGATTTCAAGATAGTTCTAAGGAGGATGAATATTGAAGGTACTGTACTAAATATAAGAAATATTAAAGACTATTTAGTGATTATTTATTTATTTTTTGAGTCTTGCTCTGTGAGTCAGCCTGAGTCTGTGCCCAGGCTGGAGTTCAGTAGTGCTGTCTCAGCTCACTGCAACCTCTGCCTCCCGGTTTAAGCGATTCTGCTGCCTCAGCTTCCTGAGTAGCTGGGACTACAGGCGCCCACCACCATGCCCAGCTAATTTTTGTATTTTTAGTAGAGATGGGGTTTCAGCTTCCCAAAGTGCTGGGATTGCAGGTGTGAGCCACCGTGGCCGGCCCTAGCGGATTTTTTTTTTGATGGAGCAGTTTTTAGTTGCCCTAAGAAAACATTTAATTTATATTCTGTAAAGTTGAAATAGGAATATGATATGAAAATGGTAAGCAACTTTGTTTTACAGAGCAATATAGTTTCATTAGGTTTGCCTCATAAAGCATCAAGAAAGTGACAGTAGATTTTCTGTTTCTTTCATGTGTTCATGGACATCTGCATTGGTGTATACCTTGTATTTTGAGCTCATAGCTGGAGATTAGAAGTTCAACAAGAAGCAAGGAAGGGAAGAAAAAGAGAAAAGTAGAGGCACTGGCATCTAAGTTAAAAAAAAACAGTGGTGATAATGATGTCTATGTGATTCTTGTTGGCTTCATATCTTCCATAGTCAAAAAATGGATCATCTAGGCAGGCACAGATAGCTCACGCCTGTAATTCCAGCATTTAGGGAGGCCAAAGTGGGGAGAATTGCTTGAGCCCTGGAGGTTGAGGCTATTGTGAGCCATCATTTGTTCATTCAATTTGGATATTTAAATAGCCGTCATCCAGCATTATATATACTGATAATGTTTTCATTGGTATGCTTACATAATATGTAGTATTCCATTTCACTCTGCAAAGAGGCTTTTCACAAGCATCTATTTTACTTTTCCTTGATTTTTTGTTATTAGTTTAAAAGAGTGCATTGGATCTATTTCTTGTTTTTTAAGTCTTATGAAGAGTGAGCCCCTCTAAGGAAGAGACCAAGTCATGTTTATTTTGTATCTCCAGGCCTACCACAGTGCTTTGAATATAGTAGCTGCTCAATAAATGTATATTTATTCAATGCATTTGCCACAAAGCAATTCAATTTCATTGAGACCTGTTTTGCTTATATATCCCCATGTAACCATATAGAAATATGGCAGAAGTAAAGAAAATACCTTCTGATTTAGACGTCAAATACTTTGACCTCTTTCATAGCATCTTATTTTACTGATGGTGGAGGGAATGTTTCTTGTAGGAATCATAGTTTCTCAGAGCAACAATGAAGACAAAACATCTGTGTTTTGACCTATGGTGTATCTAAATGAAGATGATCTCATGCTAAATAGTATGATTTGCTTTCTATAATAGAAATCTGACATACAATCAATATAAAATATACAATGTGTAGCTACACACAAAAATATTTTTTACCTTATAAACTCAAGGACATCTTTTACTTTGCATTATTTATATAAGTTAGAAATATATGACAGTATATATAAAATCACATTTGCGGGCAAGTTGAATGAAAAAAGACTCACAGTTACCATATGTAGGAAAAACATATAAGCAAAATACATAAGGAAAATAAGGGCTGGGGGTGGTGGCTCATGCCTGTAATCCCAGCACTTTGGGAGGCCCAGGTAGACCGATCACTTGAGGTCAGGAGTTCGAGACCAGCCTGACCAACATGGAGAAACCCCGTCTCTACTAAAAATACAAAAATCAGCCAGGTGTGGTGGTGAGTGCCTGCAATCCCTGCTACTCGGGAGGCTGAGGCAGGAGAATTGTACCCGGGAGGCGGAGGTTGCAGTGAACTGAGATCACATCACTGCACTCCAGCCTGGGCTACAGAGTTGAGACTCTGTCTCAAAAAAAAAAAAAAGAAAAGAAAAAAAAGAAAAAGGAAATATAGTTACCATGTGTGAGAAAAAGTGTGGTCTCATGTAATGCCCTAAACATATATGTCATGTTTCAAAAATCTGTAGTTTTAGGTGAGTTTGAGGTCAGAATGCATTTCCCCCTAGAACAATGTTATGCAATTCATGGGCAAGCCACAAAAATTTTCTTCCTTTTTTTTAAAAAAAAAAAAAAACCTGAAATAAGTGTGAAATACCAGTAATGGCAGCTCTAAGCCCTAGGGCATTTAGGATTCCTAAGCCCAAATATAGGGTCCTCTGTCCTTCTGAGGCTAGCTTCCCTGGAGGTTTTAAGAGCTCTAACTGGTGGAGAATGGGATAGAGATACTCAGATGTGGAGATAGTGTGGTGGCTTCTCGTTGACAATGAGATAGGAAGGTGCCAGCAGCCAAGAAGGAAAGGGTGACAGACAAGACCAGGAGGGCCATTTGAATAGGGCCTCATATTTCACAGAGGGCTTTATAAATTTGAATTTTTGACATTTCTTTCAAATATGGGCAGATATAAAGTCATTGCCTTTGTCATTGCAATTGTGTCTGTTAAAAGAATTACTATGTGAAATGTAAGTCCTTAAAGTAAATTTTAATAACGCTGTTAACTGGCATTTCTTTATTTTTTATAATAGTATTTTGAGAGTTCCCAATTAGTAGAAGAGTCTTGGGTCTCTTTCAACTTCCAAGAGGCCCTAGTCCTAAGAGACAAGGGTGAAGGAGTTCTAGAGGGTCTCACTCCAGTGGTTCCTAGTACGTCCTTGTGCAATGAATAAATGGATGGTTGGTGAACAGTCCGACAGCAGAGAAGAACCAAAGGGCAAGTGCAAACCAGAGTTGGGAATTAGGAGGCATTAAGGTTGGAGAAAATGGGAGCTGTAGTGATCATTAGTATGTACAAGTTGTTAGCAAATTAACTATTTCTAGATTGGAAAATACCTGCATTTTTTATGTTTTGTGCGGCGTATATGAATCTATGTATTCTTACATTTGAATAAACATGAGACATGTCACACTTTTCATATATATTTTATCAGCATTGCATAGCTGAGAAAATAGCTACATATTAAATTAAAATAAAATACCCTAGTTTTTAAATTTTATTGATCTGTAAGTAACATTGACATGTTTAGTTAAATGTAAGAATGAATGCATAATACTAATTGTTGAATAAATGATGTAAAATAATGACATCATTTATTATATATTAAAACATGCTCTTCTTATCTTTATCAGTAGACTATTAGCTTCATGAAGGTAAAACTCTTGGTCTGGGCTGAGTGTGGTGGCTCAGGCCTGTAATCCCAGCACTTTGGGAGGCCAAGTCAGGCGGATCTCTTGAGGTCAGGAGTTAGAGACCAGGCTGGGTAACATGGTGAAAGTCTGTTTCTACTAAAAATACAGAAGTTAGCTGGGGGTGATGCCACGTTCCTGTAGCCTTAGCTACTTAGGGGGGTTGATGTGGGAGGATTGCTTGAGCCCAGGAGATCAAGGCTGCATGGAGCCATGTTTGTACCACTGTATATACTGTCACACACACACAAAAGAAACTCTTGGTCTGTTTGGTACTCTGGTGTATCCCTAGTGCCTAAAAGATAACCTGGCACAGGACAGGTACTCAATAAACATTTGTCGAATGAATAGATGAATGAATAAATGTCAAGTGTTTTATTTATCAATTTTTAATGTGAATTAATTTAAAACTTCAAAACTTTTCATCAAGATGGTAGGGAGATATTTCCTAAACAATCTGAAGGAGTGGGTGCTGTTTCCTTCATGCCCAGTGTCATTGGTGGTGAGGAGAATCATTGCTGTTTGCCTGCCATCAAATTGAGACATTACCCTAGGAACCGAATGCTGTAGACGATGTACTGTTCCATTTTATTCCTGATAGCTGCAAAAGGAAATAAAAAAGGGCTCTAGTTTTCCTGCCCTGGTTACTCTAAGAAGGAGTCAATCCAAGTCCCATTGATTCTGTGAACCTAGAAATTTGTCTTCCTGAATTTTGACTGTGTGTGGATGGAGACCTGTTTTTTCCTAATACCTGGCTTTCCAGGAATAGTTAGAAGAAGTATAGAGTATCTGATTGTTGAGTTGCTTACAGTTTGGAGGTAGGTTTGTTTTCTCAAGCTCAAATGTCATTGTGTTAGTTGTAGTTTTTTCCAGCCCATCTTTCTACTTGCCCCACATGCCCTCAGGGATATCTGAGTCAATCCCACACATGTGGCAGTCATATGATAGGGGACTTACTCAGTGGGGTCATAGCAACCTAATCTTAATTTTCTGTTCTAGTCTATTAAATTCCTACTGTGGTGTCCCAAAGAGTTATTTAGCTCATCTCTCTGTGTGTGTGTGTGTGTGTGTGTGTGTGTGTGTGTATTTTAGTATTTTAGATTTCACTTCATGCTACAAAGAGAATAGAGGTAAATCTGGGCACACAGGCATGGAGTTCCAGCTACTCCTGAGACTAAGGCATGAGGATTGCTTGAGCCCAGGAGTTTGACTCCAGCCTGGGCAACAGAGCGAGACCCCATCTCTTAAAAAAAATAGAGAATAGAGGTAAGAGAAGGAGGTAGTATTCTATGGGGATTCTGATGTCTTAATGCCTGATACCAGATCCCAACTCTAATACTTACTAGCTGTGTTACCTTGGGCAGGCAGCTTAACATCTCTGTGCCTTACCCATAAAATAGAGATAGGATGCAATCTACCTCATTGGTTATTGGAAGGATCATATGGATTGAGGCATGTAAAGTGCTTAGAATTGTGACTAGCACTTCCTGAATGCTCTGTGTTAGTTATTATTAATGGAGAGGGAAAACATATGAGTAGTTAAGACTCTTCCAAATATTAAAAACAAACAAACAACAACAACAACAACAACAACAACAACAACCACCCAGGCTGGGCGTGTAATCACAGCACTTTGGGAGGCCAAGGCAGGCTGATCGCTCAAGCTCAGGAATTCAAGACCAGCATGGGCAATATGGTGAAATCCTATCTCTACTAAAAATACTAAAAAAACAAAAAAAAAAACCCAAAACAACTTCACATATGAGTGACACATCTTATGAATACATGCATATATGCTAACTATAATTCTTTCTACTTTTATAATATAAACTATATTTCTGTTTACATTCTAGAAACTTTATCTTATTTCACTTAACTACTGATTTGGGGCAGTAGAATTTTGTTTTGTGCTCAAACCTGGATTTCATTAACATAATCTTCTTTTTCACCTGATGAAGTTGTTTTCCCCTCTGCCACCCCTGAAAATGGAGTCATTACTTTGCTTCTGGAGACTTCCTTTCCAATATTCCACAGTGGGTCCACAGGAGTGGTTCTTAACTAATATTTTAGTAGTCACTCTATCAAATAATTTGGTTCACTCCCCTCCTCTAAACCTAAATTTTTTTAAAAGAAGAGAATGTATATGTGTGTAGGTATTCTATTTATCATTCATAGTAACTTCTGAGGTGTTAAATTGCATAACATTTTTTGAAACAAATTTGATCAATCATTATTAATTGAGATAAGTAATACAAAGGCCTTGTCTTTAATTTAAATAAATCATTTCCATATTTCACCCCAGTGGTAAAGAGACCACCTAATTGACAACTACTGATTTATAGGTTAAATAGAATCTGTCAGTCCTTTTCCCAAGATTTGACAGTGACATTATTACTCAAGTTTGTAATTAGCTGGCTCTCTTTTTCTCATTAGTTTCTGTATTTTTTTCTAAGCCCTCGACCCCAAGGATCAGTGCTCTCAGTCAAGACCTGTCCCGAGCTTCCCACCAAGTCACTGCATGCTTTTCTGACTCTTGTCAATAACTGCTGAATTTGACTTTCTAAAACCCCCATTTTATTCTAGGAAAACAGCAACTGCATTGATAAATTTAATTAATTATACTTTGTAATGTGTTAGATGTTTCCAACAATTTAACTGCTTTTGATAGATTCCAAACTGTGCCTTTTCCTCAGACAAAATGTAAGCTATGATAGGAAAACCAGGAAAAAGAAACTTTGAACCACTTACAGAATAAACTGGCCCTGTCTGCTCCATTGCCCCAGATGCTGGGGAAAGCACAATAGGTGTTCATGGAACCCCAAATATCTGATCCATGCTGACAATGATGATGAAATCAGTCAAATGCCTTCTTCCCCTTTCATACTTGTTCCTCTTAAACAAATTACAGACACACACACACACACACACACACACACACGCTAATGAACAGACACATTAAAATGCCTTTTACCTGGGCTTTAAGCAGCTGTTTTATTGTTTACACGCTGACATTATTATTATGTTACTCTGTTTACAATCTGCTTTTCAAAAGTATTTTTAAAGTTAGTTATCTCCAATGTCCATGAATTCCTTCGGAAAACATTTCTTGGGTGTTTTGTATAGCCAGCCCCTGTGACAGCAGGTATGTGTGGCCATTCTGATTTGAACCACGAGGAATGTGCAGTGCAGAAAGGGTGGGAGCAGTTAGCTAAGCCTGTTTGCCAGCAGGCGGGTGCTTAGTTCACCAAGCTTCACTAAAATTTGATATTTTGCTTTCGTAAGCTGGTTAGAAGCATTGCATGAAAATCCTGCCAAATTTTGTCCCTTTTTGTCCAAACTTTTTTAACTTGAAAAGGAATCTCAGTATGTAAAACTTTCCATTATAAGGCCACCTGTAAACTTAAAACAGGCAAACTGTTTTTTCAGCTGCCTGCAGCTATGTTTCTCAGCTGACTAATACTGACAGATAAAGATGGCTTTCCCCTGAGGAGGACTGTTTTGTTTGTGGTTATTCTGTCACTACCAGGAGGGACAGCTCCCTTTGCCTGTAGGGAATGCAGAGATGCAGTTTGCAGACAGACTTAGATGCTGACTAGCAACTAAAAAAATAATAGTCAAATAATGATTTCATTGTTCCTTCCTGTGTCCTTGACAACTGAGAGGTATCCAGCTAGACTGGGCCACTGCCTAGGAGTGTTCTTTGCCTCAGATACTACTATTTCGAAGAAAATTTACAATTCATTCTGACAGTCAGGCTAAGGAGAAAAACGGACATTTCTAATATCTGCCTAATTTCAGTGGTTGTGTATCCTCGGAGGTAATTCTTCTGTCACTTCTATTCATGAACACTATGACTTGCCCCGTTAAAAAAATCTTTTAGGCCCATCATGGTGGCTCATGGCCCTAATCCCAGCTACTCGGGAGGATTGCTTGAGCCCAGGAGTTCCGGATCAGCCTGGTAACATAGTGAGACCTCGTCTCTACAAATAATAATAAAAAATGAACCAGATATGGTAGCACCTGTCTGCGGTCCCAGCTACTTGAGAGGCTGAGGTACGGGAATCGCTTGAGCCCAGGTAGCTGAGGCCGCAGTGAGCTGTGACCAAGCCACTGTACTCCAGCCTGGGCAACAGAGCAAAACCCTGTCTCCAAAAAGGAATATAATATCTTTTTATGGCATGGTTTCTACCTCGATGATAGTCTGTGATGAAGAGCTACCACTCTGGAGTTGGACAGAGCTGTTTGAGTTCTGTCTCAGTCAATTATCACTGGTGGGACCTTGGACAAGTTTCTTAATCTTTCTAATCCTCAAGTCTTTAAATAGGAATAGTAACAGAATCTTTCTCCATAAGGTTGTTGTGAGTTAAATGAGATGAGGCACATAAAATGCTTAGCCTGCTGTTTGGCACAATTAAGCACACCATAAATGGGTTGGTTACTGTTGTTATTAATCTCCCCTACAAGACTGTGAGTTCCCAGAGCCATGGTTCTCAGCCTTGACTACACTTTAGGATCACTTGGGTAACATGAAAAGATGCAGAGGCCACTGTCGCAACCCACACTGACTACATCAGAACCTCTGGGAATTGGACCCAGGAATCAGCATTTTTTACGTCGCTCTATCTGAGTCCAATGTGCAGCCAAGATTGAGAAATACTATCCTTGAGGATGGAGCCTGTATCATATCAAAGTACTCAGACGAAAATGTAGAAATAGCTGATTACAGTGGTTATTCTGAAAAATAAAGTCAGTGCAATCTAGAAAAATATAAAAAGTGACATATAGTACCTTACATATTTTGTTTCAGGTATTTTGAGTAATAGAATAAAGAAAAACAAAATTAACTGATTTTTAATGGGGCAACTTGCTACTAACATTTACGTAGTAAAGTAAATCTACTAGGAAAAAGATGGAAAATGATAAAATAGCCGGTAACTCAAATTTGAATGTGTGAGATAAAGTTACACAAATGGAAGCTACACTAAAGCAAAATTATTTTTATATTTCAGTTTTTTTTTTAAAAACGCAGTTAATTGAAAGAAATAATCATAGACAATTCTATGCTATTTTAATACAAAGGCCAGTATAAATGCAAAGATTTCTCACTTAGATCATGTCTGTGGTTGTTTGACCACAGATTTTTTGTGTGTTTTATGTGTTGAGGAAAACACTGGCAACACACAAAAACATGCTTTACATTGCTAATGCTGAATTAGCATCTTTAGCTAGTCATTATGGTATTCAGCTTTTGGACTGGGAAGGCTAAAGTTTGAGATAAACTCAGTTGCTCAGTTGTATTAATTATATAAAAAAGCTTGAATTTCTTCCTCGTAATACAAAAGGTGTTAATTATTAAGTTCCTAAGATTTTTTTTTCTTTTTTTGAGACAGTGTCTCTCTCTGTCACCCAGGCTGGAGTGCGGTGGCGTGATCTTAGCTCACTGCAACCTCCGCTTCCCTGGTTCAGTGATTCTCCTGACTCAGTCTCCCAAGTAACTGGGATTACAAGCCTGCACCACCACGCCTGGCTAATTTTTGTGTTATTTGTAGAGACGGAATTTCGCCATGTGGCAAGGTTGGTCTCGAACTCCTGACCTCAAGTGATCTACCCGCCTCAGCCTCCCAAAGTGCTGGGATTACAGGCGTGAGCCTTACCGTGCCCAGCTCTAAGATCTTATAAAGTTAAAAAAAAAAATGGTACCACCAGACTTAACTTTTCCAAAGGGATTTCTTAGCCCCCAGTCCTTTAACTGTATTTTCAAAAGAGAATTTCTCTGTTTCAACATACCACATATTTTGGAAGCATGTTATTTCAATTTTGAGCTTCTTCAAAAGAATGTTTTTATAAATAAATACTTCATATAACATTCAGTATCTGTTTTTCTGCATATACAATTTAACCTAGATACATTGTTGATGATCAAAATGATTACACTAGTTTGCTACTGCTAGTTTTACAATAAATTTTTGTGTTTATGCTCTCGTTCAATTCTCCCAATACCTCAGTGAGGGTGCAGGGCAAGGATAAGCCTCATTTTATAGGTGGGAAAACTAAAGCAGTGTATTAGTAGGCAGTTCAGCAGAGCCAGGCAAAAGTTTTTGGTTTTAGTCAGATGTTCATTTCATCAAGTCATTCATGCATTTACCAAGAATTATCAAGCTGCAGATATGTGTCAGATGTGGTTCTAGGGAATGGATATCCAAAATTAGTAAGTCATAGTTCTTGCCCTTAAGGAATTACACTCAGAGACCTGTGAATACATTTTAAAGTTTTTATCCTGTATCTACCAAGGCAGAATATATGATCTGAAATTGCCATGGCCAAAGTTAGCAACTTCGGGATATAAGCAGAAAGAAGAAATGCAGTGAGGTGGTTCAGAAAACCATAACTACCACCTACAGTTACAGTTTGCAACAGCCAACTAGATGTGAGACAAACCTGGACATTAATATTCCTTGCAGCTGGGTTCTTTGATGATTTCTGCAGCATTAGGGGAAGCTATGGTGTTTTTCTAAGAATGTACTATTCAGTGATGCTTTAATTTTATTTCCTCCGGTTCTTCAACTGCTAATGTTCATTTTAGTTTCGGCAGAAATTGCTTTGATGATTAAGCATTGTGGTTTATTTTTAATGCGTATTCATCTCAAGTATTTAGCTGGTTTCTGAAGATATCCTGTTGGTGAATTAAATGCTCATACTTACCAGACACAAGTCAGGTGTAGAGTTTAATTAATCATTTAAGAAATACACTGACTTTTTGATGATTATAAAGTCTTGAAGGGAATGTACTGCCTTCACTGTCTTTTGTAATTAGCTACATTCTTTTATTTTAAAGCGTAACATAGGAGTCAGTTAAATGGATAGAACTATTTTAGTTCTTCTTGAAGATTCATAGTGTTGCCCTAAAGGAAGGAAAGTTCAGGAAGAAAATTGTGTTATTCATTTTTCAGTTACTGAGTGGAAAATTTTATGTCTTGAAATTTTTCCTTGAATATTTTACTATTGAAAATATATGGAGGGATAAAGGTATCAGTTTTTTTTGTGAGTAAAAATTTAAGAGTATAATGTTGAAAAGTTGAAATATAAGCATTGTTATGCAGCAAATAAACGAAATATATCTCTTACTCTTGTATGAAACTATTTTAACTTAATGTCAATAAAGTTTAAATTAGTTCAGACTTTTCTTATTAGAATAAATGTTCCCTTTTAAAATGCATGATAATCATAATCAAGACAGAATTTGTCCTGTTATTTATTTTCAAAATGATTGTACATGTTTAGCAGACTTTTGATTTAAATCCCCAGTGATATATTGGAGACAGATGTTTAGATGACCTCATGTTTAAAGTAATGTTACATTTGGACACAAGATTAAATTTTCCTTAAAATCTTTCCCTATAAGTTAAATGTGTGGTAGTATACAAAAACTAATCAATGATTTGTGATGGATTAATGCGATTCCTGTATTTTAAATAAAATGTTCTATCTTTTATGGAATTCCACGTAGTACAAAAGAGCTGATTATGAAACAGCTGTTTACAAATGAAAATATTGTTTTTGGCTGGCCAGCTAGATGGGAAACAGATTTCAAAAGTTCCATGAATTTGAATGCAAATTTACCATATCATTTATACTGAACCAAAGAACATTAGTAAAAAACTGCAACACAGTTTACCAAAAAATTCAGTTGAAGACTATTTTTTAGGATAGAATATAAACATTTAAAATAGCTTTTTCTTTTTCAGAACTAATTTTTTCTTTATGAAAATCAATGTAATTATAACATGTTAGTATATATAGAAGATTTTTAAGGAGCTCATAAATAATATTTAACATTTCAATGAAGGAAAATTAGCAGTTGGAGGTATTAGAAATGCATAGGAAATTGAGTGGAGTGAAATAGATAAAAGATAAGAGATATTGTCCAAAGACAATAAATTAATGTATATGAACAAATGAATTTAAGGCAGAGCTATATAAATATTAACAGACTGTCATTTCTATCAGCAGCAAGAATGCTATATACTAAAAATCACTTTGCTATGGAGATTTTAATTGAAGAAAACATGGTCTACAATGAAAATCTTCACATTTTCTCTCAAATTTTAAACAGTTAATAAGAATTATTTGTTTTGGAACTTAGTTTAAATAAAAATAAATGGCATAAAGGCCATATCTTATAAATTTTGAATATGACTCCCTTAAATGCCAAAGTATATACTTTAATCGAGGTAAGTAAAACTTCTAGAACTAGTGTTTGTTGTTTTTCTTTTTCTTCGTATCTTTTATTGTCTTTCTCCTTGCCTCAGTTTTCTGAAAATGGGATCATATTTCTTGAGTTGCTTTTTAAATAGTCACCTGGGAATAAATGCGTGTTTAGGGGTGGGATATTACATCTGGCTCTCTTGTCACCATCTAACATCCAAAGTGATTGATAATCACTCAGGAGAGAAGCAAGTGGAATATGAGCAGATATTTTAAGAAACAAGTTTTGGGGCAAAATGAAGGCAAAAAGGCATCTAGGAATGTAAGCAACATAAGTAAAAGCACTTTAAAGGCAAATACTAATACTGTATTCACATTGATGAATGTGTCCTTAATGGATGATTCACCTTTAGCATACTTTAATTTTTTCAACATATTTTATTGAGTGTCAGTTGTTAATTAATACCTGTAGAACGAATTCATTGACATACAGACATGTTAAATGGTAGTAGACTATACATTTTAAGGAAGACTTGATGCCTTATGGCTCCATTAATGATATATGTTTTACTTTTGAGAATAGTGGAAATAATTACCACTCTGTAGATTAGGCCGACTACATAGTATTGATGGCTTATACACATCACATCATCCACATTCTTTTTCGCTTTACTCATGATCCTACAATGTAGTAATGTATAAAAGTCAGGCAGCTGGCACAAATGATGCATTTGACAGCTACTAACGGAGGTTTTCTTATTTACTTTATATTTTATCTTAATACAATCTTATACATCTTATAAACAATGACAAAATTCTATAAGAAAATCAGCTGGTATCTATGCTTCTTTTTAAGCTGGCATATATGCTTCTAACAAGAAATTATAATTGTGTTTTTGCATAATGGGCAAAATTAAATTTTGAAAAGAAATGTAATTCACATATTGACATAAATAATAATATTTAAACATAAACATAATACCATTATTTATATTTATTTAATACCAGCATTCAAAAGTCAGTGCCAGCTGGGCGCGGTGGCTCACGCCTGTAATCCCAGCACTTTAGGAGGCCGAGGCGGGCGGATCACGAGGTCAGGAGATTGAGACCACCCTGGCTAATGCGGTGAAACCCCGTCTCTACTAAAAATACAAAAAATTAGCTGGGCGAGGTGGCGGGCGCCTGTAGTCCCAGCTACTCAGGAGGCTGAGGCAGAGTGGCGTGAACCCGGAAGGCGGAGCTTGCAGTGAGCCGAGATTGCGCCACTGCACCCCAGCCTGGGCGACAGAGCGAGACTCCATCTCAAAACAAAACAAAAACAAAAAAAGTCAGTGCCATACAGATTTCAGACATACAGAATAGTTCTCACTGCTCTAAAAATTTCTTGTGTTCCACCTATTTTTCTCTCCCCATTCCCCCTGCCCTATATCCCCTACAATCACTCATCTTTTTACTCTCTGCACAATTTTTTCTTTTCCAGAATGTCTTACAGTTGGAATGATACAATATGTAGCCTTTCCAGACTGGTTTCTTTCACCAAGCAATATACATTTATGGTTTCCCATGTCTTTTTGTTGCTTAATAGCTCATTTTTTTTCAATTGCTGAATAATATTCCCATGTATAAGTTATAGTATAATTTTTGTATCCATTCAACTATTTAAGGACATCTTGGTTGCTTCCAGATTTTGACAATTATGAATAATGCTGCTATAAAGCTAACATTTGTGTGCAGGTTTTTAAATGGATATAAGTTTCCAAGTCATTTGGGTGAATACCTGGGAGTATGATTTCCAGATTGTTGAAATATTAATAACAAGTTCTTAAAAGAACTTAATTATAACAACATCTCTGGCATGTAGGAATATCCATGTCTTTAATTAATAGTGACAGGAAAAAAAATGTTTCCTGGATTCATACAGCTGAATTCTGGATAAGTAAATATTTATTTTCTGTTTCTTTCTCTGTGCATAATCATACTTAGGCATGAAAGGCTATTTAAACTCATGCTTTTCTACTGTTTCTTCTTTTTGATTTGATTTCAAGGTGAGATAAACTCATAATTTGACAAGACCATTTTAATTAATAGTTGAGAACAATTCATTTTAAAGACAGAGGGGAAACTAGCACATACTAAGATAACTACTAGAGTACAGTCAGGAGATCAGAATGTCTCCCTAGTTTATTGAATGTCTATTTCTAATTAGTTGTGATGTTTAGTTCTGTGCTAGGTATCATTCCAAACCTTTGATTAGATGTCCATCTTTCCATTCCATAGACAACCAAGGAATTTATAAGCTAAGACAGATAACATTAATATAGATAGTAAGATGGACTAGTCACTGAACTATCACTATATAAGTGATAATAATAGTTACTATCATAATACATACCATTTATTGAGCACTTACTATGTGCAAAGTACTGTTCTAAGATAAGAGCAGAACCAGGTTTTATGGGACCTACCAACAATTTCATTTAATTAGGAAACTGAGGAGGTCACGTAACGCATGCTGATGTTGTCAGTGGCAGCGCTGGGATTCAAACCGAGGTAATTTGGCTTCAGAGCTCTCACGAAAGATTGTAGCACTCTACTATTTTTCCCATTCAACAAAATTGTTAAAATGTTTAGGGAAAAAGTAGTGTCCTTGTTAGATCAATAATGAGGATGCCATAGGATTCAAATTCAGGGAAGACATGCAATGAAATGGAATGGAGGTGGTCCAATAAAAATGATGTCAAGTAAATTTGCCAAGGGCAAGAATTGCAGAGAAGACATAGAATTTTTAGTTTTTCTGCTGGACATGGTGGCTCATGCCTGTAATTTCAGCACTTTGGGAGGCCGAGGGTGGGGGGATCTTTTGAGCCTAGGAGTTGGAGACCAGCCTGGGTAACTATTAAAACGTTTTTTATTATATGTTTTTAGAGATAGGATCTTGCTCTGTTCCCCAGGCTGGATTACAGTGGCAAAATCATAGCTCACTGCAGCCTCAAACTCCTTGGGCTCAAGTGATACTGCCATCTCAGCTTCCTGAGTGGCTGGGCTACAGGTGAACACCACCATTCCCAGCTAATTTTAAAAGATATTTTGTAGAGGCCCAGGCGTGGTGGCTTACGCCTGAAATCCCAGCACTTTGGGAGGCCAAGGTGGGTGGATCACTTGAGGTCAGGAGTTCGAGATCAGCCTGGTCAACAACGTAAAACCCCTTCTCTACTAAAAGTACAAGAATTAGCTGGGCATGGTGGCGTGTGCCTGTAATCTCAACTACTCGGGAGGCTGAGGCAGGAGAATCGCTTGAACCTGTGAGGTGGAGGCTGCAGTGAGCCGAGATCATGCCACTGCACTCCAGCCTGGGTGACGGAGTGAGACTCGGTCTCAAAAAAAAAAAAAAAAGTAGAGATGAGATTTTGCTATGTTGCCCAGGTTGGTCTTGAACTCCTGGACTCAAGTGATCCTTTTGCTGGGGTTTCCCAAAGTGCTGGAATTACAAGCATGAGCCACCACACTTGGCCAAGACATACAATATTAAGGTTGATTATGAAGCTCCGTTTCAAGGGAATTCATCTGGTAACTCCCTATATTTCAACATTTTTTCTGGAATAGTCAGGTTTTTGTTGTTGCTGTTTGTTTTCTTTTCTTTTCTTTTCTTTCTTTCTTTCTTTTTTTTTTTTTTTAGAGATGGAGTCTCACTCTGTGACCCAGGCGGCTAGAGTGCAGTGGAGTGAGCATGGCTCACTGCAGCCTTGACCTCCTGGGCTCAAGCTGTTCTCCCACCTCAGCCTCCCAAGTAGCTGGGATAATAGGCGCAAGCCACTGTGCCCTGCTGAAACAGTCAGCTTTCAAGTCTGGAACTTGAAATCTAAAGAATCAGGATACTACAGTGGAAAAAGTACTGAGTGTCAGGATACTTGATTTCTAGTAATAACTCTGCCATTGAGGACGTAAGGATAATTATTTTACTTAGAGGCTCTCTTAATTTTACAATTATTTGAAATAATTTTCACATAGTTTCTACATAATTTAAGTTGATATAAAAGGACTCATCATAGGGAATAAATGTTCCTAATTTCTCTAGTACTATTCATGAACCATCAACCTTCAAGTCTCACAAGTACAAAAATATTGGTTATTCTGATCTTTATTCTATTTTGTATACTCCTCATCAAGACTGTCGCTAACTTCTGTGGCCCACCTCCCTCTCTCCATTTTGATCACCATTATTTTCATAGTTTATAGCTTTTTGATTAGATGATCTCAATAGCTACTTATCTTCCTGGGATGTTTCTCAGGTCTTCACTGAGCAAAAACATTGACTGTATTGAGTTTTTTCCAGTTGCCAGTTACTGAGTTTGGGAATGAGAGGATATCATGGTATAAGTTGGGTCCTGCACCTGCAGGAGCCTCCCAGTACTGTGAGACCTAGAAAAGGGAGCCAGGAATGATTTTACTGAGGAAGTAAATAATTATGTTGGGTATTGAAGGGTGAGTAGGAGTTTTCTGAGCAAACAAGAACATGTAGGCAGAGGAAGTAGCACTTGTAGTGGAACGGAAGCATGAAAGCTTATTGTCCACTCATAGAGGGACAACAGGTTTAGCATGATTGATGTGTAGGGTCTGGAGGAGGGGAAGGAGACAGGGAACAGTAATGGAGTTATAGAGGTGGGTTAGGGCAGGTGTTGGTGGTTTTTTTTTTATGGTGTATGAGGTATTTGTTTACAAGGGGGGATGTGTAGATTCTATTTAGGGGAGATAAATTGGTGATACAGAGGCTGAATTAGCATAAGGGGACTAGTCGGAAGGTTGTTGCAGTTATTTAGAGGAGGGTAGATGAAAACTTAAGTTAGGGCAGTGGCAGTGGGAAAGAGAAGGAGGACTGTATTTGAAGGAGAATCACATGGATTTGGTGGTAGATTCGATTTGGGAAGTCAGTGGAGAAAGAGCCTCACAGAGACTGTGAGCTAAGGTGTGATACTATTAGGCATGAAAGGGAATGTCAACAGAGGGACTGGGGAATAGTTATCTATGATTTATGTGTCTGAGGTTGGAATTGTTCAGTAGGTGGTTGGGAAATAGATGGGGTGTCCAAAAAAGTTTGATAGTCATCAGCATATTTATCAGCCAGTGATTCTCGTGTTTGTGTGTTTGCATGAGTGTGTGTGTGTGTGTGTGTGTGTGTGTGCACGAGTGCACACAGTAAGGTGGGGTATGTGTATCAGGCCCACCTGAGGGGATTTTAAAACAACATCCTTATCTGTAATACTTAAAGATCCCCCCATTCATAGCCCTGTTAAGAATCATAGCTATCTGGGTCATGCCTGTAAACCCAACTCTTTGGGAGGCTGATGCGGGAGGATTGCTTGAGCCCAGGAGTTTGGGACCAGCCTAGGCATCATGGTGGAACCCCATCTCTAAAAAAATACAAAAATTAGCTTGGTATGGTGGTGTGTGCCTGTAGTCCCAGTTAGTCGGGAGGCTGAAGTGGGAGGATCACCTGTGCCTGGGGAGGTTGAGGCTGCAGTGAGGTGTGTTTGTGCCAATGAACTCCAGCCTGGGTGACAGAGTGAGACCCTGTCTTAAAAAAAAAAAATATAGCTATGAGAGAAGCCAGAAAGGTAGAAAAGGAGCACATTCAGAACCCTGAAAAATGCCAGAGAAAATGGAGAGGGAAAAGAAAGAGACATGAATTTGAAAGATGAATCATCAGGGTGGTAGAGAGAATAGAAGAAAAGAGTGCCGTGGAAGCTAAAGTTACAGAACATGTCAAGGAAGTCAGTGGCGTCAGAAGCTCTTTCAATCCCTCCAGAAACAGTTGCCTGAAAAGTCTTTCTATTTTACCTCATCTGTGTCTATCACCAGCAAGGTAAAATTCTTGGCCTGTTTTTTCAGACACACCTTTAAATTTGCACTTTCAACCTATGCTGTCCTCTCCCAGCTTTCCTGTGAGTATAGTGGTTAAGACAGAACCAGGCTGCTGGGTTTTGAATTCCAGCTCCTCTGCTTGTGAAGTTCTCCTTCACCCTATGCTGTGGTTTGAATGTGTCCCCCCAGAGTTCCTATGTGCGAAACGTAATCCCCAATACAACAATGTTTGAAAGTGGGACCTTTAAGAGGCAAGACCCTCATGAATGGATTAATGGCATTTGCGTGAGAGTGGGCTCCTGATAAAAGGATAAGTTTGGCCCCCTTTTGCTCTTGCATTCTCACACGTATGCTCTCTTGACCTTCTGCCTTCCACCATGGGATGATGCAGCAGGAAGGCCTTCAACAGATGTTGGCATCTTGGTATTGGACTTACCAGCCTTCAGAACTGTGAGAAATAAATTTCTTTTCTTTATAAATTACTCCCCGTGGGCTGGTGCAGTGGCTCATGCCTGTAATCCTAGAACTTTGGGAGGCTGAGGTGGGAGGATCACCCAAGCACAGGAGTTTAAGACCAGCCTGGGCAATATAGCAAGATCCCATCTCTACAAAAATTTTAGAAATTAGCAGAGTGTGGTGGCATGCACCAGTGGTCCCAGCTACTCAGGAGTCTGAGACAGGAGGATTGCTTGAGCCCAAGTATGGAGACTGCGGTAAGCTGTGTTTTCATCACTGCATTCCAGCCTGGGCAACAGAGAGAGACCCTGTCTCAAGATAAAAAACAAAGACCGTTGCCAATTCTTGGAGATCCTCTTTAATTAAAATAATATAGGTGTTTAGTCCTTCTTCCTTTAGCACTTATAATTTAGTATGAATTGTATTATTTTATACTTGTTACTTGTGAAAAAAATCCACAAGTCATTTTAATCTCACTGTGTGCAGAATACTTCTCTTGCCACAATGGCCAGTGCAGACAGTGCTGTGTATCTATGAGGTCCTCTATATCTGCCTGCTGACAGACAACAGCATTGGTTAGTACCAAACAGTCAAACAGAGAGCATCTTGTTTAGTATGCAGCAATGAGTTTGGACTAATGCCACACCAGAATGTTCACAAACGGACCCGATAAGATGAAATGTCACCACAACAACATGTGTCTCACTCAATGATATGCCTTAGTGTTAACATTGAACAAATTCCTTTTTGTTACTTCTTTCACAGAAACCCACAGATTCTGAGGTTAGTCTATATGAATCTCAGTTAGGGAGTCCGGCATTTAACTTCCTTTCCTTTAAAAAAATTTAAATGTAACATATATATGGAAAGGTGCACAAATTATAAGTGTAGAGTTTGCTGAATTATTAAAAGTGTGCAAACGTGTTTAGTCATCACTAGTCAAGAAATAGATTACCAGCAACTCTGAAACACCCCTTGTTTTTCTCTCTGATTATCATCTTCTCCCTCCTTCCCAGTGGTGGGGCATTTAACTTTGGCTTTTTGTTTGTAGTGGCCAGATCCCCTCTAACTTCTTTCTCCACGAAGCATATTCTGCTAGCCCATTAGGAGAACCTTTAACAATTTGGCCAAAGCCAGCAGTTCCTTTTCTATGGTTATTTTCCCCATCTGTTTAGAATTCACATCCACATTGTATTTTTGCCTCATCTAATCAAGCAAGGGAATGTCTCAAGAGTATGTGCTCCATAAACTACTTAATTTTCTGAAATACTCACTGCCAGGGGCCTAATGAGAAACCACCAGATCTTCTCTGGCTGTAAGTCTGTCTCAGGGCCTGTGTGTCTCAAAGAGCCATGCACTGCACACAGGCTGCTGCAAATTTAAGAAATAATTTCCATTTATTTTTGCTTAGGTCAGAGTTCTTGTCATAGTTGTAGCCACAGTAATGCACTTTATTGTTTTTCCTTATATTTATGCTCTAAGCATTATAACATATTGCATATGCTTATTGTAAGTAGAGAAGTTAAAAAACAATCACAGGATGGATCCAGTTTCCATGTTAACACAGAACAAGCATGTCTCGCAGCTATCTTCAAGGATGTATGTCGTGGAATCTAGGTTGCTTTAATAGCAAGACTTAGTTTCATTTTTATTCTTTGTCATTCTTATACTATGAATACTGAGTCCTTGTTTAAAATGAAAGTCTTTCAAAAGTTAAAATTTTTTTAATTTATTAATCTTTTCAGAAACAGAGTTTTTCTCTGTCACAAAAGCACAAGTACAGAGGCCCAATCATAGCTCACTGCAGCCTCTAACTCCTGGGCTCAATCAATCCTCCTGTCTTAGCCTCTCAAGTTAGCTGGGACTACAGGCATGCACCACCATGCCTGGATAATTTAAAGTTGTTTTTTTTTTTTTTTTGTAGAGACAGGGTCTCACTATGTTGCCCAGCTGGTCTTGAACTCCTGGCCTCAAGTGATTCTCCTGCCTCAGCCTCCCAAAGTGCTGGGATTACAGTTGTATGCCACTGCACTAAGCCTAAAAGTTTTAACATAATGCTAAAGGCATTGGTTTTGAGAAAAATTATTCAAATAATTCTCAAATGAATTTGGAGACTTCAATTCAGGCAAGAATTAGGTAGAATGAAATAATTAGAATAGGATAAATATAAATAAATATAAGTTAAATAGAATACATATAATTGAGGAATTAATCATAAGAACTTTGAAGCCCTATAATATAGTTAAAAAAGACTCTAAACCTATTTTAAGGGCTATAGGCACCCAATGGAATATTGATTGTCTGCCTCCTGGGTGGACTTTTTTTTTTTTTTTAATAACTGTTACTTAATGGTTATTTAACACAATGTTTTAACACAATATATCTCAATGAGAGAATATTGGACCTGCGGCAGTTCACAGCTTTCCTCTATCTAGGATCAATCCTTTTATTATCTTGAGTTATGATGGTTGTTTGCAAGTGTAGGATTACGGTTGGTATGAAATGCGCTTCATGGTCACATAGGAACAATCCCAAAAGGAACACTGGGTAAATCGGGATCATTGCTGAAGGGGGAACATCATGTTTTCCATTTTCTCACCACAACTGTGTTCTAATCCAGACAAATGGAACTGCACAAGATAACAGTTGCCAACAGAAAGGACAATATCGTCTCCAAACTAGATGCTGACCTGCCACTGTGCATAAAAAAGTGCCAATTGTTTGGTTTTTCTAGGTTGTAAATCAAAGAAAGTGATATTTATGAGACTGTGGAGTATAGCTGTTATTATGTGAGTGTTATGAGTCAGTGTTGGATGAGAAGCCAGGAGTTTCTTTAAACGGAAGTGATAGTTCTCGTATCTCATCCCTCTAACCCAGCACTTTCCGGCACACCTTTCTGCATTGATGGAAACGTCCTGCATCAGTCCTGTTCGATACAGTAGCTACTGGCCACATGCGACTGTTGAGTGCTTGAAATGTGGCTGAGGAATTGAGGAAATGAATTTTTAATTTTATTTAGTTTTAATTAATTTAAGTAGCCACAGGTGGCTAATGCTTTTACTGTATTGAACAGCATCATTTAGATTATGAATTTGTGCTAACCAAGAAATCATAATGCAGGGCCAGGTGCAGTGGCTCACACATGTAATCCCAGCATTTTGGGAGGCTGAGGTAGCAGATCGCTTGAGCTCAGCAATTTGAGACCAGCCTGGGCAACATGGCGAAACCCCATCTCCACAGAAAATACCAAAAAATTAGCTGAGCGTAATGGTGCGTGCTTGTAGTCCCAGCTACCTGGAGACTGAGGTGGGAGGATCACCTGAGCCTGGTGGTGGAGGTCAAGGCTGCAGTGAGCCATGATCACACCACTACATTCTAGCCTGGGCAACAGAGTCAGACTGTGTCTCAAAAATAAAACAAAGCAAAATGCACACACACACACACACACACACACACACACACACACACAGAGAGAGAGAGAGAGAGACAGAAAGTAATGCTTAACATGCAGAATAATGGGTCATATTGACTTGTATTTACTTTAGAGTTGAAAAATCTCTTTGTATTAACACATCGAAATAACACAATTTAATGTAGCTTATGCTTCACTCTCAGAAATAAAATTCTTGCCAAATAACATGATATCTTTCTGGCTTCAAACAACAGAAAATATATTGTCTTACAGCTCTGGAGGCTAGAAGTCCAAAATCAATGTGTTGGCAGGGCTGGTTCCTTCTGGAGGCACTAAGGGAGAATTTATTCTATGTCTCTTTCCTAACTTGTGGTGGTTGCCAGAAATATTAGGCATCCCTCGGCTTAAACAACATAATATTTTTTAATCCATTGGTTTGGGCATTTCTTAAAGACAAATGCCTATTGACTGGGAAGTAAGGAGATGAACAGGCATTTCTGTTTTTATAGGGATGGTTGTATTTACCACACAATAAACAAAAGTACCTTCCAGTTGTCTAAACACAGATTGTAACATAACTTTTCTTGTATGAGTTTTTGCTTGTTGAATTCTTAGGTTTCTTATCTGAGAATCACATTCTCATTGCTTCTTGACTGAAAGATATTTGGCTTCTCCTAGTCCTTATGCTTCTAATAGTCTCTTCTCTTTATGACAATTTGATATAGCCTCTGAGTGTCAGTATATTCCATCTTACCAAACTAATTCCACCACCATCTAAAACTGGAATGAAAAATTATGTTGGTTGAAGTCCACTTCTGGCTTCCTGACCAGATCTTTAGTTTTGAGGTTTCCATATGTTAGTTTATGTTATTTGAGACAAGACAATTGAATGTAGCAGTCAGTTAGAGACCTGGTCTTTGTGCTCTTGAAACCTGACTTTGCTTTCGATCAATGAAGGGATTGGATTTTATGCTTATACAAGTAAGAAAGAACAATTGGAAACCTATTTCAACTTTGTGCCAACAGTTAGTAAGTGTTACACACTCTTTCGAGCTTTCGCCATTGACTAAAGAAAAAAAAGCACTAGAAGTCAAAGATAAGGATCTAACTATAGAGGAAGTTTAAAAAGAAAAAACTGAAAAGGTGCTCATAACGCTTTGTGCAGCATTAAAGTTAAAGTCAAAGATATTTGTTTTGATCAAATGGTAGGTACCTGCATAGGTATCTATCATCTTTTCGTAGAGGCAGCTGATGAGTGGAAATTTGTGGTGTTTGGAGTGAGACATCCCTTGATTAGAATCCTGGTTCTGCTGCAACATGGCTGTGTGACCTCAGGCAAATTTCCTAAGCCCTTTGAGCCTCATTTGTTAAATGAGGATAAAAATGCCCTCTTTGAAGTGTTAATAAGATATGTTTGTGACATGCTTGGGGCCTGGTTGTTATTCTTTGTCCAGTCTAACCTAGCGCTGTTTACGTATAACAAATTCTATCTCTATCACTTTCTTCTTTTTCCTTTTCCCTAGGTGAACCCAGTGCTCTCAGAACCAGGCTGGGGATGGGCAAGCAATAGCCACGTAATATTTATGTTGTAGAAACATAGATTTCAGTATTTTCAAGTAGATCCTGGCTATTTTCTTTCAAATAAGATCAGTTCCATAGTCCTCTTTCCAAACACAGGCTGGTAGCAAAAATATAGTTCCTTAACTTCCAGCAAAACCTCTTACCAAGAACTCTATAAAAAATGAACCATTGACCTAAGTGTTTTAAGTGCAAGGGAAACTAAAATGTCCTTGTAAGCCCCTTGAGGGCAAGGAAGTGATTAAAGAATGCCCTGAATGTTTTCCTGTGCCCTGTACCTAGCAGCTACTTTGTAAATGTTTGTTAAGCAGAATCAGGTTGACATGTTCGTGTAGGCTTTTTGCTATAATTGAACATAGTAACTTGTGGAAATCAATGTGCCAGTAGCCTCCTATTTTTATGGTACATTGCATGTATTATATAATTATGCAAAAATACGTAATTACATACCTATACATAACTCCTTGTAACAAATGTCTTTCAATGACTCAAAAACTTGTAATGTAAAATATACAGTTGCAATGTTTATCTAGTATCACAAATAGAAATTAAAGGATAAATATTATATGTATAATTAAATAAATTCCACAGAAGCCCTTAATTTAGGTATATTGGCTGGGCATGTTGACTCACACCTCAAAAAAAAAATTAGGTATATTATAGTGAGGGCATTGATATTGGCCAAGTACCATTTTGGTGGCTTTGGTAAATCACCAATATTGTCAAGCCTTGATGATGGTTTTGTAATGTTGTACTGTTGATCTAATCTCAGTGAATTGCCAGGTCTGTGATAGTCAGCACAACTAATGCTCAAATCAGTCCTTGTTTATGACAAAGCTGTTCAACTCCTGAGTGTGGTATACACATAGCACATGTGCAGGAAGGAAAGCTATTGCCAGGCCACAGTGCAGCGGTGTCCTGAGTTATGATCAAAATAAAAATGTAGGCAGTATTTTTAACCTGAATTGTGTGTAGGATAAAAAGAGGTGTGATGAAAGACTTTGGGACCACATCTTTATATATTACCCATATCTTTGAAAATTATTATATCATTCAGTACTCAAACTACAGGTGGAAAGCATAATTGTTTCTAATTTATATGAGCAAGGAATGTGTCTTTTGAATTGCTACGTACCTGGGATTCCTTTTGACACTTACTCAGTACAATGAAATCTTGCCACAGCATTTGGACAGCCTTAAAAGTAACTGAAATGCTGTGTATCCCAGTTGACTTCTTCCCGCTGTGCTAGACAATAAATACATAATGGTGTTTAATAGGTCTATGGACTTGGAGTCTGCCTTATTTTAACCTAATCATAATGCTTTTTTAAAAGAAATAATTGATATCCTACCATCTACTAGAATATAGTTGTTACTCTCACTTAACCCTCTACCAAATAGCACAATTAAATAAAATCTAATCCTGTATAAAAACAAGGGAAGTCAGAGAATTTAATGTTTACTTTAGTCATTTTTTAAACTTGGTTTCTCTTTGTCCTATCTAGACTCTTCTTTGAATCCCAAATAATAAAATCTAGCATTAGAAGGGACTTGGAGATCATCTATTCCACCTGCCTTGTTTTACAGTGGTCCAAAGATATGAGATAATTTTCAGAAACTCATACATTTAGCTAATGGAAGACGAGGGGCTTGTGGATTGTAGACTCTGGACCCTTGGAGAATATTTTCATAGCTGTTTATGTTAACCGAAGTATCACTCCATTCTATATGTGACTCCATAATATTTACTCATTTGCAGATGCCATTTGTTCTTTTATCAGAAGAGTCCTTAGGCAAGTAGATCCTTGAATTCCCTAATTTTACATATGTGGAAACCGACACTCTGAGTTGTAATTTACCGAGGTCACACAGCTATTTTAGTAGCATAACCAGGACTAGAGCCTTGGTGGCCTGACTTCTACCTAGTGCAGGGCTCTTTCTGTTGGGCATCCATTCAGATCCTGTATTGTTAGTCTGTCCTCACATTGCTATGAAGAAATATTTGAGACTGGGTAATTTTTAAACAAAAGAGGTTTAATTGGCTTATGGTTTAATAGGCTGTACAGGAAGCATGGCAGCATCTACTTCTGGGGAGGCCTCAGGGAGCTTTGGCTCATGGCAGAGGGCAAAGCAGGAGCAGGCATCTTCACATTGCTGGAGCAGGAGCAAGAGAGAGAGGTAGGCGGCGCCACACACTTTTAAATAACCAGATCTTGTGAGAACTCTGTCATGAGAACAGCACCAAGTGGGAAATCTGCCTTTAAGATCCAGTCACCTCCCACCAGGCCCCACCAACACTGGGATTACAATTTACATGAAATTTGGGCGGGGACACAGATCCAAACCACATCAGATCCCATTCACAGTTTATTTTTATGTTTGCATTTGGTGATATCTGTAACCAAGAGAGGTTACTGATATTTTCAGCCTTGGGAATCAAACCATCGAGCTTAAGAGAGGAATCATTATAGCACAGCCACATGCTTAGGAATAGATTTTTATCTTTGCTATAGGTAACAATAATATATTGGGAAAATCTAGTTGGTGCTGTATATGCTGTGATGTAACCCTAAGTATGCATCTCAGGTCTGCAGTGTTTAAACTAGATCTTCTGTTTACAGAACTGCTGACAAATATTCTCGGGAAAGGATGATATGAAATAGAATATTCTGTTTACTATTTAAGGCCCTAAAACAGTGCCCTCTGAAGGAAAAATAAAATAAGAAGGAAGTATCTTAAAGAGGATATTATTTTTTCTTTATTTTAAAACCAATGTGGCTCTCAAAGTGCTCAGTGTGGCTCTCAAAGTGCTGTAATCCCAGCACTTTGAGAGGTGGAGACAGGAGGGTCACTTGAACACGGAGTTCAAGACTACCCTGAGCAACACAGGGAGAGCCTGTCTTGGTGTGAACCCAGGAGGCGGAGCTTGTAGTGAGCTGAGATCGCACCACTGCACTCCAGCCTGGGCGACAGAGTGAGACTCCGTCTCAAAAAAAAAAAAAGATAATGATAAGAAAATGAAACCAATCCAACTTAATTTGAAAAATGGAGAAAAGCGTAGCAAAGAAGTTAAAATCACTAATAACTATATCCCCAGTGATAATCACAATTATGTTGATATATTTCCTTATAGTATTTACTTATTTAATTTTTATTTATGGAGACGAGTTCTCACTATGTCACCCAGGCTGGTCTCAGACTCCTAGGGAGCTCAAATGATCTTCTTGCCTTAGCCTCCCAAAGTGCTAGGGCTACAGGTGTGAGCCACCATGCCTGCCCCTCCTTATAGTCTTTAGTTTCTGTGTTTAAAATCCCATTTATAGGATTGTCATGATTTATGTTATACAATTTCATATTTTTATATTATATTCTAAGAATATTTCTGTCATTTTATATTTTGAGCATAAATACCATTTTTTAATGAAGGTATGCCATAATTTATTTAATTAAAACCTTGTTGGCTATATGATTGTTCTTTCTAGTTTTTTACTGTTTACAACAATGTATCATTATATTAAATGGGAAAATGTGAAGGCTTAGTCAGAGGGAGTATCTGGCAGGGCAAACAGCATGGGTGACACATTGGTTGTTGCTTTCTAGTTTTAAAAATTGCTTCCTCAGAAGGAAAATTGCATTCTTCTCTTTCTGTAGATCTGAACGTTCTTTTCTTGTCAGTTATAGGTGCTTGTTTTCATTTAGTTGTTGGTGACTGAAATCGAGGAATCGGAAGAATAATTAGTCCACAGCAGGTACACCAAGCCTGGCTCCATCTAAATGTCACTCCTTTCTACCTCCATCTCCCCAACCCTGTAGGTTAAAGTAGTCCAAGAAATCACTTACAGCATTAAGCAATAACCTTGAAGTATTTTCTTTTTCCAAATGCTGAAGATGCCAAAGTGCTTTAGAAAACAACCAATTTACATTTTTAACATTCTTCTCATTCGTAATATTAATAAGTAATTTCCGCTTATCTGTGAATACAGGTCCTAAGCATTCATAGAGCGTACGTTTCACTTCAGCTTTTGAGAAGCAAGTATCTATTTGATATTGGATTTTAGATGCCTAAGATATAGTAGCAAATTGTTATCAGCTATATAGACCTATATTTATAAACATACAAATTGTGTTGCAAAAGGAGGATTTTTTGGTTGATTTCTAGATGAGTGATACTTTAATTTTTAGTATTTTGGTAAATAATTCTCAGTTATTGGGGGACAAGAACGTCAATAAAACATTTGGACCACTGTTAGTGATCATGGAAGAGGGAAGGAGGATACAGCTCCTCTTTTATGAATATTCCCTGATATATCCAAATGGAGTTAAATTTCTTTTTGTGTGGAGTGTAAATTTTGTGTAGTGTTCAAATGTTGTACTCATACTATATCGTATTGTTTCTTTACATGTGTACATTCAAAGCTTCCACGTGAAGCTACTCTGGTTGTATACAGCACTACCATGTGAGTCATAGCTGTGGCAATGTGTACAGTGTATGATTCTGTCTACATCCTCCAGAAAACAGTGAGCACTTTGACAGAAGTAATTAATTGAGTCCTGGCCATTTTTGTATGCCCAGCACTTAGCATAGAGCCTGACTCATGGTAGGTGTTCCTTATTTTCTTTTGAACGAATAAGGGAAGGAATGTGCTACTGTTAAGCCACATTCCTCTCTGTTTTCCAGACTATGTTTGGGTAGTTGGTTTCCCCAAGTAAAGAATTTAGACATGAAAATCCACTTGCACAAGCACTGTAGGATAGATGTATAACTGATTAAACAGATGCACTGAAAAACGTTAAAGAGTTCTTCTTAACCTAAAGCATATTTTCCAAAGTGTGTTTGGTAGGACATTAGTCCTGCAAGGTACACTTTAGAAAAAAGTTTCTAGTTAAATAAGTTTGGGAAAAAAGGTACACTATATCCTCCTGTTAAAGATTAGCAATGTATGTTAGCATATTAAAGGTTCTGGAGATAAGGTGGTTGAGTACCTCAAGAAATAAAAATGTTATATAAAACTGATAAAAGGATAGAGAGAGACTATCATCAGGGGAGATGGGTTTATTGCTGTCTCTGGGCATTAGGGGACACTTGATGAAGGACTCTCACGAGATGGTTCTTGAAAGAAAGGATTGGAGCATAAGATGAGATGGGATGAGTTTCTCCGGCGTGAATTCCCCACTCATGGCATTTAATAGAAACAACACTTTTTGCTTTGTTTTTTTTTGGTTCTTTTTGAGATGGAGTCTCGTTCCGTCGCTCAGGCTGGAGTGCAGTGGCGCGATCTTGGCTCACTGCAACCTCCACCTCCCAGAATAAAGCAATTTTTCCTGCCTCAGCCTCCCAAGTAGCTGGGATTACAGGCACCCACCACCACACCCAGCTAATTTTTGTATTTTTAGTAGAGATGAGATTTCACCGTGTTGGCCAGGCTGGTTTCAAACTCTTGGCCTCAAGTGATCTGCCCACCTCAGCCTCCCAAAGTGTTGGGACTACTGTTGTGAGCCATCGTTCCTGGCCAGAATCTGCACTTAAAACAAAATAAAAAACAAAAACAAATTATATGCTGGTATCCACATGTTAACTTGTTTTGTACCTCCCTCACTCTTTACATTTCCCTCCCCTATCCGCACTGACATGTCATTTTGTTTCCACTCAATAGGTCAGTGAGATTAGGAGTATTAAATTAATTGAACTCATGTTCACACAATTTATCTCAGGGGAAAAATCGTGCCCTGTCATGTAATCGGCCAAAAGAAAGGACCAAATAACTGGATGTAACCATTCTAATAAGGTAGCATGAAAATTCTGGACTAATCTTTTCAATAATTTTCATGAGCTGTGTCTAGGAGCAAGTGTGGTTGTTAAGCTTTTTGCCTGGCGCAAGTTCTGAAAAAGTTTGAAAGTCACTTTTAAAGGGTACATGATCACTTTCAGTTTGCCCTTTGGGACATTTCTTCAGGTCACTTAAGGTTAAAAGACCTTGGTCATAATACTTTTTGCGAAGAAATGTTTACTCAGCCCATTTATTAGCTTCAGGTTGTCCTCAATTAGCAAGTGGTCTCACGTTTATAGCATCCACAACAGCTCTCTCAATTTTCCCCTTATAAGAGGAAAGAGTGGAAGGATGTGGCTGGCAGTACTTATACCAATTAGGACATTCTCTCTCTTCAAGGAGCAGAATGTGTCTTTTTACTGATTTATATATGGAGAAACTTCTGGATACTTTTCTCTCATTGCTCAGCTTTCCAATGGTAACACCACCAAGAAGAGGGCACAAGAGAAAACACCCCAGCTCTGGATGTTTTTATTTCACCACCTTTTTCCCCACAGTTGAGCTGACATGCCCGGTAACTAAGCTTAGGAATGGCCCACAGCTTGTAGTGCGCAGTGTCTTTTGGTTCAAGGGCCCAAGGCAAAGCAGTCAGATCTGGTGCTCCTTATGCTTCATGGGTAGTCTCTCCCATCCTCTGCATTGTGGAGTTTGGCAGCTGTTTTGGTGTTCTTTCTTTCTAACTCTGGATAAAAGGCAGAAAGGACTTAAAGTCACCACTGATTTATTGGAGGACTGAAGGCAGTATTGATGAACATGAAGTAAGTCCCCTTTGGTCATTTAAAAACATGTCATATTTACTTTTTGCAACACATTAATAGTAACTTTGTAAGACGTATTCTTTCAAATGACATTACACACATGTACAATATATGCTTTTTATGAAAAGGTCTAAAGCCAAAATGTTTAAAACACATGTTGATTAAAAACTTGGAGGTGGTGGGTGAGGAGATAATTTGCTCCAGTGACTTTTGTATAAAGATTGGCAGTTTTTAAAGGAAGGGAAAATCTTCTCCTGAGCCTGATTTCATTCCATAGTTTACTTAAAGAAAAAGCTGTCTTGACGTTTTGAATTATTAAATTTAGAAGGTATAAAAATATTATGATTATTTTATTTCTGTGGTGAAATTTTAATATAATTCTTATGATTTATGTAAAGTATGTTCTTCTTTTGATAGATTCACAGAAATGTTTCCATCTTATTTTCTATTTCTAAAGTCTGAACATTGAATCTCCTTCTGCCACTCGTATCATTGTGGCAGATATCATATCATATCATTTTCACCTTTATCTTTAGGTAGGAACTTGCTGCCACCCTACCTGAGAACAGTGTACAGTAAGATCTTTGTAGTTGATGCTGTATTACATATTTACCTCTCTGTGAGCTATTTTCATTTTAATAGAGCTGAAATGGTTACCAGAAAGGGGTTCCCATCCAGACCCCAAGAGACGGTTCTTGGACCTCACACAAGAAAGAATTTGGGGCAAATCCATAGAATATAGAATAAAGTGAAAGCAAGTTTATTAGGAAGTAAAGGAATAAATAGTGGCTACTCCATAGGCAGAGCAGCGGCGTGGGCTGCTCAACTGATTATGCTTATAGTTCTTTTCTTTTCTTTTTTCTTTTTTCTTTTTTTTTATGGTGTCTCACTCTGTCGCCTAGGCTGGAGTATAGTGGCACTATCTTGGCTTACTGCAACCTCCATCTCCCAGGTTCAAGCAATTCTCCTGCCTCAGCCTCCTGAGTAGCTGGGATTATAGGCCCATGCCACCACACCACCACGCCTGGATAATTTTTGTATTTTTAGTAGGGATGAGGCTTCACCATGTTGGCCAGGCTGGTCTCGAATGCCTGACCTCAAGTGATCCACCTGCCTCAGCTTCCCAAAGTGCTGGGATTACAGGCATGAGCCACTGTGCCTGGCCTAGTTATTTCTTGATTCTATGCTAAGCAAGGGGTGGATTTATGAGTTTTCTGTGAAAGGGGCAGGCAGTTCCTGGAACTGAGGCTTCTTCTCCTTTTTCGACCATCTAGGGTAACTTCTGGATGTTGCCATGGCATTTGTAAACTGTCATGGCGCCAGTGGGAGTGTCCTTTAGCAAGCCAATGCATTATAATTAGTGTATAATGAGCAGTGAGGATTACTGGAGGTCACTTCCATCACCATCTTGGTTTTGGTTGGATTTGGCCAGCTTCTTAACTGCATGCTGTTTTATCGGCAGGATCTTTGTGACTTGTATCTTGTGCTAAGCTTGTATCTCATCCTGTGACTTAGAATGCCTAACCTCCTGGGAATGCAGCCCAGTAGGTGTCAGACTTATTTTACCCAGCCTGTGTTCAAGATGGAGTCACTCTGGTTCAAATGCCTCTGAAAAAACCTTTAAATTAAAAAAAAATTATTGTAATGGTGGATTTTCAGGAATCAATTACTAGGTAAGGAAACCATGGGAGTCAAGGAATAAGTATAAAAACCCTAAAGAAAAGATAGTCCAGGGAATTACTCTGCTTAAATTTAAGGTTGGTTTTATGTACTTCCTTAGTAGTTGTCTCAATCCTTAAATATCTTTTAAAATAAGAAAAATAAGTTGGACTATTATCAATAATAGTGTAACCACTCAATGGGTTCTTCTTACCCACTGCCCAGATAAAGCCAATTTATCAAGGCAGGGGAACTGCAATAGAGAAAGAGCTTTACATATTCAGAACCAGTTAAACAGGAGAGCGGAGTTTTATTATTACTCAAATCAGCCTCCCTAAAAATTTGGAGGCTAGAGTTTTTCAAAAATAGTTGGGAGGAGGCAGGTGGCTGGGGAATGGGAGCTGCTGATTGTTTGGGGGTACAATCACAGAGCTGTGGAAAATGGTCTTCCTGTTTGCTGAGTCTGCTTCTAGGTGGGGCCACAGGACTTGTTGGTGGATCTGGGTGGAGCCATCAGTTGTCAGAAATGCAAAAACCTGAAAAGACATCTCAAAAGTCCATTCTTAGGTTCTAACAATAGTGGTGTTATCTGCAGGAGTGGTTGGAGAAGCTGCAAATATTGTGACCTCTGGAATAATGGCTGGTAATCCATTACATCTGTACGTTAGTATAATTCGGGTTCCTACCATCCTCCTAACTTGGTGGCCTTTCATTAGTTTTGCAAAGGTGGTTTAGTTTCTGGGGAGGGCTATTATCATTTAAACTATAAATTAAGCTTTTTGGGAGGAGGGGAATCCATACAAAAAAGAATCATTTTGTAGTCTTAAAATATTTGTTAATTTAATAAAGTTTTTAAACTATCTTTAGTGATTGGACTTCCTACCAAAATGACAAAAAAAAAAAACAAACAAAAAAAAACTATGTTTGGTGAATTTTATGTATCCAGTAACTACTTTTTGCTTTGTGATCCTGTATTTTTATCCTCAGATTGCTTATGTATTTCTGCATTTAGGAAGGAGATGGCAGTATTGAGCCTTGGCAGTGACTTAACCCCACTATTTGAAGGAGCTTAAAAGTTCTTCATAGAGAGGTATCAGTTTCATCTCTTGGGATTTTATTTTCTACACTTCCCCCCTCTCCCTCTTTGTATTCCCATGTGGAGAGTGAAAAACGTACTCTAGTATATGTTATATTAGATCTGTCATACCAGGATACTATTAAATTACTTATTCTCATTTCTACACATCTAAGAATGCCGACTTAAGGGATGTATAGAAAAAACTCTCTTCTAAAATAAAGAGAGCCAGCTCTAAAATGCAAAAGTATGTTTACGATGTGCCTGTTTTCCTAAGGCTTTGACAGGAAGAATTAACTTTACATTTCCAACATACAAAACACTTTACTGAGCCACATCTTATGGTAAATAAACTGTGCTCTGGGAATAAATTTTTCACCATTTCTTTTTTAGGGCAATAAGCTACTGCTAAGAAAATGACTTTTTCTAGTGCTGATGCCCTGAAAAAAAGTTTAGATGATGAGAGGAATTATTTACTTAGACTCCATTCACAGCCACTGTTTTGCCTGCATTCCAAATTTCAAAAGGATGATTCATGTACCTTTTAGCTCTATGTTGAAAAATAAAATGAGTCACAGTGCCCTTTGTCAATATCAAGAGTAATTAAAGAGTACATTTTTCAGCTATAAACTATAAGAAAAACAGAATGCTACCACGTAAAGTTGTAGTAAGTTGTTTTTAAAAGTATAAGCCAAGATTAGCAAACTGAGCCGCCATGTCAAAGGATCTGAATTGGTAGTTGGAATGGCACCCAATACTACAAGTTATGTTTTGAAAAGCTGTCCTGCCATGCTTAAAATAAGAAAAAGAAATATTTTAACTCATAAGATTATGTGGCTTTCTTTGAAATCTGGGCAATTAAATCACATACAAAAAGATGTGTAGTTGTTTAGTTTGATTATCATTGACAGTGGGATTTTCTTTGGTACCTTAACTTTTATATGTTCAAAATTGTTGTTGAAATGTTATGTGACAAATAATTTGTGGATTTAACTAAGCCAGCAAGCATATTTGGTTTCTATTATAAGTGAAGGACCCAACAACAACATCTTCATTTCATATTGTTCCGATAAATTTAATGACATTATTTTTTTTTGAACCAAAAGGAAATTTTTTCTCAGCTGGATTCTTTCACTGTAGGTTTTAATCACAAACTTTGAAAATGAGAACATAGCTATTATTTTTTATTAAAAGGATATGTTCTGGTTAGTTTGGAAAGGTCTGCCTAGTAAGGGCTTTCAATAACATGTCCAAGGACTTCAAATGTAATGCTGAAGTTAGAGAAAGTCAAATATGCCTTGTAGTACCATTGTATCTTAAGTGTTGTAAGATGCACACAAAGTGAATGTATATGCATTGTAAGGTAGTAAATTGTAAATTCCAACTGAGAAGAGGCCAGTGAAAGATTATCTACCCGGAGTGGGACATAGGTCTGTATATGTGGTACCAAGCTCATCTTGAGAGAGGGTATTGTACATGTGCTGTGTGTTATGAAAATTGAAGTTTACAGTGTCTTACATATAACATGTATTCGCTTAGTGCTTGCTGAGTGATTTAAATTTTATGACTATTCTTGCTTAGTAAGTTTTAGTTGTTTTTTTTTAAAGCCAATACTTCAAAACTCTTTGAGTTTTCTTATCCTTTCTGTTAAAGCAGGATTGTTCCCTGGGACAAGTTCAGTTTTACATAGATAAATATAATGTGAATTTCTTTAAAATGTATTTTTATTTAATGTATTATTTGTATTTTCATTCTTAATGTAGTTTTTAAGTAGAAGAAACGTTTAATCTTTAAATACTTTAGCCAAAGTGCTGAATATTACAGTTATGGGATCTGAAACATTCATTGGTTTTTAGCTCAATTAAAATATTTTACACTTGCTATATATGAAATCTTATACTAGTTTGAAATGAAGCAATTCATTGAAGTTGATGTTTTGGTCATGCTTTAGTTGTCTCACCAGTATTTTAGCCTTGTGAATATGTTTCAGGCTGCTCCTCTCTTTAAGGAACATTTCCTTAATTCTTTTCTCAGCAGCTTGAATAGGCACATATCAAAGTCAAATACATCTCCTAGCCCTAGATGGATTTCTAGGAGGAACCACCACTGTTAGCAATATTGAATTGTTAGTGTTTTTGCATAAAGTAAATAAACCCTGAGGAGAGCCCTTGAGTTCTTTGGAGTTATGCTGGAATGAGATTAAAAAATTAGAGTTTTCTCTTTTTTCCTCTCAGTCTTTCCTGTGTCTTCCATGCAGGGGCCGTCCTCATGTATTTTTGCTGGTATGTGTGATCCTCACAGAAAACAAATTCCTGTTGTTGTTTATTCATTCAGATATTTGTCAGACTCTTCTGCAAACTAGTGATGCAGAGCAGGAGAACTGACAGGGCCCTGTCCTGTTTTCAATACTCCGTAGCATCAATTCTTGGCAAACTTCAGTGGGACCTTGGCGGTGCTGCCCTCCTGGGCCTGGTCTTCATTATGGTGTGTAAAGAGCCACCTTTCTTAGCCAGGCTTGTAGGATATATCCCCGGGCAAAAGATGCCAGAACGTCTAGGACACTTGGTCTCAAAGAAACTCTCTTTGATTGAGTGGTCATGGTACATATATTAGCCAAAGACTTGATGATATTCTGTTATCTGGCCATCCCACATTTGGAGCCAGATATTATTTTGGGTACAAATGTCACTATTTCAGTCTCCTTGGAGCCAGAACAATTGTTATCTTTAGCTGAAATGCTAAATCTGTGTCTAGGTATGTACATAAGAGGATTCAGATGACATAATTTTACCTGAATTTTTTCAGACTACCATAGAAACTTGATTTGAATACAAGGAGAAAACATCGAAATTCATCTTTTTGAAAAACAAGAATGAAAACCACCAATGAAAACCACCAATTCCCCCCCCGCCATAAAAATGACTCTCTGCACCACTGGTTTGCAGAAGAGTCTGACAAACATTTGAATGTGTAAACAACAGGAATTGGTTTTCTGTAAGGATCACACATACCAGCAAAAAAAAGGTTGTCTCACACTTTCTCACAGCGATTTCATACTTCTACATGCTGCTAACTAGAAAGAAATTCTATGATATATTGATAATGTGAAATTAAACAGATTGTTTATTCCCTCTTAAAAATAGCGTGTTTTACTAGAACAACCTCAGAGGACTACTAAAGAAAATGATTTAAGTATTGCGCAGCAACAAATGATTGAGTCTAGTAAAGTGGGATTTTTCTTGCCTTCAAAGTTTCTAATATACTTGGTCTATTTAGAAAACAAACACATTTAATTGCTTCCATCTCTTAAATATGTCTAGTAAGTTCAGTTTTTAGTTGCTGTACAAATAAATTGGTCCTAGTTGCATTGCTTTCTTTCAAACATCATTTCAAATTAGGGCTTAATGTGGTTTGAACATTTTGCCAGAAATAGTCATCCTACTTTTGTCTGAGGGTGGTTGATTACATCTATCTTTTCCAGCTTACAAATGCCAATATATTTAGAGGAATGCAAACCCAACCCGGAGACCATTTGTCATCACACGTTGATTGTAACTCTATGTTTTATTATGGTGCGTAGGAGGAAAAGCAAACAAATAAAAATCTGAAGAAAAATGGAATGTCAGAACATGCTATACATTTTTGTTGCATCACCATGTTTAACCTATTTTTCTCTACTACTTTTAATGCTTAATTACCCAGATTATTCAAATATTTGTAAATACTTTTTAATGGTAGACTCAAAAATAGCTTTCAATATTTTAGTAGCAAATATACAGGAAGAATAAGTTATAACAAATGAGGGAGAAGTTTAACATTATTATTTCTTTTTTTTTTTTTTTTTGAGACAGAGTCTCGCTCTGTTGCCCAGACTGGAGTACAGTGTTGCGATCTTGGCTCACTGCATGCTCCACCTCCCGGGTTCAAGTGATTCTCCAGCCTCAGCCTCTTGGGTAGCTGGGAGTACAGGCACATGCCACCACACCCAGCTAATTTTTGTGTTTTTAGTGGAGACAGGGTTTTACCATCTTGGCCAGGCTGGTCTCGAACTCCTGACCTCAGGTGATCTGCCTGCTTTAGCCTCCTGAAGTGCTGGGATTACTGGTGTGAGCCAACACTCCCGGTCTAACATTATTATTTCAAAGCATGAGTTACAATAATTGTATATGGTATTTTCTAAAAATACTGGAGAAAAGACTCTGGGGAAAGAAAGCATTCTCAATGATATAATTGTTTAGTATCTACTCCCACGATGTGTATCCAAGGTCTGTATTTGTCCAGTTTGTGTACACAATCTTGTAATCTACTGTATCACTCTTTATTTTATTGTCATGAGGAATGCAGCTAAAGAGTGAAGAGGCTAGAAATATTTCCTATTTAATCAATTCCATGCCAAATCCATCCTGCTAAGCAAAATAGCAAGGTAGAGATGTTTGTATGATAGGAAAAAAGGTGTTTTTTTAAGTTCTGTGTAATAAGAAGCTAGCAGATAGCCAGCCATAGGTAGAATGTGACTGTGGTGAATGATTTCAGCATCCTGCTGAAATTTTTTTGGACTGTTGAAATCTGACCTACCTGAGGTGTCTATGGAAACTCTCAGAATCATTTTACGAAGCTCTCTTAGTGTGACTTGACCGAGCTAGAGTTAAGACTCCCTGAAGATTCTAACTCTTGTAATAGAGGCAGAGGCACTTAATGAGTGTCGTTTCTTTGCATCTATTCCGATTTTTTTTTTGTTTCCATTTTTTAGTCATTAACAAAGTAGAAAAAGCTTATGTTAATTAGGGTATAATCTAAGTTGCTGTATCAAAGACACCCTAAAATACAGTGACTCAGAAAAGAAAGAGGGCATAGAGGAGTTTTCATTCCATAAGGTGAAGGAATTCATGTTACTTCTGTTTTTCCCTTCTTTCCCCAAAATATGACTCCCATCTAATAGTAAAGGTGGATTACCACAACTCTGTTCTTGTCCTAGCCTCAATTGATGGTGGATAGTCATAAGAACGGAGGGAAAGCCACTTCCTTAATACAAATGTGGCCTGAAATTGTTTACATCACTTCCTTTCTTTCATATGTCATTGGCTGGAACTTAGTTATATGGTCACACCTAGCTGCAAAGGACTCTGCGAAGTATAGTTTGGGGATAGGCAATTATGTGTCCAGCTAAAAGTAAGAAGTAATGGGAAATATTCTATTATTACAAGGAAGGAACAGGAGAATGAATATTGGAGGACAATTAGTGGTCTGTGCCAAAGCACTCTACTTAAAATTTCTGATTTTTGTTACTTCATCTCCCATTTTCTCTTATTTCTCCCTCTTTATTCTTACTCTTTTGTGCTTATTGCCTCTTCTCCCTTCTTTTACACTAGAGTATTGACAATGAGAATGTTCAATGTAAATAGCTAGTGTTCTCCAGTGGTCCGTGTCCTACAAAGGGGCCTGTTGTATTTTGGCGGCGGCGGCAAGGGGGCCTGTTAACTATAGGTTAAATGTTTTATTCTATGGAATGTATTGCCCTATCACCTTTAATCCTTTCTAGAATAAGGTGAATATAGAAGAGAAAATAATGAAGGAAGGAAAGAAGAAAGGAAGGAAGGAGAGAGGGAGGAATAAAATAAAAAGAAAATGAGAATATAAGCTTCATGAAGGCAAGGATTTTTGTCTGTTTTGTTCACAGCTATACCTCTAGTACCTACAGTATTGCCAGAATCATTATTGGTGCAAAACAATTTATTGAATGAACAGTTAATTTTTCCATTTCACGATTTGTCCTCAAGTTTGTTTTAAACTCCAGCTTGTTGATTATACTAGTTTTCCATTAGAAAAGTCTTTCATAAATTCTGAATAGTAGGCTGTCTACAAATTCAACTTGGTATTGTCTCATACTACCTCATAATAGCAGACTTAATTTTGTTTTAGGTTGGATTCCATCTTTGAATAAGATTATAATTAGTTATTTCTCTAAGGGATGTTTGACATAGAATTATGATGAACCAGAGTAAATATATGGTAGCAATCTCTACCTTAAGCATATTTTGGTGCTCCTTAGAGGAGAGTGAACTGGTATAGATGAGAAATATGAAATTTATTACAACAAACATATTCTTTTTAATTCATTCTATTATTTGACTCTTTGGCTTTTCAAACCAGAAGTGAATGATAATAAAATAAACGGAGTTCTCTAAAACAAGGCCCCAGTAGCCAGAATGTAGAACCACTGAGAGAGGACCATCAATTCCTTCCCCCTTTATTTTTCTGTTAAACTCTTTTCCTGAGCCTCAGACAGCTCAGTATCAGTATTTAAAAACTAACATCTGATTTATTTATTCTCCTTGTCATCCATCCATAATCACCGAAGTGATCTTAGAGATGCCAAAGCTTAGTGGTTTGCAGTCTGCATGGGGGCGAGGGGAGAAGACAGAAGACGGTTGGTGACAGTGTGGGTTTCTTGCTGCCTTTTTGTCCACAGCAGTGTCATTTTATCAGTTTAACAGGTTGAATTCATTGGTAAATTTGGTTAAAAAAAGGATTCTCATTCTAACAAAAGTTTAGAAACCTTCAAACCTTTAATTTAGAAACCTTTCTTACTTTATAAGAAAACATTGAGGCATTGAGAGAAGGCATAATTTTTCAAAGGTTTCAAAAGCAGAATTCATGTCTTCTCATTCCTGGGCTAGGTATTATTCCACTGTATTTTGCATTAACTTGCTCAATAGCATTATGATATCTGTGATTTTTTTTTTGTTGCTGTTCAAAAAATGAGTATTTTTTTCCTCCTCTTTTTTAGAGCGATAGAATAAGGTTTGGCATAAAATAGGAAACCAGACAAGTTCTTCCAATAGTTTATAGTCTCTTCAAAACCAAGTAACAGGTAAGAAAAGTGCTGGTTCAAGCAGGCTATTCCTCTGTCGTGAATATTATGTTATCAGTCATTGATAAACAGTTGTCTGGGAGTGAAAGAGTTTCATTGCCATGAATTTAACTGAAAATAGTGAGCGCAATATGGTGGTCCCTTATGAAACCAAGTTATAGTGCTGGGGAGGTTGTCTAGGTGGAGTTGACCCTGGCTTACTGCAAGGACTGGGTGACCTGGAGAAAAATGAGTTAGAAATGACCTAATTGCTCTCTCTCCTGTGCTCTTCAATCCAAGCAGGCAGTGCCTTCATTGTATCTTTATTATAACTTGTGTCTGTACTTGCTAAATTTTTGCTTCTGAGAAATCAAAGAATACAAAGATTCCTTCATGCTTGGAAGAGGCTGTGTTTTCTATATTTCAAGTGGATGTACTTAGTACTCTAGAATGGAATGATACTCACCTGTTCTCCATAAGCCTATTAGGTGATTTTGGTAAATGTGAAAGTTGCCTTCATCCTGCTATTTAGTGGCTTATTTTACATTTAATAATGAAGCAAGTGCTCAAGGGACTAGTTTTCTGGCTAACTAATGCCTCTGCAAACCAATGCAACCTCTTAACATAAAACATAAGTAGTAGAAGTTCAGAGGAAATGAGCTCTTGTGTTCCCTCGAGCATGATTAGAAAGTCTGAAGTAGTGTTCACAAACTATTGTTTTACAGCAATTATACATTTTTTTCACAAGTATGAAACTGTTCTTTATGGAAAGCACAGGTCAACTTAAAGTCAGAAGCTCTGGTTCTTGGAATACTATGATGTTATAAAGAGTAACCATAAACTATTTTAATAACATTGTAATAGTTTACATTCATTATGTACATTTAAGCTGCAATTTAGTTGTGACATGCAATGTTAATAATTTTCTCATCTTTGTGGGAAACATAACTGGAAAATATTACTCATTAAATATTTCCCCTTTTTAAATCTTACTTTATAAAGACCTCAGGTTATCTATAGAAAAGAATTGGTCAATGTATGGCAGTTTTGCAATGTAAAAAAAAAGTTTTAAAGGACCAAAGATATAATCTTCTCATTATTTCTTATTCCGAGACGCCTTAGGAATCATGACAAAGTCCAGGCCTATAAAAATTAGGCGACTAGATTGTGCATGGGCAGTTAATTAGAAGTAGAGCTAAAGCTAGCACATAGGTCTCCTGACTGCACAACATCATTCATTAATACTTTCGCAACCACTCTCTGTGACAGGTAAAGATAAAAAAGATTTTTTAGAAAGCCAAATTTGTATTTATATAACTTGGCTTTGTATTTCAGATTCTCATGACTAACAAAACAAATTTCACTGAAAAAAGAAATTACATAAATGCTACAAATCTGGCATTTTTATGTTTTTATATACCAAAAAGGTTTTCTTTCCTTTCCTTTCCTTCCTTCCCTCCTTTTTTCTTTTCTTCCTTTCCTTCCTTGATTCTTTCTTTTTCTCTATTTGGCCCGAGATTCATTGCTTAAATGAAGCAGGGTTAGTTGTTATGATGATCCCTTCACGCAACTTTCCAAAGCAAGGTAGAATCACGCACACCATCGTAATCTCCATCCTTGTTTCAGTCTGATGCATTTATTAAGCTCTTCCATTCACATGATGTAGTACTGCATGATCTACAAAGCTGTGCATTTCATGGGGATCAACTAATTGAAACTTCTGACTTTACAGTTAAGAGAATTGTAACAAAATTCTGCTGTTGCAAAGTAGGACAAAATTTTAAAGAAAAAATAAACACAACAAATATATTTAGTTTTCTTGCCTTATTTTCAATAAAGAGATGAGTACACTTAGTGAGCTGATAAATTAAAGAGGAGTAGGAAAGTAACAGGTTGTAATGGAACTGCAATATTTCAAAAATTAGAGTGTGGGGAGTAGGTGGATGGAAATCAGGGAACAGAAAATTGAAAACTGAGGAAAGGTACAAGAAGATAAAAAGAATATAATATATTTATCCATTTTAGATATTATGACTTGTCCTATTTTTGTGAATTTCCAGACTGAAAAGCCAAAACACAAAGGGATTGAGGCACACAACACACACACGCACACACACACACACACACACACACACACACACACTTAACAAAACTCACATCTTTTAATTCCCAGTATGTAGGTGATTTTCCTGAATTTCAACTCATTACTGTAGCAGCAAGGTCTCAATGTACTTCTTCCTTTGTAAAGTGAATCTATAGCTTTTCTGTCTGATAAATTACTTATCAGTACTAGCCTTTTAAACTGTATTTTAAATAACAAAACAGTGTATTCTTTTCATTCTGTTCATTTTTCTTGCTTAAGTGGAAATAATGAGTCAACCGTAAAGTGGATGTTATATAATGAAATTAGCAAAGCTTCCTTTTCAAGTTTCTTGTAATAGTTTCTGGTTCAGTAATAATGGTTAATAGTGACTTAATGATTTGTTTGTACTCTATCCTGGGTTTCTATCATAAATTTTTTTTTGTAAGAATAAAAAAGGCGTTGTGTACTCATGGGCAATGAATTCATTAGCAAATGTAAAGCACGTACCTTTGTGCACTGCACATGATGGCAGCTTAGAAGTTGTAGAAGTTCCCTTTACAGCTATCTGACATGTATAACACTTGAAAATACTGCACCGTACATTTACATTCTTCTACATACTGCCACAATAATATCATCTTGGGAGGCAAAAAGAGAACAAACATTAGCATTTCTATTTCACAGGTGGGAGAATTATGGACGACAAGGCT
The DNA here is from genome assembly GCF_000001405.40 of Homo sapiens. Lineage (NCBI taxonomy): Eukaryota > Metazoa > Chordata > Mammalia > Primates > Hominidae > Homo > Homo sapiens. The sequence goes on along the minus strand of NC_000014.9, from coordinate 37,108,054 downwards.
TAAGAGCCTTGCCCATGGTAGTAGAATAGGGCACTTTGAACAGATGGACTATACAATGTATTGTTCAAGCTTGGACACTATTAGGAATGCCAGTGGATACTATTGATAATTCCACTGGGCCAACAGGCATAAACTGGAACTGTCTCAAGGAAACTGAGGCCTATTGTCATTTTTACTAGGACCCACAACTGATTTTCACATGCTTCCACTTCTCTGTGCTTCTCAGACTTCCCCTGTACTCTTGCCAAGTATATACAAATACATGTAATAGGTATAGGAGAGGGAATGGCTGGACTTGAATCTTGGAGCCTTTATTTGTTAGCTATGAGCTCTTGGGCTTACAGTTTACCTCTGTGCTTCAGTTTCTTTTTCAGTGAAATGGGGATGATAACAATAACAATATTTACATTATAGGGCTATGATATGGATTGAATGAGTAAAATGCTTGGAACAGTGCCTAACACTTAGTAGACACTATATATACCTGGTAAATAAAATATGAATATTCATCCTGATAATGCTTTTTAAAAATAGGAAATGTTAAAAGCCACTTAGCTAAGAAGATATTTTTTGGCCAGATATGGTAGCTTACATCTGTAATCCCAGCACTTTGGGAGGGAGAGAAGGGAGGACCGCTTGACTCCAGGAGTTTGAGACCAGTGCGGGCAACTTATTGAGATCCCATTTCCAAAAAATAAAAAATAAAAAAATTAGTCAGGTGTAGTGCCCCGTACCTGTAGTCCTAGCTACTCAGGAGAATGAGGTGGGAGGATTGCTTGAGCCCAGGAAGTTGAGGCTGCAGTGAGCCATGATCATACCACTGCACTCCATTTTGGGTGACTGTATTTCACCCACTGCTGTATTTCAGAGGCTATGCAAGAGATCACAGATAAAGATCCTGCCTATTAAAAAAAATAGTAATAATTAATTTTTTTTAAAAAGAAATTTCTCTTTTTATTCCAAGAACATTTTTTGGAATAATTTCTTAGAACATTACATTTTGGTGTACTTTGAATTTTGAATATCTATACCTGAAATTACTAATGCCTGTGCCAATACTATTGAGTGACACTGTCACAATAGTGAGTTAATTATTTGTTTGTTTGTAAACTATCGGGGGAACCCGCCCCCAATATTTCAACGTAGGTTCTTTCTATTTTCCATAAGTGTTGGCTGGCTGAGAAATAAAGAGAAAGATTACAAAGAGAGGAATTTTACAGCTGGGCTGCCGGGGGTGATATCACATATCGGTAGGACTGTGATGCCTGCCTGAGTCTCAGACCAGCAAGTTTTTATTAAGGGTTTCAAAAGGGGAGGGGGTGTAAGAACAGGGAGTAGGTACAAAGATCACATGCTTCAAAGGGCAAAAAGCAGAACTACTAATAAGGGTCTAACAAAGATCACATGCTTCTGAGGGAACAGGACAAAAGGCAAAAGCAGAGCTACTGATAAGGGTCTGTGTTCAGTGGTGCTTGTATTGTCTTGATAAACATCTTAAACAACAGAAAACAGGGTTGTTTTTTAAGGTCAGAGAACCGGTCTGACCTTAAATTTACCAGGGTGGAGTTTTTCCCCACCTTAGTAAGCCTGAGGGTACTGCAGGAGACCAGGGTGTATATCTCAGTCCTTATCTCAACCGCATAAGACAGACACTCCCAGAGCAGCCGTTTATAGACCTCCCCCCAGGAATGCATTCCTTTCCCAGGGTATTAATAATAATATTACTTGCTAGGAAAATAATTTAGCAATATCTCTCCTACTTGCACTTCCATTTATAGGCTTTCTGCAAGAAGAAAAATGTGGCTCTTTTTGCCCGACCCCACAGGCAGTCAGACCTTATGGTTATCTTCCCTTGTTCCCTAAAAATTGCTGTTATTCTGTTTTTTTTCAAGGTGCACTGATTTCATATTGTTCAAACACACATTTTACAATCAATTTGTACAGTTAACACAATTATCACAGTGGTCCTGAGGTGACATACATCCTCAGCTTATGAAGATAACAGGATTAAGAGAGTAAAGTAAAGACAGGCATAAGAAATTATAAAAGTATTATTTGGGAACTGTTAAATGTCCATGAAATCTTCACAATTCATGTTTCTCTGCCGCGGCTCCAGCCTGTCCCTCTGTTCGGGGTCCCTGACTTCCTGCAGCAGTAAACAATATGTAGCATTATTGGCATGTACATGACAAAAATGGCATTAGCAAGCTCACCTCATCTTGGAAGCATTTTGGCTATATGATGAAATGACAGACTCCAAACTAATCTACCATTTTCTGAATTCTACTACTAGAATTCTACTAATTCTATTCTATTCTGCTAATAATAGACCTTTATGTCTTTCTTTATGATAAGTGATCTCCATTACAGTTGAGATAACTTGGTTTCTTCATTTTAATATTACTAACTCAGGATATCTGCTTTCACCTTTTGGAATGGATAGCCATGATTCATCCCCACGCTGACTCTCTTTTCTTCTTAAAATTAAAAATAAAATTAAAAAGCATATTCTAAGATGGGAAATATGTAGAAAGGCATATCTCCCGCAATTTGCTTTGTGGTGATTTGGCCCTGGGAAAAAAGGCCCACACCCCCATCCCCCTGGGATACCTTAGGCTTCTGTTTTGTATTCAGGATTAGACACCACATTTTCTTAGCCCTCTTGGCCTGCACCTCCTTAGTCAGGACTCCTCTGACTAAAGTTATTGCTGATTGGATGTCCAGAACACTGTTTATTATCTGTTTTATTTGGTGTATCAGTGACTTCAAATCTAACACTTTCTTATGCTTCAGAGTTTGACTTCACATTTAATTATTTGTCCAGCATCAGTATCATTGGCATTATTACTTACCTGCCTTGACACTCAGATAAAAACACTTGTTTATACTGGAGGACTAAGGTCTGCCTCTGCTGTTCATTCATTTCACCTCTGACTTCTATCTGGAATTCTAATATTATGATCTAGACCAAATGTTTAAAAATGTAGGTGTGCCAGTGATGATAAAAACATAAAGAAAAATAAGTTGAATCAGCACCTCTGGAAATGCTTATGGATCATAATAGTTACCTGACTGAGGCTGACTGTTGTTCATGAATATATATATTGAGAATAAATATACATTGAACAAATACAGATCTGCTGTATTTCAGAGGCTATGCAAGAGATCACAGATAAATGAGATGGGTGGGCTGTTCCCTTCTTGGATTTACTAGAACATTAGGAGTAAGTGGAAGACTAATGGTTAAGAACACAGCTCTTGTTAGCTTTGCTTAGGATAAACCTTGGGCTGGGCCACCTCCTACCTGTGTGATCTTGAGCAAGATAATTAATTTCTTTAAGCCTTAGTTTCATTATCTGTAAAAAGAGGACCAAAAATACTTTCCTATTTTGTTTTGTGTGCACATTCAATGATATATTGCATGTAAAGCCCTTATCACAGTATCATGGTATATGCTGTTAAGTTTGTGCCACGGGCCATAGTAATATAAATATATAGCTATTTTCGTATTATGTTGATTAGAAAATAATGCCAAAGGAATGGCTTTGGTAAAAACAATGTATATTTTTAATAAGTTACTCATTACTTTAAACCTTTGTCTTAGTTTTATTTCCCTATCTTAGTTGGTTCATGCTGCTATAACAAAATACCTTAGACCAGATAATTTGTAAACCACAAATATTTCTTGCTCAATTCTAGAGGCTGAGAAGGCCGAGATCAAGGTGCCAGCAGGTTCTATGTCTGATGAGAGCTAGCTCTCCACCTCATGGCTGGTACCTTCTTGCTGCTTCCTCACATGGAAGGGGTGAACAAGCTCCCTTGAGCCCCTGTTATAAGGGCACTAATACCTCTTATGAGGTTAATTATTTTTACATCCATTTCTAGTAAAGTAAATTATATGTTAGTGTTCTGATTTGGTAGCAGAATTAAACCATTTCAGAACTCCCATTGGTGTCCATTTCTGAAGAGGAGGGAAGTTTGTCATATGGCATTTATCTGTTACCTTATATGATGGCCTCCCCTGACTGCAGTGAGAGTGGTCCACGAGCCGTGGGAAGCACAGAAATGGTCCTTCTTTCTGCATGTGCTCTATACAGATTTGGGTCAGGATCACTTCCAATTTGCCTTGTAAAGGATATGAGTGGGTAACAAGTATCCTGAGAAAATTCTGGCAAACAGCAAGTGCTTGGAAAGTGCTTTATGACTGAATGAGTGACATGATTCAGTACCAAGCTCATCCTGAGAAGCAGGTAGAAGTGACTGGATGTTGTCTGTCTGTTGTGTGCCATGATATTTGAAGCACAGTTGAGGCTTGGGACTTTTGGATAGTCAGATTAGCATGAATATCCTGGTTGGTTGTCTAGACAGCAAGGGAAGAAGGTTTGAGATTTGAAGTGGCAGAGAAAGAAGAATGTAGTGGAAAGAACATGGATCTTGGAAGAATTTGAATACCCACTCAGCCTGCTGTGAGCTCTGGAATGTTAGGCAAGTTACTTAATTTCTATGATCCTTGATTTCTTCATTTTCAAAATATAGAAAAATTATACTTGCTTATTGAAAGAGTTAAATGAAGTAACATTTATACAAAGCTCAAAGCATGGTAGTTGTCCCATGGTGACTATATTTATTCTGAAACCAAAACCAGACCATGCTTTGGAATATTGCTTAAACCCGTGATAGACGCTCCAGTGGTATTTAGAATTCCTCAGTAAGTTAAGAGATCAGGCCCAATTTGGAAGCCAGGCATCAGAAACCTCATCTGTGTGTAATTTAGTGTAATCCCTCTAAATCTTTTATCCTTTGGTAAAGGAAGAGATATGCAAATCTTTTCTCTGCCTATTCCTTTTCTTGTTACTGTCAGTGAAGGTGCGATAAAATATTTATTACTTGCAGTATAATATTTCCCATAGCACGTTAAACATGCATTCCAAGCTAATGGGATATTCTGTTTTACCTAGAAGAGCTTTCAGTTTTCTTTATCCAGTAGTCATAACTATTGCTGGGATTGATACGATATTTATTATTAAACAGTATGGTTTGACTTTGATTAATTTTTTTTTTTTTTGAGACACAGTCTCACTCTGTTGCCTAGGCTGGAGTGCAGTGGCATGGCATGATCTCGGGTCACTGCAACCTCTGCCTCCTGGGTTCAAGCGATTCTCCTGCCTCAGCCTCCCGAGTAGCTGGGATTACAGGTGCCTGCCACCATGCCTGGCTTATTTTGTATTTTTAGTAGAGACAGGATTTCACCATGTTAGCCAGGCTGGTCTTGAACTCCTGACCTCAAGTGATCTGCTTGCGTCAGCCTCCCAAAGTGCTGCGATTACAGGTATGAGCCACCATGCCCAGCCAAATTTGACTAACTACTTTCTGAGAGCACACTGGTTTTTCTGGAAGCTGGCAAATTTGGTTAAAATAGGGGCATTCAGTTCTGAATTTTTTATTTGATCCTTTTTCTATGTTTTGGGTAGACAAACTACCACCCTTCTTAACATTTCCCCAGCCTTTCCAGTAATAATGCAACAGCTAGGAGAGGTAAAGGAACAGGGAAACCTAGGGGACTAGGAAAAGTCTCAGAAGAAAGGGATAAACATTTGTTACTTTTTTTTTTTTTTTGAGACAAGGTCTCTGTTGCCCAGGCTGGAGTGCATTGGCATGATCTCAGCTCACTGAAACCTCCACCTCCCTGGTTCAAGCGATTCTCCTGCCTCAGCCTCCTGAGTAGCTGGGATTACAGGCATGTGCCACCGCATCTGGCTTTTTTTATTGTATTTTTAGTAGAGATGGGGTTTCACCATGTTGGCCAGGCTGGTCTTGAACTCCTGACTTCAAGTGATCCGCCTGCCTCAGCTTTCCAAAGTGTTGGGATTACAGGCGTGAACCACCGTGCCTGGCCATTATTACAATTTTACATCTTTTGAACAAATGCAGTTTCCAGTCCTAACTGCTGTTAACTTATACATATAATAAAGTTATACTGTTTTCCAATAATTTAATATTTAAACATTACATTAAAATCTGTTAGTTATTTTTATGTTCATTAACTCATGTGATGCAGCATGATATTTGTGAAACATATATTCTCATTTTCTTCATCTTACAGATGAGGAAACTGAAACATGAGGGGAATCACAAAATGCATTTAACAAAGTCAATAAAAGTCAGAACTGGTACAGTCTTCTTTATCAAGAACAAAATAAAAATCACCCATAATTCACTTAATTACACAGACGTAACCACAACTAAAATGTTAACATTTTAGTGCATTTTCTTTTTATTGCATTTTCTATACCTATATGGGCTTTTGTATAAATGTGTTAAATGCATATCATATACATGGTTCTATATTCTGCTTTATAAAAAGTTATTATATTGTAATTTCACTTAAAAATATTTGCAAACCATCATTTAAAATTTATTGCATGACTATAAAGTTTGTTATACCATTATTCCATTACTGAACATTTAGTTTTATCAAATTTTTAACAATTAAAATAATATTATGACAGCTGTCTTCATACATGAATATTTTTCATTTATCTGGCTTTTATACTATAAAAAATATCTGAGTTTTTAAAGCATAGGTTGGCATCTTCATCCACTGGCATTTCTTGTCATAAATGGTTTTCATTAGTAACATTGGCCAAGATTCGGGGTATATCTCACAGCTATCAAACAGGGAATAGGCTGACTTGCAAAGGGAGTGAGTTTATGACCTTGGTCTCATAAAACTTCTGTGTGCTCACGGAGTCACATAAACTGACTTAGAAGAAGAAAAAAGAAAAATATGAATAAAAATATAGACTGTTTGTAGTGGAAATTTTAGAGGTGAAAAAGAAAAGATATATCTGTATTGGGAGAAATTACAGAATCTGCTCAACTAATAATTGTGTTTTGTATAAAAATTATTACACCTCTTTGGCCTAGGCATTTTAAAGTTGGATTAACACATTATTTTTCAATACACAATAAAAGGCTTTTAGAAAGATAGTGTATCTGTGAAATCATCATATTAGATTATTTTATTTAATTTCTTAGTTTATAATTGCTAGGTAAGTCGGCTGTCAGCGAAAGAGAAGCAAATGGGCTGGGTGAGACAGAGAATGATAATAATAGCTAATATTTATTGAACCCTAAGTTTCAGGCACTATTCTAAGTTTACATGTAATGTCTGCAATATAAATTGTGTTCTACAACCCCCCAATCACCCAATAATAGGTATTATTTTCCTAATTCCTTTCATACGGAAACTGAGGTTAAGTAAATTGCCCAGGCAGGTGGACTGACTCCAGAATCACCCACTTGACCCACTACATTGTGCTGTCTCCATGTGCAGCTGTTCTCTACTGATCTGTCCTTCCAAGAGGATATCTAGATGTAGTCCATAGGGATGGAGAACTTGGCTCTAAACCTGAATGGTGTTGGGTGTGGGAAGTGATCTGCTTGTTTTAACTTGCCGTGTTCCTAGTGCCTAGAATTAATTTGAATGAACCAATGAATTACATTTCTACCTCAGTCTTAAGTAAGAAATATTCCAGTTGAGATACCTCAATTAAACATCTACTTTGGGTTGGGCGTTAGGATGATCTAGATGAATGAGAATAACCCTGAACACATGATTATATTGAAGTGTGTTAAGTGGGACAAAGAAGGATGTGTAAGACAGCAAAGAGGGAAGCCTTCCTAGAGGTGGTGGCAGCCAGGCATGGTGGCTCACACCTGTAATCCCAGCACTTTGGGAGGCCGAGGCGGGGAAACACCTGAGGTCAGGAGTTCGAGACCAGCCTGGCCAACATGGTGAAACCCCATCTCTACTAAAAATACAAAAATTAGCTGGGTGTGATGGTGCATGCCTGTAGTACCAGCTACTCAGGAGGCTGAGGCTGGAGAACCTCTTGAACCTGGGAGGCGAAGGTTGCAGTGAGCTGAAATTGTGTGACTGCACTCCAGCCTGGGCAACAGAGTGAGACTCCATCTCAAAAAAAACAAAAGAAAACAAACAAACAAACAAACAAACAAACAAACATAGAGGTGGTGGCATTTGAGCTGGAATGAATAGAAATTGCCAGGGAGAGGAGGATGTGAAGAACTGCTAGCAAGGCCTCCAGCTGTGGAAGTTGGAGTACCATTTGTTTAAATTTAATTTTAAATATAAATTTAATATATAAAGAGTAAGTGTGGTGTTTGGAGTTAGTAACACCTAGGTTCTTACCACCCATATGATTTTAGGAAAATCACTTACTCTCTCAGAGCTCCGGGTTCTGAATCTGGAAAAGGAGGAAAATATTATGCTTACCTCACTCAATGCGAAGGTTAAAGATACATTTAAAGTTCCCAATATGGAGCCTGCCATTGTTGGTGCACAGCAAATAGTAACTAACATTCTTATTCTATAAATAAAAGAAAGTAAACGTGTATTAGAACAAACACTTTCTTACCTGGGTGAGGGGGAGTCGGTGGCGGGGGGAACATCCTGGCAGGGTCTACCAAAATGGGTGAGGAATAATAAGGATAAGGAACTATCCTTCTGGAGTTCAAATTCCATTTTTGACTACTACATTGACTACTAAGAACAAAAGCCCTTAAAAAGACCCAGGAGGATGATTGAGACAACAAATGACTGTTAGAACGGAATATTTTGATGTGTTAAGTACAAATTACTCAGAAGCATATGGATTAAATTTCCTTCCAGCAAAGTACGGGTTTAAATGTTAAGGGGAAAGAGATGTGAGAACAGGGCCCTCCTTGGTTAGAAACTCTCTGATGGTCGCCCCAGGAGGATTTTAGATAGACACACAAAGAAAAGGCTGAGAAATGCTCCCTGGGGAAGGTAGGGAGGAGAAGGTGCAAGAAAAGGATTTTATATGCTCTTGGCTCCTGACTTTGGGGAAGCCCAAATTATTACAAATCAATGTGGTCTCAATTCCAGAGGTTAAAAAAATTTTTAAGTCCGGCTGGGCATGGTGGCTTATGTCTGTAATCCCAGCACTTTGGGAGGCCGAGGCAGGCGGATCACTTGAGGTCGGGGGTTCAAGACCAGCCTGGTCAACATGGTGAAACCCCGTCTCTACTAAAAATACAAAAATTAGCCAGGTGCAGTTGTGCATGCCTGTAATCCCAGCTACTCGAGAGGCTGAGTCAGGAGAATTGCCTGAACCCAGGAGGTGGAGGCTGCAGTGAGCCGAGATCATGCCATTGCACTCCAGCCTGAGTGACAGAATGAGACTTTGTCTCAAAAAAAAAAAAAAATCTATCTATCTATCTATCTGTCTGTCTGTCTGTCTGTCTGTCTGTCTGTCTGTCTGTCTATCTATCTATCTATCTATCTATCTATCTATCTATCTATCTATCTATCTAATCGTCCTATAAGGAGAATCAATTAGGTAATAGTCGTCAGCCCAGGAAATAGCAAATCATCTTTTCTTCATGTGAACTATACAATTCAGAAGAACTCTTCCTGTTAAAGCAGATAGTATCCTGGAAAACCAAACTTCTTTTATAGCAAAAATTGGCTTGGAAAGAAATCATGGTTAACTTCTTATTCTGTAGACTGTTAAAAGACTTGAGGCCCAGAGAGGTGAAATATCCTGCCTAACATTTCCCAGTGAGTTAGTGGCAGAGCTGGGACTAGAAACCAGATCTTTTGAGGAATTCCACACACAAGGAAATTACTTGGCTGGGTCAAAGTCACACCCTGAGTAAAGTGGGAACTGACAGGATTTCAGCCAAGATCTGTCTGTCTCCAAAGTCTACGCTTTCTAGGACTCTATACACTGCTGTTTTAAAATTAATTAGGCATTCTAATTACAAACTTACCTCAGGCTAAGTTATGACAGTAGAGAAAGACATTAGATGAAAGCTGAGTCCCTCTGCCTCTCAACAATCTTACTCCGTCCCACCTGCTCAAAAACCCTCTATCCCCATTCCCTAGAGGTAAATACTGTGAATTGTTTTTGGTATACACTTCCTGAAATTGCATGTATATCTTTAAAAAAGATTTTATTTGGAAAAACATTGAAACTTACAAAAAAGTTGTAAGAACCGTAAAAGGAACTTTTTACCTGGATTCACTGCTGTTGACATTTTGCCCCATTTGCTTTATCATTTCTTCTCTATAGCTACCTATCTATATATCCATCCATCTATTGATTGATTATTATTTTTTTTTTTTGAGATGAATTTCAGTCTTGTTGCCCAGGCTGAAGTGCGATGGTGCGATCTCGGCTCACTGCAACCTCCACCTTCTGGGTTCAAGCAATTCTCCCGACTCAGCCTCCTGAGTAGCTGGGATTACAGGTGTCTGCCACCATGCCTGGCTAATTTTTTGTATTTTTAGTAGAGATGGGGTTTCACCATGTTGGCCAGGCTAGTCTCCAACTCCTGACCTCAGGCGATCCACCTGCCTTGACCTCCCAAAGTGCCGGGATTACAGGTGTGAGCCACGACGCCCTGCCTGATATTATTTTTGTCTGAATCATTTGAGACTAAGTTGCAAACATTGTAGGCCTTGCCCCTAAATATTTCAGGGTGTTTTTCCTGAGAATATGGATATTTATGAGGCAGAACAAGATGGCCAAATAGAACCCTTCAACAATTGCCTACCTCCCCCAGGAACATCAAATTTTGAACAACCCTTAACGCAAGAAAACACATTTGGCCGAGTGCGGTGGCTCACATTGTAATCCCAGCACTTTGGGAGGCCAAGGTGAGCAGATAGCTTGAGCTCAGGAGTTCAAGACCAGCTTGGGTAACATGGCGAAATGCTGTCCCTACTAAAAATACAAAAATTAGCTGGGTGGGGTGGTGCACACCTGTAATTTCAGCTACTCAGGTGGCTGAGGCGTTAGAATCTCTTGAACCCAGGAGGTGGAGGCTGCAGTGAGCTGAGATAGCACCACTGCGCTCCAGCCTGGGCAACAGAGTAAGACCTTGTTTCAGAAAAACAAAAAAACTAAATAAAAGTTAGAATAAAAAAAGCACTTTCGTAAGAACCAAAAACAAACAAAAAAAAACAAAAAAAAAAAACAAAAAAAAAACCAGCCCTTTGAATGACAGGTACAAACAAGGGCAGACTGCAAAGACTGGAATAAACACCTAGCCCTTCAATGCCCAGACATCAACAAATGTCCACAAGCATCAAGAACATTCAGGAAAATATGACTTCACTAGACAGACTAAATAAGCTACGACTGACCAATCCTGAGGTGACAGAGATATGAGACCTCTCAGACGGGTAATTCAAAATGGCTGTTTTGAGGAAAGTCAACCAACTACAAGATAACACAGAAAATGAATTCAAAATTCGATCAGAGAAATTTAACAGAGATTGATATAATAAAAAAATCAACAGAAATCCTGGAGCTGAAAAAAATTCAGTTGACAAACTGAAAAATACATTACAGTGTCTCAGAAACAGAACTGATCAAGCAGAAAAAAAGAATTACTGAGCTTGAAGACTGGCTATTTGAAAATACACAGAGGAGAAAAAAGAAATTAATGAAAAGGAACAAAGTGTTTACAAGATCTAGAAAATAGCTTCAAAAGGACAAATCTAAGAATTATTGGCCTTAAAGAGGATGTAGGAAAAAGAGATCAGGGTAGACAGTTTATTCAAAGAAATAATAACAGAGAACTTTCCAAACCTAGAGAAATATATAAATATCCAGGTCCAAGAAAGTAAAAGAATACGAAGCAGATTCAACCCGAATAAGACTACCCCAAGGCATATAATAATCAAAATCTCAAAGATCAAGGACAAAGACAGTATACTAAAAGACTGTTTATAACTACAATTCTGTTATCAACTTCAATAAAACGGCAATGCATTTGTCATTGATGCAATACTTTTATAAGTTTGATCCAATAATGCACTTTATAGTATTTTTTTCCTCTCTGTACCTGTTATATAGTCTAGAGTCATGTATAGCATTTAGTTGGTATATTTCAATTAGTCCCTCTTAATCTGGAACTGTTCTTCACTCTTTTGTTATTATTTATAATGTTGACATTTTTGAACAATTTAATAGAATATTTCTCACTTTGGGTTTGTCTGATGTCTCTTCCTAGTTAGCTACTGACAATGCATTCTTTGGTGGAATATCACATACATAAGTGATGTGTTCTTTTAAAATATCCACAACCTGAGGCCCATGATGTTTATATATGTCTCATTTATGATGCTAATTTTGATCACCTGGTCAAGGTGTTTTTTGTGTGTGTGTGTGTGTGTGTGTGTGCGTGCGCGTGTGTGTGTATATAAATATATATATACATATATACATTTTTTTAAAGACAGGATATCTCACTTGGCTAACTTTTTTATGTTTTAGTAGAGATGAGTTCTTGCTATGTTGCCCAGGCTTGTCTCAAACTCCAGAGTTCAAGCAAGCAATCCTCCTACTTCAGCCTCCCAAAGTGCTGGGATTAATAAGTGTGAGCCACCATACCAGGCATTTATATATTTTTTATTCATGCCTTTTCTGCAGTTTGTTTTTACTGAATAGTGTAGTTATTTATTTATTTGTTTGTTTGTTTGTCGAGATGGAGTCTTGCTCTGTCGCCCACGTTAGAGTTCAGTGGCACAATCCAGGCTCATTGCAACCTCCGCTTCCCAGGTTCAAGTGACTCTCCTGCCTCAGCCTCCCAAGTAGCTGGGCTTACAGGCATGTGCCACCACTCCCGGTTAATTTTTGTATTTTTAGTAGAGACAGGGTTTCACCATGTTGGCCAGGCTGGTCTCGAGCTCCTGACCTCAAGTGATGGACCCTCTTTGGCCTCCCACCGTGCCAGGATTACAGGCATGTGCCACCACGCCTGGCCGAATAGTGTAGTTATTCAAATTCAGCTATTTATTGAGTACATATGTGACAAACCTATTCTAAACCATGGTGATATAGCAGTGATCAAAACAGACAAAATTCCCACTCTCATAGAGCTTATGTTTTTAAAATAATATTTATTTATTTTAATTGATAAAAATCATTTATTTATCATGTACATTATTTATCATGGCCATTGTGGAATGGCCAATTTAAGCCAATTAACATATATATCATTTCACATACTTACTTTTTTTTTGTGTGTGTGGTGAGAATACCCAAAATTTAATCTCTTAGCAATTTTCAAAAACACAATGCACTGCTATTAACTATAGCCACCATGTTGTACAATAGGTGTTGTGAACTTATTCCTCTTATCCAACTGAAATTTTATATCCTGGGTACCAGTATTTGACTTCATTCTGTATACCATATACCATAGTTTATTCAGCCAGCTGCTACTGGCGATATTTAACTTGTTTGCAGTTTTTTTTTTTTTTGGCTATCACCAACCATGCTTCAGTGAGCACCCTGTAAAATGGACTAGTCATCTAGAGTCACGTGTGTGTATCTGTGTATAAGTCTGCATGTTTGCATGTGATTGTGTGTATTTGTATATATATATATGTGAATGTGAATGTAAGTATGTATGTGTATGTGTACAAACTTGCTGCACAATTTGTCCTAGAGGAGAAATTGATGGGCCAAACACATTTGGTTTTACATTTTGACAGATACTTCCAAACTTCCCTCCAATTTTTGTTCTCAGTACAGAGTATGTGAGTGCTGTTATCTCCCCATTCTCGTCAAACTGGGCATTATCAAATATTTTAATTTTTTCCATATTAATAGGCATCATCTTAGCTGGATGGCAATAAAGAATCCAATTATTTTCAAGTCTGGTGTGTAAGGCACCTTTTTGTGTCTGATTGTTGCTATGCTACTAGTCTTATCTTCCAAGAGACCTGACTCTGGTGAGCGGAGATTGATCACAGGATGACTATCTAGATCTTTAGAAAAATTATCTAATTCCTGATTAAAGTCTGTCATGGAAGGAAATCTTTAAAGTCTAAACTCCACACTTGTTCACATTGCTATGATGTAGCAATGTTATCTAGGGCTTAGGGACATTTTAATAGGAAGCTAATGACATTGCATAACCGCAGATAATTAACTTTTAAAAAGTACATTCAGACATGACCCATTTATGCTATTTGCTATATGCTCTGAGGAATGGGCTAAAATAGAGTCTTCAAAATTGCCACCGTGTCACTCAAACCTTTCTGAAATGTATATGATAAGCTAAAGAGAAAACATGGGATCATGCCAGATGACCTTAGAGTTATTTTAAATGGTTAGCAAATGGCCAGATCTCTCTTTAAGTTACTACTTAGGTTTTAAGGGGGCTGGGAGGGTGTTTGGGTAGAATCCCACCACGTTGGAGAGAAATTCAGGTTAAATGGTTTGTTTGTTAAAGAAATCATTAATTTTTCCATCTGCCCCTTATTCCTTCATCCTCCCCCCACTTTTTTCCATGTTAGTTCTCTCCCCTCCATTCATCCCCCAAAAGTAGGTGTGGATATTTTGAAAAGGAAGCCTCTTTCTTACACGCAATGAATTTTGCCCACAATGGGCTAATTGCCAAAGCAGTTCGCCACCTGTGGGAGTAATTAGTCACGTGTCAGTCTTCTGAGGTTAGTCAGTTGCAGTTGCAATTTATTATACACACAGTTTTGCATCCACAAATAATCATGGCTGTGAAAACCACCCATAGAGAAAGAAAAGACTAGGCGGAAACTTTAAAAAGTTGCCATATTGCTTTATATTTATGAATGAAGCGTGGGTAACATTCAGTTCTATTCATTATCCTAATCCAGAGAAACTGGAGTTAAGGATACTAAAGAAAAAGTATTCATAAATTATTCTGCATTGTGGGGTGAGCAGGAGAAAGATTATGTTATATTTGTAATTTTATTTGATAAACTAAAAAATCGTTCTTGATTGGATGTATTAACATTTTATCCTTGAAACACTTTATACTTAAGGTGAATATAATGAGAACTTTGTTTTCATCAGTGGGCAGCAATATGATAGCAGCCATCTTAGCTAATCTTGCTCTGGTTAATGTGGTACACTGTTTATTATTTTACATCCATGGAAGATGTTCCCCCTTGAATTGAATTCAATATATTTATCAATAGTTGCTATATATACATCAGTCATGATAGCAGGAAGTAGAGCATTTAAAAAAGATGGACAAAAGATAATTCAAGGAATTCTCTCTCTCTCTCCCCGTATGTGCGTGTGTGTGTGTGTGTGGTGTGTAAATGTCATGGAGCAGGCAGGAAAACTGCATGTAAATATATCAGAATTCTCTTGGGTACAAGAAAAACAGAACCTCACCCATGTTGCCTTAAACAATGAAGACTATTTATTATCTATTTAATTGAAAAATTAAAAAAAAAGGTGGGATAAATTTGAGTCTTTTTCCAGTAGCTCAGCAATATCACCCAGGACCCATTTTCCTTGTTTTTCCGCCCCACTTTCCATAGTGCCTGCACCATCCTGAAGCTGGCTCCACCATAGTTCTCCCAGAGAGGAACGATTTCTTTCCAGAAATGCTCAGCAAATATCTCCTTATGTGTCATTAGCCCAGACAGAGTCATAGGCTCATCCCTAAAGAAATCCCTGTGGCTTAGGGATGGCATACACTAATTGGCTTAAAAGCCAATAATCCACCTCGAGAAAACCCTACCTAAACAACACTGGGGGGAAATCAGAAGCCTAGGTAGGTAGGAGGACGGAGGAGATGGATGCCAGCAACAACTACTGTCCACTACAGCAAATAACAGTAATCCAAGTGCTTCAATAGGGTGTAGACATGGTACTGTGTAGGATTGGCTGTAATGTGCATTCACACTATTACTGCAGTAGCTATAGGTGCCATTAAGGTTTATATTTCTAGGATGCTAAAGAAAAGGAACATATTTGAAAGGCTTTTTGGCTTACCATGTTACAAGGAATTCTGTGGCTCCCTACTTTATAGTTAGCTTCTGAAGACTTGGCTAGGCTTTCAGACAAAGACCCTTGCTATACTTAAAAAAATGAGAGAGACAGGGTCTTGTTCTGTCACCCAGGCTGGAGTACAATGGCACGATCTTGGCTCATTGCAACCTCCACATCCCAGGCTCAAATGATCCCCCCACCTCAGCCTCCCTAGTAACTGGGACTATAGGCATGCACCACCATCCCTGGCTAATTTTTGTATTTTTGTAAAGATAGGGTTTTGCCATGTTGCCCAGGCTGATCTCAAACTCCTGACCACAAATGATCTGCCCACCTTGGCCTCCCAAAGTACTAGGATTACAGGCGTGAGTCACTGCGCCTGGCTGACCCTTGCTTAGTGAGGGAAATAACTCAGAGGCTTTCAGTGGGAAATCAGAGAGGAGAAAATATGTATGAATGTAGACACAGTTGATGCTCATTATTTGCAGATATCATATTTGTGAATTTGCCTACTTGCTGAAATTTGTTTGTAACCCCCAAGTCAATACTTATGGTTCTTTCTCAGTCATTCACAGACGTGTGCAAAGTGATGGAAAATTTGCATCATCTAATGCACATGTTCCCAGCTGAACAAGGTGATACTCTGCCTTCCTGTTTCCGTTGTCATACTGTAAGAAGGTCCTTTTTGCAGTCTATTTAGTGCTATGTGTTGGGGCTTTTTTGTTCATGATTTTACTGTTTAAAATGGCCCCCAAGCCATTGTGCAGAAGTGTTGTCTATTGCTTTTTTTTTTTTTTGAGACTGAGTCTCATTCTGTCACCTGGGCTGGAGCGCAGTGGTGCAATCTCGGTTCACTTCAAGCTTTGCCTCTCAGGTTCAAGTGATTCTCCTGCCTCAGCCTCCCGAGTAGCTGGGGTTACAGGTGTGTGCTACCACACCCAGCTAATTTTTTGTATTTTTAGTAGAGATGGTGTTTCACCATGTTAGCCAGGCTGGTCTGGATGTCCTGACCTCATGATCCACCTGCCTCGACCTCCCAAAGTGCTGGGATTACAGGTATGAGCCACCGCACCCGGCCCATTGTCTATTGTTTCTAAAGGCAAGATGCGCCTTATGAGAAAATCTGTGTGTCAGGTAAGCTTTGTTCAGGCTTGAGTTATAGTGCCGTTGGTTGTGAGTTCTATGTTAATAAATCAAAAGTATATATTAAGTAAGGTGTCTTTAAACAGAAACACACATAAAATAAGATTATATATTGATCAATTGATGAAAATGTTGTCACCAGAGACACACAGGAACTTAACTCCTATTTTCCCTAGGAGCAGTGGGTTCAGTGGTGGCTAATGCAGTTTCCACCACAACTTTATTGGACATAACTAGTGCAGATAATTAGAATCAACTGTACATGTGACTATGTTTAAACAATAAAGAAAACACTATCTTGGTTTAATATCAGGACGGGGCTTTACCCACAGAGGTCTAGTATGTAAAGGGGTAAACATGTTGTTTTTATTTCTCTTAATTGAAAGGAAAGAACTCAGTTTTTAAGTACTGTTTGAAGGGACATACCTAATCTTTGGAAAGCTATGTTTTTCTCAACTGGGACCCTTCTAACTGTATCTTTTCTAGCTTCTCTGAAATGATAGGCCAAGATTTATTGGCTTCAATGAAATATTGAAAGCTAAGTAGCACTAGCCTCATAGGATGTAGTGAAAAATAACACGTTGACATCCACAGTCTTGTCACCTTCATATCCTTTATTGTCCCCAAACCAAACTAAGCATAGCTTTGAGCTGCAACAGCATATCACCAGCGTTGAGACCCACCAACTACATGGCGATGGGAAGTGCGAGGAGGCATCCTCCACATCCAGGGCGCTGCTTGCATCATTCCGTTTTACTTTTGCTTTGCTCAAGCTTGGCGCTGTGTTGCCAGCAGCAAGTATGCTGACTGAAAACTGTCACAACAGCAATCATTACAATCCAGGAGTTGAGTTTGACTGGAACATATGTCTTCAATTTTAATAGCTCAGCTTCCCAGATGCCCTAAAGGAGAATATTGCCTGAGAAGGAGCTTTTCATGTAAGAATAATTTGTGTTAAGTAGCTCAGTGATCTGTTTGTTAGGTTACAGCTGACAGTTTGTTTATATTTCTAAAGGGGTATGATGAATGGGGGAGAAGTTGATGCTAATTAGCCTAAATTGTTCCTAAGAATGTAGAGGGGTTTGCCAGTTTCATTGTTTCTGTTTCTTTGCACATTTTAAATAATTGAATAGAGCTTAGACCATTCATCATAATTTCAGGCAAGATGAAATAAATGAATTTAGCACGGGTCCACATGTGCGATGGAAGATGTCACTTTAAAGGGCAATTAGATAAGACATCAACTTGGGGCTAAAGCAGAATATTTTAATCCATTTGCATAAAAATATCAAACATGAATGTTTTCATTTACTCCATTAGTTATCTCCGTCATCATAGGAGGACACAGCCCTTCTTTTTGAAAACCCACCTATTCCCATTGAAGAAGTAGAGCTGTGGTATAAAATTTGAGCCTTTGCCTTGTGACAAAAGATCCGTGGCCTTACTCTCTAAGAAAGTCTCCTCCCCTCCCCTGATGTCATCAAATGGCTCCAAGAAATCTGTTTGGGGATGGGCTCAGTGCCTGGCCAGGTGGATAATAAAAAAGGCAGCAGAAACGTTTTTGAAAGTTGGGATTCATATAGTAGTGTGAGTTCTACAGTAAGAGCTAATAACATACCAGTGGAATATATTTTAGATATTTCTCAAGAGTTCTCCTATATGTATTTTTCATATTTGCTGGGTTACACGGTGACATGGTCTTAAACTTAGGATGTAACTTCCTATCTGAGTTGCTCCAGCACTTCCCCTAGGTAGGAAGGTTAATGTGAAAGGATTATTTCATAAGACTGTAGAAAATATATATATATATGTTTTGTTAACACACATATTTTGAGAGTTAAAATAAGAAAAATGAACCTAAATTTAGAAAGTCTATGATTTTTTTCAACCTTTTAATCCTCATTGGAGGCCATTCTTTTTTAATTTATGCACATAAAATACCACAGGAAGAGATGGTATAAATTTGTGGACTGTGGAGAATGAGTGAACATTTTTGAATCAGGATCTTTAAAAGGGGTGAAATTTGAGTATGATTAAGTTAGGAAAAAGCCTCGCTTACGGCGGAAGTCAGAGACTCTGTATACATTATGGGCATGTCATGGCTTTTAAAAAGTTATGTTAGACTTCTATACAAATTGTGAAGGAATTTGTATAACCCCAAACAAAATTCTGTGTGGTTCTGAACTTTTCCTAAGTTGAAAAGAGAGAGAGAGAGAGTAAGAAAGAAATAATGCTGGTTAGTATTCTGATCAGGGACAAGCCTTACTGTCGGGTGGGCCGGTCGTTTGCACTGCCTGGGTGTTTTCTTGGTTACTAATTTTCTCAGAAGGAAATGATCCTATGGCTTATGCTAGCCACGTTTGTGCATATATGCCCTGTAATTGGCATTTATTAAGGAGACCTTCAGTTTGATGGATGACTGTCAGAGCTGAGCCTGCTGGCTTTAAAGACAGTTGACTTTGCTTGAATTTTGTTACATTAATTCATTAGAACTCTGCACTGCTTCAACCCACTCTTTGTTTACTTTCTTATAATTAAGATTTTTGAACAATCGATTTTTAGATACGTGGCAGGAGGCCATTCCACACTTGGAGACTTAGTCTGACAGAAAAATATGCACCAGAACAAATATTCATAATAAAAACCTGTGAGTATTAAAACTGAGGTTTTTGTAGTCTCTTTAATTGCTGCCCAGTTAATTAGCAGCTTTTAAACATAAAATTGCTTATTACTTATCTTTACTTTGTATAATTAGGTGTCTTGTTCCTCTACTTTCTTTAAAAGTGAATCCTATAAAAGCAACAGCTGTAGAAATATTTTCAGTACAGGATATTTTTAGAGCTTGTATGCATTATGATATATTACCAACAATGTAAGCAAATAATTAGGAAAATGAAAGGCCATCTGACTCTAAAGATACAATTTTAAGAGGAAAAATATACTGTATATACATTTAAACATTTGATTGTAAATACATAATGCATCCCAATTTTATTTTTAATTTTATGATATAAAAATCTCCCAAGCTATAGTGACACATTTCAAGTTACAAGTTGTATTTCATTTTCTCCTTTGAAACCACCTTCCCACAAAAGTGCACATGAAAATGTCAAAGATTAGATGTCCTTTTCCAATAAACATCTGCAGGATGAACCTTATTTCTTGTTAGGCTTGATGTACCCACTCACTCAAGAGGCACACAATGGTGATGTGTTTGGTGTGTGTGTTTCTTGCAATATTTTTAAGCTGACCTCTACCAAAAACTAAATGCTTGAGGGGAAAGGATGCACTTTCACAAAAAACAAACATGGTTGGAGAGTGTTTGCACTAAGATTACAGACTCACTCATGGTTGTCTCTTTTCTGGCTTGTTGTAACTAGCTGATAAGTTGATTATCTGTGAGGTCTATTTACCAAAGATGATAGCTTGGTGAGTAGATGCGTTCGTCACATCATCCCAATATCTAGATGAGCGAGAAAGGAAAATAAAGAATAAATGAAGAAGGAAAAATAAATAGCATCTACTTATGAAAATAAATACTGTGTGGGGTTATAATTTTTAGTTAGTGCTCTAAGAAGTTTTTAAAGTAATCTTGGGTGTAGTGCTACTGCAGAATGGTACCAGCTCCCTTGACTAGCCTTCCCAAAGGGAAAAGGAAAATGAAACCCAGTTGGTTTCAGGTCACAGATAACCCAACTTTCTTACTCTCCAAAAGGAACTTGAGTTGGCAGAACAAAATAGACTTCTTTGCCAAGGAAGACAACCTTTTAAGTTTAGTGATGAAGTTGATTTATTCTTATTTTATTCAGATGATGGAAAATACGACTAATTGGCTCCTTATTTGGTCCATGATGCTTAGTTAATGTATTCAAAATTGTTACTGGATTGAAAAAATGAATTCACAGGTCAGAACTTCTTTTATTGTGGAGGAAACTAGCAGTCATCAAAAGGGCCATTAAAAAACTGTTTAATGAAGAAAGATGTGACTGTTCACGAAAAGCGTCTAGTCTAAACTTAGCAGGAGGGCCATGGACTCTTTTTTCTCCTAGGTTACAACAGTATAAGAAAACAATCTTGCATCTATTAGGCTTCTGCACAAATTTTACCCTCACAAAGTCATTTCTTTGTGTGAATAAAATATAATTATACATGGAAAGCTTGAAGCTGAAATAAAGTCTTCCTACTAATTTTACATTAAAATGTATGAGATTGTATCCTTTTATTTTTAATTGATGTATTATGATAACTAAGACTAATTTTAAGTGGCTTTCCCTTTCAACTCAAAAACAATGGCTGGCACTTTTTGGTAGTGTTCCGTGTAACAAGCTCTGTTCTAAGTACTCCACATGGATTAACTCATTCAATTATCACCATCTCTTGATGTGGGTACTATTATTATCCGCATTGTAAAGGCAATAAAATGGAGGTATCGAGAGGATAAGTAACTTGGCCAGTGTCATGCAGCTAGTGAGTGGTACATTGGAGATGTGAATATGGGCATTCTATCTGCAGATTCAAGGCTCTACAATCCAGCCTTTAGTTTGGTTAAGTAGTTGAGGATCCTTATACAAACACCTAAATTTACTGCATTTATTATTCAGAAGACTCTTTGGAACAATGTTCCAAAGAATATTTCATTATGTTGAGAAGCCTAACATGACTATTACACAAACATATCTATACACATAGTAATATCCTTTTACCTTAACTCTCATATCCTAGCACATGACTAACAAAGGAGTTGAAGGCTAGCAGTATGGTCAAGTTTATACCATGTGTGATTGTCATACTGTGGAGGGAATGGGATTTGACCTGTGGCCTAGCCAAACAGTTGTAATATTGAACCATATTATAACAGAGTTCTACTTTGTTTTAAAAATACAATTATTATTTTAAAAAGGAGATGAAGCAACAATAATAAAAAAAACCCCAGGCCCCCAAAGTAGTTTCTATAAAAATTTGTCAAGTTTTCATTTTTTTTTTGAGACGGAGCCTCGCTCTGTTGCCCAGGCTACAGTGCAGTGGCGTGATCTCAGCTCACTGCAAGCTCCGCCTCCTGGGTTCGCGCCATTCTCCTGCCTCAGCCTCCGGAGTAGCTGGGACTACAGGCGCCCGCCACCACGCCCGGCTAATTTTTTGTATTTTTAGTAGAGATGGGGTTTCACCGTGTTAGCCAGGATGGTCTCGATCTCCTGACCTCGTGATCTGCCTGCCTCGGCCTGCCAAAGTGCTGGGATTACAGGCGTAAGCCACCGCGGCCGGCCAAGTTTTCAGAAGTAAGTGTTTTGAAGTCTACTTAACAAAGTCCAGCAATATTTAGGTTCAATAAATGAGGCTGGTTTTTATCACTAGACTGGAATAATTAATTCTGGGATAATCTACACTTCAGTCGAGTGAATTACAGCTCATAATGCTCATTGAAGATAATGCAAAGGTATAAAATGTCATACATAATTTTTTGAATTTCAAACTCCTAGACAAAGAGATTTTGATTATTCTGACATCTTTGAAGTTTCTAGCAGAATACAATGTCCATACAGGAAATACTCTGCTGAGAGGATTGAGAATCAATGTGTTCATCTCACTGATGAGAAAAACAGAAATTATGCACAAAGATAAAATTATATAAACTTTTATGTGAATAAATTGAACCAATATATATAGTTTTTAGGGTTTGTTCACTAAATATTGATAGAATGTTTACCGTACATTGAGGATACAGGGGTGAGCAAGACAGAGAACTCTTTAATGAATTAACAGCAATAAATAAATAATCTAACATCAGATAATCATAGAGTTGGAGAAAATAAGGCTGGGGAATGGGGCAAAAACTGATGTCATCCAACGAGCGTGGCGTGTTGTCTGTTTTAAATAGAGTGGTTAGGGGAGGCGTCTCTGAGATGCCACTATTTGAGCAAAAATCTAAATAATAAGGAGCAACAGTGGCATTTCTTGTATTTTGACACATAGGATAAATAATTGTTAACACCCCTCTCCACTTCAGACACAATTATTTTTAGTAATAATCATGCAAGAAGAAGAATGATAATAAAGCCCAGTTAAAAAAAACCAGACAATGAAAAAAGAATTTATTGAACCTCATGTGTATTATCATGCCAGTTACAAAACTGATGTAAAAGGTAAAAATAAAATAAACATTATGGTACAATAAAGGAAAAAGGAATAGATTAGCACTTTTAAGTTGGGGTTTGTTTCTGGACTCTCAATTCTATCCTGACCTATATGACTGTCCTTATGCCAGTACTACACAATCTTGAATCTATTGTTTGTGTAGGAATTTTAAATCTGTTTTTTATGTAGTCTATAGCAACTAAGGAGTTGGAGACACAAACTGTACCCAAAGTGACTTGTAACTATTCTGAATCGATTAGGAACTTACTCTTGAAATGCATTCAAGTATTTATGACTGTGTCTGTTGGGGACCGACTATATAACTAGAGTTCTCCAAATTAGCTTTCATGTAGAATATAATGTTTATGGAAGGACAAATAACAACATATTTTGGTAGAAAAACATGTTTTGTTAGAAACAACATATTTTGGTAGAAATAACATTTTATCACTAACATTATTTAAAATTGCTGGTGCAGAGTGAAAAATAAAAAGTAGACTGAACTGACTTCAAGTTGGTTTTGTCACTGTTTTACAGTTCTCTACCAACAGTACATCTCAAAATTGCCTATAAGCAGGGCCGACTGCCCCTACCACCAGTTCATCATCAGGTACCATTAAGGAGGAGTATATCATCTGAGATCTAGAGGAAGAGCCTCCTAACAAGAGGGAACAGAAATGCTAAAACCTTATATCACAAGCGAGTTTGAGATTTTTAAGGAACCGAGAGAAGGCCATTATTGTAGCTAGAGCATAGAGGTGAGGGTGCATGGTAGGACATAAGGTGGGGGGAGGGACTGCCCTTATAATAGTGCCTTTTAGCTGGGACCACCACAGGATTAATGGTTCAAGCTGTGGCACTTCTGAGAGTGAAAGAGACCAGTGTTAATAATTACATCGTGACAGCAGGCTTAATGGGACCGTCCAGGAAGATTAGGATGAATAGTCACCATGCTTAAAGGATATGGCACAGAGTTGAATTTTAACTAACCATAGAATTCGACCAAAAAGTCAACGGTGATGATGGCTAAATGCATTTATTAAATGCAAGTGAGCAATAATCTGACTTAACACCATTAGTAAGTTATGAATTAGGGAGACCGAGTAGTATGTATAGTGTAGTGGTTTAGAGTAGTGCTTATCAATCTTCAGCATGCGTAAGAGTCACATGGAGGGCTTGGTTAAACATAGATGGCTGGGTCCCGCTCCCTAAAACTGTGATTCAGCAGGTTCTGCATTTCTAGCAAGCTCCCAGGTGCTGCTGATGCTTCCAGTCTATGGAGACCAGACTTTGAGTAGCACTGGTTTAGAGACAGTACTTTAGACACTTTAGACAGACTTCATTTAAATTTCAGCTTTCGTGGTTATTGACTGGGTGGCCTTGGGCAAGCTAAATATCCTTTCCGCATCTTTTCTCCTCATCTGGTAAAATGGTGATTATAATCCTTGCCGTATATAAATGTTATGAAGAGTAAATGTGATAAAACAGTTGGCACTGTGTTTGGCATTATTGTAGTCACTGAACGTGTGTTATTGTTATTGTTGTTAAAGAGAAGAATCATGGTGAGTAATAATTATTAGATAAAACTATGAACATGTTCAGATACTGCATTGTAAATCAACCCTAGAAGTATATAGCTGCAACTACATACCCTAGAATAGTGTATCAATACCTGGAAAATAATAGGCTCTTAATGCTTGTTGACTGAAAAAGCATTTGGTGAATTCACTTAATGAAAAAGCAATTGGTGAATTCACTTAACTGGGTGGATAGAAATAATTGATTCTCATCCTATTATACCTCTTTTATTCTCAGAGCTTACATTCAGCATAAACCAGAGCACACAAAACTCCTGCCTCTCAGCTGTGAACAATTTGATTTATTAAGTCAGTTAGGATAGATTTAAACTTGAAATTGATGAGACAGTTACAGTTGAGCGTTTCCTGGTGTGTGAATGTGGAATGAACTTTAGACAATAATACTAATGCTGTGTTCAGATAGAGATGTGGTAGTTGTAGAAATATCTACTGCAAAAATTAGGTTTACTTAGTTTGCTTTACTGAGTTATAGCAGTGTTGAAAGCAAAGTTCAAAATATCCTTCTTTAGTATTACTGAAGAAACACTTTAAAAAAATCCTAATTTCCATTGGAAAAATAATAGGCCAAACTACTGTGAAGAGGAGCCTACAGAAAGGGATCTGCTAATATTAGATCTGAATGATTTGTCTTTTGTCCAGTGGCCATCTGATTTCCACATGGGAAAATAGGTACTTCAGGATGGGTGGGGAAAAGGAAGAAGGAAAGGAACTAACATTTTTTGAATATTTGCTATGGGCTAGGCACTCCACTGTGCGCTAGGACATTTATATATTCTAGTTAATTCATTCTTCATAACCATCAGGTATTATCACTCCCCTTTCATTTCTGAGGACTAAAGGTTTAGGAAGACAAAAGGAGAAATAGATGGTGTCCCTGTAAAGCCCACTCTCTCTTTTTAAAAATGATTTGTATAGTGCCTAATGCTTAATGTTCTTTTTTAGGTTTTTAAAAAATTTCAACTTTGATTTTAGATACAGAGTATATATGTTTAGAGATGCAGATTTGTTACATGGGAATATTGCATGATACTGAGGTTTGGAGTATGGATCCTGTCATCCTGTCACCCAGGTACTGAACACAGTACCTTATGGGTAGTTTTTTCTTAAACCCATTCCCCCTACCCTCTAGTAGTCCAGAGTGTCTGTTGTTCCTATATTTATGTCTATGTGTGCTCAATGTTTAGCTCCCACTTATAAATGAGAACATGCTGCATTTGGTTTTCTGTTCCTGTGTTAATTTGCTTAGGATTGTGACCTCTAACCCCATCCATGTTGCTGCAAAGGACATGATTTCATTCCTTTTTTGTGACTGTATAGTACTCCATGGTGTGTGTGTACCACATTTTCTTTTTTTACCACTATCTTTGGAAAGGGTACTTCTATAGGTGATCACTATTATATATGGTTATACAGTTTTCTATCAATGTGGAAGATTTGCTACATTTATTATAGTTTCCTAGCTTGTTACTAAGACAACTTAGGTACTGAAGAGATTCTGGTGTGGTAATTGAATATAACAATTCTCGCTGAGCCTTTTTATGTTTATTCAGAGTTGATTTAATTCTTTCCATAGTTTTGTCTTTATTGCAGCATCTTACTGTATAATTCCTATGCTAGGATTTGAAGCTTCGGTAGTTGAAGTGCACAATAAAAGAGAATATCCAAATATTTTAATTCCTAATTGTTACTATATCTTATCACTCTAAGCAATATAAAGCAACAAAACTGTTAAGCCAATAATGGTTTTGGGCTTAATAATGTAGTATTTCCCTCTTTGTTTGTGGGCCTTAGTTATAAATTAACCAATCAGAAATTCCTGTTTGATACAACAGTCTTGGGAGACAGGGACCATTTGGAGACAACCACATTCTGATAGACAGAAACAAGAAGCAAATCACTGTAAGTGTATTGAGTGCTGGTCATGAGGTGAGGCCACTGTAGGTGGCATGCCTTTTGTTTGCATCATGTCTTGAGACTCACCTTTGCCACAGTTGAGTCATTTTCCGTGACGTGTCACTAACAACACATCTTCTCAATTACAACTCTCTCAAGAGGTTACATCTGATATTACATCTAACATTAGGGGAGATGTACCCAAGTGTTAGAGATGATTAGGCCATTTAAAAAGTGTTCTAACTTAGGTAACATTGTAATGCCTGTATTAACCTACGGCTTTTCTCACGTTCCCAAATAAAGTTGAGAAGAGTTCACAAAAACACTTTACAGGGATCATGATCAGGGTCTTATAATGTCATTGGTAGTAACTACCCTTAAAATTAGATTCAGGGGATGGGTAGAATATTTCTCCAGATTAATAGCATCTTGACTATCCCCCTGCCTCTCTCCAAACTAGGTGACAGGATTAAGGAGAATAGATAGAGGTAGTCGATAACCATTTAACAATTTATTTATTCATTCTACCTACAACTTTTGGATTAGCCAAAGACAATTGTATATTTGGGCCTGGAAGTTGACCCTGCCACCGTCCTGTTATCTGGGAAGAATTTAGGGCAAATGATGGCATAAATTCTATGAGATATCTTGATTATGGAGCATGCTGAATCTTAATTCTATCTGGAATCTCATATTGCCTCTGTGTTGAATGAGCCAGTCACTTATAAGTATACAGCTGATCATGTGCCCTATCATCCTAGTGAAAGAAGACATATACAAATAAATTCATTCATTTGTTCAATTAGTATTCATTAAATACCTACCAAGTACTAAGTAGTAGTTTTTTTCTTGTTTGTTTGTTTTTGAGGCAGGGTCTTGCTCTGTCACCCAGGCGGAAGTGCAGTGGCACGATCATGGCTCACTGCAGTCTCGACCTCCTGGGCTCAGGCGATCCTCCCACCTCAGCCTCCTGAGTAGCAGGGAACACAGGTGCACACCACCATGCTCAGCTAAAATGGTTTTTTTGTACTTTTTGTAGAGACAGGGTCTTACCATATTGCTTAGGCTGGTCTTGAATTCCTGAGGTCAAGCAATCTGCCAGCTTCAGCCTCCCTAAATTCTGGGATTACTGGCATGAGGCACCGCTCTTGGCCGTGAGTGGTTAATAAGACAAAAGTAGTCTGTGCCCTCAGGGACACTGAGCACAATTACAACAGTATATGATGAATGCTACAGTAGAAGTTAGGGTTTCTTTGAGCATTGCCAGGGCCTTGATCTTACTTAGAGTAAAGAAAGATATCTCGAGTTTAGTCTGTTTGGGCTGCTGTAACAAAATACCATAAACTGGGTAGTTTATAAACAATAGAAAGGTACTTCTCAGTTCTGTACGCTGGGAAGTCCAAGATCACTGACAGTTTTGGTGTCTGGTATGGACCTTCTTTCTGGCTAATAGATGGCAGCTTCTAGCTGGGTCTTCATAGGGTAGAAGGGGCAAAACAACTCCCTGGGGCCTCTTCTATAAGGGCACTCTTTCCATTCATGAGGCTCCACCCTTGTGAGCTAATCCCCTACCACAAGCCCCACATCCTAACACATTACCTTAGTGATTAGGTTTCAGCCTGTGAATTTGGCGGGGACACAAACCTTCAGACCATGGCACTAAGAAAGTGACATTTGGATTGGGGATAGGCAGTGATAATGGCATGTTCCAACTGAATGTTTGTCAGGTTCCAGGAACTGAAAGATGCTCAGTGTGACTGGAAGAGCAAGCGAAATCTTTGGTCTGAGCAGGAGGCACAGGCTAGATAGTAAGAGTCTTTCAGGGCATGTTAAGGTATTTAGACTGGATTATAAAGATAATGAGAAATTACTGAAGAGTTTTAACCTGGAGCATCATGTTCAGATTTGTGTTTTATGATGATCACTCCGGTAACTCCAAGGGTTGTGTGGAGGAAACATGGATTGGATAGGAGCAAGGTTAAAGTGATAATGAGGAGGCAGATTGACAGAACTTGGTTATTTATAAAATGAGACAGAGGAGTCAAAGAAATCCCTGGATTAGTGATTTGAGCTACATGGGTAGACACCAAAGACAAGGAGCATTAGGGAAAACCTTGGGGGTGGGGGTGAGAGGTAGGGAAGAAGGAAATGAGTTCAGTTCTGAACATGATGCATTGGAGGGTGTGTGGGATACCAGGTAGGCTGTTCTTCACTAGGCAGTTAGAAAAGTGGGTCCAAAGGTCCACAGATCTGGGCTGACGACAAAAATGTGAGGGTGACCAGTTGTACGTGGATGTGAATTAAAGTTCTGCAAGTATATAGAATGAAAACAACAGAGGGCCTATGATGGGGCCCTCAGTGGAGCACTGACATTTAAAACATTTACATTTTGAAGTGATGATTTAAAGAAACTATTAGATGAAAACATCTTTAAAAAGTTTTTTAAGGAAAAGAGAAATGCTTGTGAGCCTGGGGTTTTCCTTTCTTTCCTAGAACTGATTTCTAGCTTACTTTTACCTCAAGTGAAGTCATACAAATCCCAAACCATAGTCTGTTCTGTTGTGGTTAAATTGATTCTCGAATGCAAACCATTTTAAAACATGCAAAGAGAAAAAAAAAAAAGGAAAATAATGGAAAGCCAAAGCAACAAATTATCCTTAGCTAAAACTTTATGAACATAACGCATAATCAAAGCAACCATAAAGGCAGTGTTGCCAACATTTGATGATGGAGAGAAGGCCCTTGTTTCTTTTCCCGTTTATACCACTGCCTTCCAGTATCTTTCCATTTTTCAAATCCTTTGGAGATAGGGATCTTTATATTCTGTCTTGCATCTGATTTCACAGGTGTGTGGCAGAAACTAAGAATAATGGCTCCCAACTTGCTCTTTTTTTAACTGCTTATTAAGGGCCTTTGACTGAATGGCAAAACCACTCTTCTTTTTTATGTGGACAAATCCATGTCCACAAAACCTTGATTTTCGGTGTGATTGCAGTGGAACTCTCCTTCCTTCTTAAATAGGTCCACCATGTGGTGGACCTATTCCTTATCCTGACGTATCATCCAAGTTTTTTTCTGTTTTCCCCTGTGGGGAAGATAATGTGGTTTGCATTCTTTTGGAAGTCTTGGACACCAAGAACTTTGAGGTCAGCTCAACTAGGGAAGTGAAGGAAAGAATGTCAGCTAACCCAGCAGTGAAACCTCAGGAGTGTGTGCCTTAAAGGCCATTTTCTCTATATTTTTCTTTTTTTCCTCTTGTGTATTAACCACAAATAACCACAGGCTTTAAACCAGCTTCATAAGAAGCCACCAACAAATGTTTAAAGCATCTCAACAAGATTTTCAAGAAAGTCCTGGATAAAATTGTGTTTGAATGACGAGCAATATGTCATCTTTCTTTTTTTAAATCCACTGTCTCTAGTTTATGTAAAATTAACTTAAATCTCAAATTTTAAGAAATTAGGAAATGTAACTCTCACTGAGCATAGAGAAATGTCTTTCGTTTAAAAATTTTAAAAAAATTTTTAAAATGTCTATAGATTTAAGTCCTTTTGATTTGGAAAGAAGGAAAGCAAAAGCCCCACAGAGTGGATTAACATTAAGGATATTGTTACCAGCAGATTTTAGTGCCTTTTGTTTTATTTTGTTTTTGGTTAAAACCTTAACCAAAAACTGTATATTATAGGGATTTACTGACCATTATATTAATATTCTCATGTGAATTTCGACAAAGCACGCAAACATACTCATGTATACACACATATGTAAAAGTCTTTTTCTTTAGGAAATATTTTTACAACTACCCATCTAAGATTGCTAATGACATGTAAATTACCCAGTGTAGGGTAGTATGAAATAGAATGATACAATGTTTTGAGTATTTTTATAGAGGGGTCTGCTCCTTATCTACCTTACCTTTCTTTTGAGGTGTCTTTCCATGTTCTATGTCACGTGTTCTAAAATTCAATTGTTATACATAACATACGGATTTTCATGTAGTCATAGGTTGTGTCCGCGTGTATAATCTAGTGTGAAGGTAGTCAAGTAAAGGGATAGACAAAGAGAAAGCAAAGTAATTCACTTAAAATCCAGAGAACTTTACAATGTTGAAAAGTAAGTAAAAGCAGATGTTGTAAAGTTTAGAAAATCAAGACATTATTTTCCTGTTTCCATTGAATTTTTTCTAAACACATTATAAATAAGCTTTGAAGTAATACAAAGTCTTCTGTTTATTTTGCTGATAGCATCTTCTGTAAAAAACTTTATCAATGCTTGTTTAAGTTATAGACTAAATGATATCTCAGCGTGGTGCAAGTATTGACTATATCTTCTGGCAAATACAGTGCTACAGTGCTGAAATTACTTACAATGTCTGAGTTACTCAGATATCTATTTGATTAGGTCTTTGGGGTTTAATGTTA
Source organism: Homo sapiens (assembly GCF_000001405.40). NCBI lineage: Eukaryota > Metazoa > Chordata > Mammalia > Primates > Hominidae > Homo > Homo sapiens. Next base: position 37,077,043 of record NC_000014.9, on the reverse strand, counting down.
CAAACAGCTCAAATTTTTTATGCCATCAGAAAATAAACATGGAACCCCAATATTTCATTATTCACATACTTTACGTTAATTTTATATTTTATGGAGACTTTATTTTATTCTGCAATAGAGAGACGTTGCTTTATTAGTCTGTGTAATTGTTCTGACAAGAGTGGCCTAGGAATTTGAAAATAATGCTCTCCATGCTGTACCCTTCCCCATGTTCCATGCTCTAACTCAGGCTCATATTAAACATTAAGAAGTCTTACGGGGGCCAGGTGCAGTGGCTCACGCCTGTAGTCCCAGCAATTTGGGAGGCCGAGGTGGGCAGATCACCTGAGGTCAGGAGTTCGAGGCCTGGCCAACATGGTGAAACCCCGTCTCTACTAAAAATACAAAATTAGCCGGGCATGCTGTCAGGCGCCTGTAATCCCAGCTACTTAGGAGACTGAGGCAGGAGAATCGCTTGAACCTGGGAGGCAGAGGTTGCAGTGAGCCGAGATCGCTGCACTGCACTCCAGCCTGGGTGACAGAGCAAGACTCTGCCTCAAAAACAAAAACAAAAATAAAATAAAGTCTTATAGGCTGGGTGCGGTGGCTCACACCTATAAACACCAGCACTTTGGGAGGTCAGGTGGGCAGATCACCTGAGCTCAGGAGTTCAAGACCAGCCTGGGCAACATGACGAAACCCCCATCTCTACTACATCTCTACTAAAAATACAAAAATTCGCTGGGCCTGGTGATGCACGCCTGTAATCCCAGCTACTTGGGAGGCTGAGGCAGGAGAATCACTTGAGCCCGGAACGTGGAGGTTGCAGTGAGCTGAGATTGCTCCACTGCTCTCCAGCCTGGGTAACAGAGCTGGACTCTGTCTTAAAAAAAAGAAGAAGAAAGAAAAAAAGAAGTCTTACAATGTGGCCTCTACATATGAAGACTGTTTCAACTGAATTGTCATTTTTTAGAGTTGCTTCTAAAATTTAATATGTAAAAGAGCTTAGGGGAGAGCCAGAGCAAGGTGTTTGCTAGCTCGGGGAAGCATAGGCTTGGCTCCAGGGCAGGTGCCCATCCTCACAGCTTCCGCTGGCCCTCATCATTTGGAGGCACCAACTGTCTTCCAGCTGTTAATGAATGTCCTAGGCTCAAAACTGCATCCCTGTGGAGGATATTTTCAGGGCGTAAGCCAATTCTGGAAATGACGGGCTGTTAAAATATGGAACGAGGGAAATCAGTTCATATCAACGACATAAACCATCATCTGTCTGTTATTACATTCATTCAGCTGGGTCACATATGACTCAATAATCAAATTACCACCCTATATATCTTAAATCCACATGTATATTCGACCACCATGTGACATGGGAAAACAAAGATAAACTGGGATGTCTTCTCTTTATTTTACTTCTTTTAAATGTGTCTTTTTTTCTGCATACATAAGTAAAATTGCTTGTAAATTTTGAAGATTATATAATATGGAAAGTGAGTGCCCACAGTGGATGTCCCTCCTTCCCCCGTCACTCTATGTACACTGTTTATAGTTTGGTGTGTGTATCATTGACTTCTTAATCATAAATGGAAGTTTCTATTTTTAATACTGTACCAATACAATTGTGACCTTTTAAAATTAATTTAAGTGAAAAATTGTCTGGGTCTATCAATATGAAGTTTCAAAGGTAGATAAAATTTAAGTGGGGAAAAATAAAGCAATCTGTTTTTCTGTTATTTATGCTTCAGCTTCTTTCAAGAAGCATTTGAAATAGCTTCCAGTAAAATCTAGAGCAAGGGAAAATACCACCAAGAACCACCCATGAAGTGTAAATCAGAGAAAGAAAGGGGAAATGTTGAAAGAAGAAGGAAAACGTTAAGTCGAGAGGTATTAGTGGTGGAAAGCTACATTATTTGGTGTAAAACATTGCACGTGGTTTCAAAGTGGTCTTCATAGTTCAGTTTTTACTGGGTTGCAAAGGGAAGCTAGTTCCTTTGAGAAGTATTTGCACAGGAAACCTTCATCTATGGTCAAAATATTAACTTCACAGGGTCCATGTAATTAACAATGATGCTTTCAGGCAGGGACAATGGCTTCTACAACTTTGTATTTCCAGGACCTAGCACTGTGCTCTCCAATACCAGGCCCTAAACACATTTGGTAGAGTAATGAATGAGTGAAACAGCAAATGAAGCAATGAGTGACGAGTGTAATCATTGGCCATTTATTTTTATTTTTATTTTTTTGAGACAGAGTCTCACTCTGTCACTCAGGCTGGAGTGCAGTGGCGCGATCTCGGCTCTGCCTCTCGGGTTCCAGCAGTTCTCCTGCCTCAGCCTCTCGAGTAGCTGGGATTACAGGTGCACACCACTACGCCTGGCTAACTTTTTGTATTTTTAGTAGAGACGGGGTTTCACTATGTTGGCCAGGCTGGTCTCGAACTACTGACCTCAGGTGATCCATCCACCTTGGCCTCCCAAAGTCCTGGGATTACAGGTGTGAGCCACCATGCCTGGCTGCCTTTTGAATTCTTGTAGGTGCTTCCCATTGGCTAAACCCAATAGGAAGCCAGAAAGCAAAAGGAAGTACAGTTGATTAAGTTCTTAGAATTCAGCCTTCTGGGAACAGAGCCAGGTTGAAAGAATAGAAAAGAGCGGATTTGGAGAGGCAAATGAAGAATGTCTAACATAAGTGAGGATCATGATTTCTAATTCCATCAAGGAAGAGTGGCCCCATTTTCAGTCAATAGTGGTATAAGTTGTATGTTGTGAAATATAGAAAACATCAGTTTCAACCGTAGAATAGTACCACATCATTAGAAGCAAACTATTGTATAAAAACAGAGGTTTTTTTTTTTTTTAACTGCAGTTGATTTGCTTTATTGTTGACTGCTAAAGAAAGGATTGAAGATACTTGTTCATTTATATTAAGTTGTATGTATGGAATAATAGCTCTTTCTTTTTTCCTTTTGTTCTTAAGTAAAATATTACCTTACCCATTTGAACAGAGACGAACATCATTCCTGGGAGGTAGGAAGACTAGTTCTAGATATAATTGACAAGGTGAATTTCTGGACCTCTTTCTAGAGCTTTGTAGGGATGTTTTTTCTCAGATGCACAAAATGATTTTTTTTTTTTGGATCTAGAAGAAAGGCAGAAAGCATTTTGGACACTATAGATATGTTCAAAGAGTACAGAAATATGCGAAAATGGTTAAGTTCCTTGATCAATCAAGGAGCAGTGGGATCGCAGGAGGCTAACCTGGGTTATGCCCAAATAGGTAAGTCAGCATTTGATCTTAAATTGATACCAGAGTGCCTGGCAGAGCATTTAACCTGGACACAAGACAAGAGGGCCTGTTGGCTTCAGGAACGATGCTAGGAGAAAGTCCAGGGTAGCAGGGGCAGGCTGGAGGTGGTCGAGGCAGAAAAACACCTCCATTCCCTTAGGGTCCCAGTTGGGACTGAGAGTTAAATTACATAAAATAGATTAATAGCAGAAAAGCATAATACAGATTTTACTTGGCACAGGAGTCCTCATAAAGAATGAAGACCCAGGCAGGCTGTAGTGGCTCATGCCTGTAATCCCAGCTCTTTGGGAGGCTGAGGTGGAAGGATCGCTTGAAGCCAGGACAGGAGCAGCCTGGACAACAAGGCAAGACACTGTTTCTACAAAAAATTGCATATATAGATATATAATGAATAAAAGAGAAAGAAATGATGACCCAAAGAAGCAGTTAGAGTCAGTTACTTATATAGTGGATTGGAAAAAGAATAGGGAACTGTGAAAAAGTGACTAAGGAAGGATTAAAAGCTAAGAGTTATTCTAACAAGGTCTATACAATATTCTCTTGGTCTCAGCTACTCACCATTGAAGATAAGGATGTTGCTTTTCATTCTTAGGATAGGAGGAGTGTCTGTCACATGGAAATGTCATCTTCTGTTTTTGAGAAACAGCGTGAAGGTCAAAGTGATCTATTTGCACTAGCTGTTTTTTCAAGTGTTCTTAACTTAAATAGTCAATATGCCAGAATAGAATATTTTAGCCCTTTCAACTGGATGAATCTAGGAACCAAGATAAAGAGTGACACGTTGTCCCAGGACCTATGTGTCACATAAATGTGTATAGCTTTTATTATTGTTGATTTTTAGAATTTAAAGATGATATATCTGATGGTGACTATGTTATCTACACATGTATATGTGGCTGAAAGGACTACTTCATAACCAGCGGTTCTTTTAAGCCTGCTAGATTGTTTCCTGATTCCTTGTTTTAAGTGATATTTCTAGAAAATATTTTTCTTTTTTTTCTTTTTTGTTTTTATTTTTGAGACAGAGTCTTGCTCCGCCCAGGCTGGAGTATAGTGGCGCCATCTCAGCTCACTGCAGCCTCTGCCATCTGGGTTTAAGCAATTCTGTCTCAGCCTCTGGAATAGCTGGGCCTAGAGGTGTGCACCACCACGCCCAACTAAGTTTTGTGTTTTTAGTAGAGACAGCATGTTAGCTAGGCTGGTCTCGAACTCCTGACCTTGGCCTTGGCCTCCCAAAGTGCTGGGATTACAGGCGTGAGACATTGCACCCAGCTGAAAATATTCTTCTTAGGACTCTCTTTGGTTTGTGCTCAACCAGAAGCCTTCCCACACATAAGACCCTGCACATCCCCTACTTTAGAGTATGAGGCTACCTGGTAGAGATACAGTTTCCCAACATTCACTGATTTGAAGCTGCCTTTGGCACAGCCTGAGGCTCTGTGGAAATCAGAGTATGGCCCCTGGATGCAGAGTCCTCTCAGAATTTGAGATTGATTCAAGAACAATACAGTGAGAATGGAAATGCTGTTTTACAAATTTCAAGATGTATTTCCTCCACTTTTTTTTTTTTTTTTTTTTTGAGACAGTCTCACTCTGTCACGCAGGCTGGAGTGCAGTGGCGCAATCTTGGCTCACTGCAACGTCTGCCTCCTGGGTTCAAGTGATTCTCTTGCTTCGGCCTCCTGAGTAGCTGGGATTACAGGTGCCTGCCACCATGCCCAGCTAATTTTTGTGTTTTAAATAGAGATGAGGTTTCACCACGTTGGCCAGGCTGGTCTTGAACTCCTGACCTCAGGTGATCCACCCACCTCAGCCTCCCAAAGTGCTGGGATTATAGACGTGAGCCACTGTGCCCAGCCTACATTTTAACATCTCTGAATAAGGGTATATTTAACATTTACTGTGGCCTTCCAACTAATTAGTAGCATTTTTCTTCTTCAGCAGCACATGCAAATGATGATGCATTTGAGGAATGACTGCATCTTAGATTTGACAAAATGCAGAGTAGTTTAAAAAATTGAATCTTGAAAGCATGCTTATACATACAATTCAGGTGTTTTTCTAGTCTGTCTTGAGTAACCAGAATGTATCTCTGGATCTAGACTATAACTGAAGAAAGTTGAAGTCTAGTTAATTGCTTTCTAACTGAATATATAGCAAATAGATTTTGTCTTATTTTTCAACTAGATTTGATTTGTAATGATTATCAAAAACATAGTGTTAAGAAATATTCTGAAGCTACCTTCTAGCTCAGGGCTGCTTCTGTTTATAGGGGTTTTAATGGGTAGAGGAATTGAAAAATGGCAGCATGTGAGCCAGGCATTTGTCTTCTTTTCTATAAACTCATTGAAAAGGAATGTCTTCATTGAGTTTGCATAAAAAAGAGAACTGGAATTTAATAACTAATAAGTGCTTATCCAGTATTGCTCCAGTCTCTAAAAAATAGTATCTGATGAACACAAGTTGTCTGGCAGTAACACTGATGTATTATATTCTGCAGTGGGATTAATTTAACATTTTTAAAAATTTTCATCAATACCATGTATACATCTTTGCTTTGATTCTATACTTGCCAAGAAACCTTCTGAATTAGCTTTCCAGAGGATTAATGCCCTTGACGATCTATTGGATATTTTACAAATGGCTAATCATTTTGGAATGTGGCTTCATGTCAGCATAAATGGACAAATAGCCCAGTGTCTTCTCCTTTCCCTTTTGCTGCTGTACTTTAGTTTGTCTTGCAAAGTTATTTGAAAATTCTGCTTTCAAAGAAAGTCTCGGTATTTCAGGACCTTGTGTGATGAGTCCTTCCCCCGGGGAAACTGATGTGACAGCTTGTCCAGTGAGCAAAGCAGCCCAGGATTAAGATGAGGTGAACCTGACAGGGGCAGAGCGCTTCTCACCTCTGCACCCTATCTTCACTGACAAGCACCATTTCACCCAAAGCCCTTCTTCATTCCGGTGTATATGGTGATTCCACAAGTATCTTAATCACTTCCAGGCTTGCTTAGAAATTGTTTTAGAATAAACAATCTCTCTTTTTACCTTGTAATGCCCTGCACCAGGAACATGATGTGCAATTCTGGTCAGCAGCCCTCAATGAAGACATGATTAAAGTGAGAGGGTACAGAGAAAGTTAACTAACATGAACAAAAGAATAATAATTAGCTTAAGTTGGAGAATTAATCATTAAATATATTTTTTCTGAGTGTAGCATCAAAAGGGGGGGCTATTGACAAAGGAAGAAGACTGAGAAAGGGGATGTGAATAAAATTTATAATATCATACAAACTATGCTTTCTGATTTATTGAATCCTGGCATACTAGGACTTAGGGCATTTGCAGAAGTTTAAAAGAGGTCTACAATGAATAGAAACTTGTGGAGTGCATTATCCTAAGATGTGATGCAGATTGAAAATATAAATAGGTTTACTAAAAGTTTAGATAAGCTCATGGATAACAGATTGAGGAAACAATGACAATTTGGAGTATGTCCACAGCACTTGAAGGAAATCAGACCTCTTCCTCTGTCATATGTCTCTTGGTGTGCCCATCAAAGAAGGTAAATGGGCATAGGTAGGATATATATTAGAGTCCGATTAGGATGGTAATACAGTTGCCAAAATGTAAAGAACAAAACAAAACCCTGGATCCTGGATTCGTTAAATTACCCAGGTTCCAAAAGGAGACACATGAATGAAATAACTGCCTGTGAATTCTAGGGCACAGGTATGGAGAGCTTCTGTGAAAGAGTGTAACTTGTGCACTAGGAACATCTGATCTTTGTTATCAGTGGGGTGAACAGTAATGTGCGTGTGTTGAACACAGGCAGAATTAGGGATCATATAGCCTTCTTTTTCATAGACCACCATGTTGCTTGTGTCAAGCCTTTTCTTGAGCAGAGAACCAGGGTTTTGTCTGCAAATTAATGCATAATAAATGAGACCCAGCCATTTGTATAAAAAGCAGAAATAAAAGTTTCCTTTAAGCTATTTCCTTTTAAAATGTTCCTGGAAAAGGGCCTCTATTCTTTTATTTAGAATAAAACTGGAAATGTGGTAGAAATATTTTTGTAGTAATTTTTTTTACAAATAAATTTTATTGGCATTCTTTGCTGTCTCTCCCAGTATGAATTAGTTCCTTGCATGATTTACTTCTGTTTTCAACGAAGAAGGCTGAAACTGATTAAAATTAAAACAGCCTGCAGTTCTATTAGGATGCATGTGGTACTGTTTCTCACCTTTTATCTTCTCTGATGATAATCATATATTTTTTCTTTCACAATATGCTGGCATGTTTTTAAAGGATGTCTACGCATATGTTCCTAAACACATATTTGTACACACATCAAGGATAGAGACATAAATATCATGAGGGCATAATCTACTGTTGCCACAGATACTCTATAATTTATCACAACCATGTTATACTCTCAGTAATTTATCTTATGAGATGGTGGGTGCAGATGGGTGCTCTTGAAAACCACACCCCTGAATCTGAAAAAGAATCAACTAATATGGTCGTATGTTTCAGTGTCATAAACAGTAATAAGAGAAGTACCTTAAGTTTTTTTTTTTTCTTTGAGATGGAGTCTCACTCTGTTGCTCAGGCTGGAGTGCAGTGGCATGATCTCGGCTCACTGCAAGCTCCACCTCCCAGGTTCACGCTATTCTCCTGCGTCAGCCTCCAGAGTAGCTGGAACTACAGGCTCCTGCCACCATGCCCGGCTAATTTTTTTTTGTATTTTTAGTAGAGACGGGGTTTCACCGTGTTAGCCAGGATGGTCTCGATCTCCTGACCTCGTTATCTGCCCGCCTCGACCTCCCAAAGTGCTGGGATTACAGGCGTGAGCCACCGCGCCTGGCCAAGTTGTCTTTTTAAAGAGAAAAATTGCTTTTTTTAGCTTATAATGTTTGGGGAGTCTCAAGAATTGAAAGAAAATATGATTGTGCTCATAGATCTTTTTCTGCCATATTATTTCTTTATGATCTTTATGCCTGTTACATGGGATGTACATATCAGGTGTTAATAAGTCAATTTGTATAAATACATTCTTCAATTGAGTACTACCCTTTGTAAGCAAGTAAGCAAAGAATTTGCACTGAATTATTAGCATCTAGCAATGTTTTTCCAGACAAGTGACTAAAATAGATTTAAATCAATTTACAAAATTACATTGCATTAAATTTTGATACTAAATGGGTTCAGTATAGCTATGTGATGCAATTATACAAAATGTGTTAATGTCAAAGAATACAACCAAAATTACAGCAAAACACATATAACTCTTTCCAAAACATTCATTTAATGAAAATCTACTGCAAAAAAAATCATCATACCTTGAATTGTTATAGTGCTTTCACAGTTAAGACACTCTTTCCTCTGACCCACAGAGAACTTTGTGTGAATTATCACACCCATTTTATAGACAGAGAACCTGGTGTCAGAGAGGAAAAGCACTTTAATCACTGTCACAAAATATCTCCTAGTTGGCTTCCCTTTCATCAGGCATCTTTCTTCTGTTCCATTTACCATGTGGCTGCCAGAATGACCTTTCTCCTGCTTAAAATCCTTCGGAGCTCCTTATTCCCGGTATGATGGACAAGTCCACAATGTGGTGACTATGAACCCTGACTCTGCTGTCGCGGCCTGTGTTCAAGTCCGGGGGTTGGCAAACGTTTCCTGTAAAGAACCAGATAGTAAATATTTTAGACTTCATGGGCTATACATCTGTGCCACCACTATCCAGCTTTGCTGTTGTAGGACAAAACAGATGGTGGGCTAGATTTGGCCTGCAGGCCATAGTTTGCTGACTCCTAATTTTGTAATAGAATCACTTAGAATACGGGAAGAAGATATCAGAAGTTCTATTTATATTTTGTTCTTAATCCTATCCTTTTAAATTATTTTTGTGCACATTTTATAATATACATAATATTTTCATAAATAAGTAAATCTACATGTATTCTGAGCACATGCTTAATTTTAGTTTTTACTGATAGGATTTGTATTTGATAGAGTTGAAAGACTAACTCTCTGCTTCACCAATCTACAGCCAAGCTGCTGGCAATTCCCTGAACACACTAGACTATTTTCTGCCTCCATACTTTTGTTCATGGAGTCCTCTCATATATTTACTGCTTTTTTTGCTTGTCATTACTTCTTGCATCTCAGATTTTCCATCTGGGATCACTTTCCTTCCGCTTGTAGTATATCCTTTTGGAATCCATTTTGTCAGGGTCCGATGATAGAAAAAAAATCTCTTTATTTGTCTGAAAACATGCTTATAATAAGGATGCATTTTCTGGGTACAGAATTCAAGGTTGGCAGTTATTGTCTCTCAGTACATTTAATACCTATGTATATAATTTCACAGCATCTTTTGGCTTTTGCTGTTGTTTTTGTGAAGTCAGCTGTCAAACTGATGCTCTTTAGGAATAATCTGTCCTTTACTTCTGGCTGCTTTTACTTCATTTTTTGGAGTAATGCAGTTTTACTCTGATGTTACTACAGGTTCATTTCATTTTATTTGCCTATTCAAAATTCACTGGGATTCATAAATTTGCGATTGTTATATTTTAGTAGTTCTAAAAAATGGTTAGTTCTTCAAATTTTGCCCCTCCTGCTTCCCCATTATTTTTCTTCTCTTCTTCTGGAACTCTAGTTAAATATATGTTACTCCTTAGCCCATTAAGCCTAATCTCTCTTTCGTATTTACATTTTTTTCCCCACTGTACTGTATTCTGGATAATTTCTTCTGCCCCATTTTTTAGAGTGCTAGTATTTTCCCTCATCTATGTCTAGATTGTTGTTGAATCCATTCATTCAGGTCTTTTGTTTTCTTTTTATCTGAAAATAATTTTAAACATTTAAAACTTCTAGATAAGTTGAAAAAGTAAAACAGTACAAAGAATACTTCTAAACTTATTATTCAGGTACATCTATTATCAATATTTTATGCCTTTATCTTTATTGTTTGTTCTCTGTCCTTCTCTCTCTCTCCATGTGTATATAATTTTAAATGTAAATATACATACTTATATATACATGTATATACACACATATACTTTTTAAATGAAATATTTATATGTGTACTTTTTTATGAACCATTTGTTGTAAATTACATACATCATGGTCCTTAACCCCTGAGTACTGCAGTGTTTATTTCTGAAGAGTAAGGATATTTTCATATAGCTACAGTACAAGTATGAATGTAAATACTTTTTGCATGGTAAATTTTAATTTACCACTTAAAAAGTATTAGTACAATGCTTTTTATTTCATCTGTTCACATAATCCATTTTTTCAGTTGACTCAGTGATGTCCTCGATATCATTTTATTCCTCTCCAGTGCCATGTGCAGTGTAGAGTCAGGTATTGCATTTAGTTGTCATGTCTTTGAAGCCTTTTTAAATCTGGAGCATTTTCTTAGCCTTATTTAGTCTTTCATGGCATTTACCTTTTGAAAGACCAAAATCCCCACTCTTACCTTTTAGAAATAGAATATTCCTAATAGGGGGTTTGTGTGATGTTCCCTTATGATTAGATTCAAGTTACACATTTTTGGCAAGAAGACAGCCTTTTTGATACTGTATTTTTCTCCGAGTGTCATATCTGGAAGTGTGGATACCAATTCTGATGAATCGGTTAAGTTACCTGATTTCTCCACCATCTAATTTCTTTTCCTCTCCTCTCTTGAAACTAATAAGCAGCTTGTGGGTTCGCACTTTAAGATTATACGAATATCCCGCTCCTTATACAAATTTTCCCTCAGATTTGGCATTCACTGATGATCCTTGCCTGATTAAATTTAATCTTTACTACAATCATTGTAAAAACCATTCGTTTCAAATTAGTTTTATTTCTCAATTCAAAAGAGTGTTCAATTCCTTTCAAATCTGCTAAGGCACATTTTGTTAATTTTTTTCCTCTTAAATTTTATCCCACTTTTTATTTCTATCTTTAAATATAGTATGCATAATTGTTTTACCATATATGTCTAATGATTCAATATCTGAAGTGTTTGAATGTACCCTTCTTTAAGTGATGTAAATTCAGTCTGCACATTGGCTCAAGGACCACCTTTTAGTTACAACTTCTCAGGGACATTCCTCCTTAATCTGCTCAGCAATAGACAAATTTCCTTAAGTCCCCTGGTGTTGGGAATGGAATGGAGTAGGACTTCTAATTTGCCCTTTCCCTGAGGGTGTAACCCTTTGGGGAAACAGTTTAATATAGAGAAGCACTTCAATTTGTCTCCTCACCTGCATGAACTGAGCTTTGATGTTGGTTTCTTCTCAGCCTGAGAGGTCTACAATTGACAGATGTCTTGAGCCAAAATAATCTCCAGAGCTCGGTTCACCTCCCTGAGCTCCTGCTTCACTTAGATTTTAGCCTGGTTAAAATACTTTCTTGTCAGCTTTTTATTATTTTAAGAAGATGCTTTTGTACCTTATCCAATATTGTTGTTTTCAGTGGGAAGTCTGATCTGAATAACCTAGGCTACCATGTTTTGTCACAGTATAATCTCTGCATTCAGGGTTCTTCTGTACCCCTCACACACTCCTCAGCTTTCAAATCTCAAGTGTCACCTCATCCATAAAGGCTTCTCTGAACAAATCCTTTCCCCAAAGTACCATAGATTATTCCTACTCCAGTTGGTCCCAGCATATACATATATACTGTATTTCACTTCATTGTATGGTTTGTTTGTTTTGTTTTCCTGTCAGTCTTTTCCAAATAGACCATAAGTTCCTTAAGAGCAGGTAATGTGTCTTATTTACTTTTGTATCCTGGGGGTTTGGTAGAGTAGCTGGCATATATTAGGCCCTTAACAGATGTGTGTCAAAGGAAGGGATGAAAGCAGATCTGCCTTCCCAATGTTCTATACTCTTTTGAGAATATGCATGCCTTGTCTTTATGTCCCTAGTGCTTACTACAGTGTCTGTCTCATAGGTGTCTAATAATTATTTTTGGACAAGAGTTTTTGTCAACCTGGAAGTGAAATAGGATAAGGGACAGAATGAGCAGTACAGTAAACCAATTGAGAGACACAAATGAGTTAATTCATAGAATGGGGTGTTGGTGATGGTGGTAGCAAAAATGATAGAATAACTGTGAGTCCTGAAGGGGTACAGTCTGGTTTGTGTATCCAAACAGAAGCAGATTTGGACTGTTGTGAATTCACAATTCACAGTTGTTTGGGGATCCAGGCTAGGAAGGAGGATCCAGATAGAATACAGAGTTGAACCAACTCCACAACTGGAGTAGGTAGATGGTGACTGTATTAGGGTTCTCCCAAGACAGACCAACAGAAGGTAGAAAAAGAGAGAGAGAGAGAGAGACAAGAGAATTTATCAACTGGCTCATGCAATTATGAAGGCTGAGAAGTCCCACGATAGGCTAACTGCAAGCTGGAGACCCTGGGATATGGGTAGTTGGCTCAGCCCAAGTCTGAATGCCTCAGGGAAGCCAATGGTCTGACTCTCAGTCCCAGACCAAAGGCCTGAGAACCCAAGGGGCCACTGGTATAAGTCTTGGAGAGCCTGGAGTTCTGATGTCCAAGGGAGGAGAAGAAGGGTGTCCTAATTCCAGTAGGGAGGGAGAGATAATTTGTCTTCTCTGTCTTTTTGTTCTATCTGGGCTCCCAGTTAATTAGATGGCACCTGCTCACATTGAGGGTTAATCTTCCTCACTCAGTTCACTGACTCATCCATCAATCTTTCCTGGAAACACCCTTACAGACACACCTGAAAGTAATGCTTTACCAGTTATCTAGATATTCCTTAAGCCAGTCAAATTTACACCTAAAATTAACCATCATCGTGATAGTCAATGGCACAAGGGGTGGTGGTTTCAGGAAAAGTCTTGTTTGGGTTGCATTTCGGTTTACTGCCTAATTGTTATGTGGGATCATTTTGTGTTTTGAGTCTAGCAACACATGGGCTGCTCCTTAGGGCAAGGCCAACATCTTTTGGGTTAGCTGTTGAATCAAGGGATCAAGGGTCAAATTCTCTGGGGAGAGATTTTTCTTCCAGGAGGCCTGCTTTCCAGACTTCAGAATTTGGCTTCTTGTAACCTGATTCATTTGACTTCCCCTTTCCAGTAAGTGCCAGTCAAGCTGAAGTGCTCACAAATCCACGGTAACTATTACTCCTTACCCTCCCTCCACAACATGCACCTCAGTTGTGCTTTTGCAGTAATGTTTTCCTGTTCTAGTATGCCTTTCTCTGTGCTCAAGGATACCCAGGTGACATGATTTACGTAGTCTCCCTTCTGTCACCCAGACTGGAGTGCAGTGGCAAAATCCTGGCTCACTGCAACCTCCACCTCCTGGGTTCAAGCGATTTTCCTGCCTCAGCCTCCCGAATAGCTGAGATTACAGTCTCAAGCCACCAGGCCTGGCTAATTTTTATATTTTTAGTAGAGACGGGGTTTCACCATGTTCATCAGGCTGGTCTTGAACTCCTGACCTCAAGTGATCCACCCATCTCGGCCTCCCAAAGTGCTGGGATTACAGGTGTGAGCCACCTCACCTGGACCCAAATCTCATCTTGAATTGTAGTTCCCATAATCCCCACGTGTTGTGAGAGGGACCCGGTGGAGGTAATTGAATCATGGGGGCGGTTTCTCCATCCTGTTTTCTTGATAGTGAGTTAGTTCTCATGAGATACGATGGTTTTATAAGGGGCTTCCCCCTTTGCTGGGCACTCATTCTCTCTCCTGCTGCCCTGTGAAGAAGTACTTTCTACCATGATTTTAAGTTTCCTTAGGCCTCCCCAGCCATGTGGAATGGTGAGTCAATTAAAACTCTTTCCTTTATAAATTACCCGGTCTTGGGTATTTCTTCATAGCAGCGTGAGAATGCACTAATACACCAGGGTTCAAGGTACCGTGTGTTCAAGGGTACCCAGAGTCAAGGCCTAAATAATGTTTCACTTCTGCTAAGATAGCCTCTCTATTACACCAGCCCACTTATCAAACCCCTATAACTTATCTAAACCTTCAGTATTTTAAACTGATTGTTATGCTTCTTATTTCCCAAGGGTCACTCCCCTGTCCCGATCTTGATGGTTGGCTCCTTGACTTTAGTGTTCACCCTGACAAGCTGTTGATCTATTTATGTTCCTGGTTATACACTGAAGTGTATAGCCACCTGCAAATACTTGTTGACCTGGAGTGCAAACAGCGAGCATCTGAATACCTCTCAAGTCTTCTACTCATACTGCTCTTCATGTGATAAAATTTCAGAGGTTTCTAGGAGTTGGATTAAATAGAGAGTTCTTTTTTTAAAAAAAAAATTATTTTGCGAATATATGAGTGGAGGTTACGTGGTTTGCATTTAGAGATTTGAGTCTGAGTGGCACAGCTAGAATTACAATCTCAGCATGATGCCTGCAGTTTAGGACTTATTCTTCTCACAACTCTTCTGTGAGAACACAGGCATAGCATCATTTACCCTATAATAGGTAAAGTACCATGGGGATGTGGTATGATTTTCCTTTCCTGACTTCCAATGCCTGTAGAATTTGGTTTAAATCAACACATTGGTGAAAGTTATACCAATTGGATTTGCTTAATCCATATGTAGTTAAAATGAAAGAATCCCCAAAACAAAGTATTTTATTACTTCTCTTCTGTTTACAGGTTCTTTTCAGTGTTTTATTTAGACTGCCACAGCTACTCTGCATGTAGCAGAACCTATCAGTGGATTATTGTATGTGGGGTTTCTACAGGGGGGCCATACTGTTTGGACCATTTTCCCATGGAAAGCTCTGCCAGCCCTTACAGTGCCCTGATGCTTTAAGTCTACTTTTGGAGGTGGCCTCCCCTTAGGCGGTCATTCTGAAGAGCCTTTCAAGAACCTGAAATGTTGCCATTGGAGCATTTCCCAGAAGGAAATTGAACCACAATTTTTTGAAGTGCAGGGAACTCTCTACCAGGAGTATGTCATGTGTCTAGACATATTCTGATGTGTTTTTCATTATAATAATGCAATAACATGGGCTGCACCAAAATGATAGGGTAAATTCATTAAGACTGTTTTCTTGTCTCAGGGAAAAGGACACTATGAACTATGAACTACCTGTGTGTGGCATCTGCCTTTTTTGTTTCTTTTCCCTTCTAATCTCTTTGTACTTGATTTTTTTTCTCTTTCCCTATTATTTTGTTCCTCATTGTTCTCTAAATAGAGTAGAACAGTAACAGTTTATCAATTCTACTATATTTCTCAGCTGACTAGAGGGGAAAAAATCATGTTGGCTAACTAATAGAGAGCCAGGGAATTACAAATAAATCAGCAGTTGCATAAGGGAGAAAATGAAATTTAACTAAGGAAATTGGGGCCTCTGTTGCCATGAAGAAAATAAATGAGACAAGGTAGAGTCATTACAAGAAGACTGGGTGGTCTACAAGAAAGAGGGCAGATTGTGCAAACTGACATTTGAGGAATCAGCCTGAATGCTGTTGCTTGGGACCAGTTGCTGTTCGTTGGTGTCATAGCAAAATGTGCTTTATTTGTGGAACACTTGAGGAGGCTTGGCAGACAAGGGGGGCTCTGAAATATAGGAGGGCTTAACCTCCTAGTCTCTGAGGTGTTCTTCCTATTTACAATGGAAAGTTCAGGGACTGTTACCATAAGAATCTCCCTGGAATCCCAGCTGGACTGTCCTTGCTCCAGCAGGGATCAGAGCACACCTGCAGGGAGAGGGCTTTTTCTTCCAACCACCTGCATTCACTTCCTGTGAGAACTGTAATTCCTGGGACAGCCACCCACTACCAGCTTCAGTTTATAGCAAGAAGTAGTAAGGGCAGCTCTATTGGGCAGAACGTCCCCTGGATGTTCAAATCCAAACATTTGTGGTTTGGATTTCTGGTACCATCATCTTAACCCACTGGCTTCCGGGCTCTCCCCTGCTTTTCCCTTTGCTTCTCCTCACCTTGTCTAGTTTTTAAATAATACTCTTTTTAAAAATTTCTGACTACAAGTAACCATGTTTGCCCATGTAGTTGTTTTTGTTTTCTAAGTGTTGGAGAACTTGGAGCCTGTCTTCCGAGGTTGCAAAGATGGGCAGTGGGCCAAATCTGACTTGCAGTTATGTTTTATTTGGTACATCCAGGGTTTATTTGCATTGTGTGTGTGTGTGTGTGTGTGGTGTTTAATGGAATCAATAACTAATGTTGTAAAAATTGGAATATTTCACATTAAAATCTGGATTTTTTACTTCCCATGAAAAATTGAAACATTTGGCAACCAATTCCTGGATGAGTGTTTCAACTTCTCCTTTTAATTCTTTACAGTTTCCACCATGCCCTACTTCTCTTGGGTTACATCATTATTATTATTATTATTATTATTATTATTATTATTATTATTATTAGAGAGTAGAGTGCCTTAGTCATTTCATTCTGCTATAATAAAATACCATAGACTGGATGGCTTATAAATAATAGAAATTTATTTCTTACAGTTCTGGAGGCTGTAAATCTGAGATCACAGTGTCAGCATGATCGGATTCTGGTGTGGGCACTCCTCTGGAGGGAGGACTAGAGCCTTCTTTGTGTTCTCTTTTCTGAGGACACTAATGCCATTCATCAGGACCCTGCATTACCTAAATTACCTGCCCAAGGCCCTACCTCCTAATACCGTCACACTGGGGGCTAGGATTTTTTTTTTAAAGGGGCTAGGATTTTAACATGAATTTGTTACATTTATTCCATAGCACAGAGTTAAGGGGGAAATGAAATATTTCTCTTATCTCAGTCTTTATAATTCTTCTTAAAAATAAGAAAAGACCTTTATTCTTGTTAGCTTGCTGCCTTAGCTCCTTAGTGAAACACACTTTTGTTTGTGCCACTACTCAGCCCTCTGCTGGAGTGGAGCTTGTTAGTTGTTTCCAGGTTTGGATCTGGAATTGTTGGTTGATACCCCTCTAGTGCGGACTGTACTGACTCCACCCATGCCCTCATCTGGCCATTCCAGACTAGCTAAGGCACCTCAGATGCTGACATTGTCACCAGACCCTGTTTATCCTTGTCAACTCTGTGAAAACTTCCATTATAGAAGAAGTTGCCTGCAGGTGTGCCTTTGTGGGCATTTTTCTCTTGGCAGTAAACACTCAAAAGTCTGTTTCTCATGGTTTTGTTGTTGTTTGTTTGTTTGTTTCGGTTAACCTTTCCCAAATGGAATTAACACTGTATTTAAAAAAACCCAATTCTCCTTTATATAACTTAAGATATCATCTGGAGGCCCAGGTTAGGAAGAAATTCCTTGTCTCAGACGAAGGGGAGAATAATTTGTGTGACAGTATATGACAGTAACATAATGAAAGGTGGTATCATGCAATAATTAACTACCATGTAATAGTTAATAGTACAGACTCGGTTACCAGACTCTTTGGGTTCATACTCTCGCTCTGCCACTGTCTACTGAGTGTAACCTTGGACAGGTTACTTAACTTTATGATTGTTGCTTCATCTGTAAAATGGTGATGATAATAATAGTAAGTGCTTCATAGGATGGGTGTAAGGGATAAAAGTTGATGTGTATACAGTAGCTGCCACTTAATAAACACTCTGTAAATGTGGACTATTACTGTTATTTGAATTTCTTCTTGTGGAAGGCACTTGTGTTAGATACAAAGATAAACAAGACGTGATCCTTGCCCTGAAGATGTTCATGGTTTAAAATAAGAAAAGATACTTGAATAATTATGGTGTAACAATAGGTGCATTTAAGTTAGAATAGTAGCCAGAGAAAAAGGGATTCCTACCTGGAAAGGACATGGAAGTCTTCATGGAGATTCTTAACCTTTCTTAAGGGAGGAGTTTGAGGCAGAGGGAAGGGGTGACCATCAGTTCAGATGCCACTTATGTTCATCTGATCCAAGAGGGCAAGACCAAGCAAGGTTCTAAGTAGCAGACCAACCATGGTGCCACTTTGTACATTCCTGAGTGGAAAAGGACTGATTTCCTAGACCAAGTATCAGCCTCAGCAGAACTTGATCACAAATGTTATAGGCCATCCCAAAGAGCTTGCTATGGCCTTCAAACCCTAGAGTCCCCAAATTCATTTGGTATTTCAGATATTGTAACAATATATGTCAGAGAACCTTCTGTTTAGACTAAATAATGCTCTTTCTCACCAGTGGCAGAATAGAATCTATGTGCCCTAAAATTGGAAAAGGCCTTAGACATCATCTTGTCCAATCCCTTCATCTTATGGCTGAGAACATGAAAACTCATGGAGGAAAATGAACTTTTATAAAACAATTAATTTCCATATCTCACAGATCTGGATTTAAAAGAAATATTGAGATGCTTTCATTATTTTATATTGTTGGAAGTGATATAAAACAAAGATTGCCACCAGATGTCCTGTTTCAATAGTTGCATACACAGATGTGTCAAATGAGTTGTATGTTTAACAACCTGAAATCTTCCAAAAGAGTGAGGATCATCCTAATGGTAGAAGAGATACTATAAAGGCTTTGGTAGGTAGTATGAACTGTGTTTTCATCACTAAATTCCTGGCATTTAATAAATATTTTCTGAACTTATTTCAACAGATTACATTGAATTGTATGAATATCTGAATAAGTGCAGAAAACAATTTTCCATTGATAAGCTTCATTCATTTTTTAAATTGTTTAATAAAATTTTGAACGTTTTGGATCAATAGACTGTAGTTTTACTGTGATGTGAGCCTGGGAAAGTGCTGGCAATAACATCTCATGAACATATTCCAAATTCAAAATTGCACGGATATGATTATTGCTGTGTGGGCAGAAAGCTGTTCATATGCCAAATGTAAAAATGCAAACCATTCTGGGTACTGTGAGGTAGGGGCTGAAGGTCATTTCTGTGATCCATGTCAGTATTTGTGTTCTAGATATTAATTTATTAAGATGTTAGTGTTCTAGATCTTAATATGCATATGTTGTTAAAAGGGAAAACGCTCTCAAAATGACAAAAGGAGGCACATATTGATAAGATAGAACTAAAAATCTGGAAATAAAATATTTTACCAAAGGAAAACTTCTACTTCTTTGAAAATTCAAGTTAACATAGCAAAATAAAAAGTGACAACATTGTAATTCATCAATAAAGGAGAGTAAAATTGTTTTACTGTCAGTTGTACATATTCAGTAGAATCAGTCAATGCTATAAGCCATTTATTTTTTAAAAGTTGTTATTTTTTTATTACTGTTGCTGAATGTCTAATGATTTAACTGGGAGAATTTCACACGATTTTCAGATCCAGTCACTTTTTGGTTGAGGGTATGAAAAGGGAGCTAGAAAACTCAAAAGAAATTGTGAAAATCCTCCAATTATAACAATTTGTCCTTTTTGTAGCTCAACTTGCTAAAATTTTCCAATTTAAATTCATCATAAAATTTATTGGCCAGAGGAAAAATATACTATATAAATGACAAGGCACTCAGGACCCACCTGGAATATTGCTTTTTAGGATTCCAACTGTTACTGTATCATAGATAAAAGCAAAACAAAATTGTTTCAAAAAATGAGCTGGGTGAGGAACGTCAAAACTGCAAAAGCTAAAAATAGTTAGGGAGCTGGTGACTAAACAGAGATTATTGTAGCCATGTAACGCATTTGAAAGTCCTAAATTCAAAGGGAAGAAAATGATAATGCATTCCTTTAGATATAAAGGTTAAAATTTAAATGAGAATTCACATTAAACCCCAAATAAAAAGAATAACACATTTGTGAAATCTTATTTAAAGTGGTCTTTGGCTTTTTCGTGTGATGAGGTTTAAAGAAACCAAACAAATCGAATTCTCAGTGTGTAGAGATTTATTTAAAGGCTTCTAGGGAGAAAAATGAGAAGATTTTGAAGTGTTTCTAGTCTTTATGGATCCAGGGTTAAAATCAATACCATGTCCAGATAAAGATTTTTGGAAGTCTGTATGGGAGAAAGAAAAGCCTGATGTTTTGGAAAGGTGTGATGGATATGGATGAACGTTTGCCCCTTGTATGTAAAAATAAATTATCTTTCAGTGCTGACTTGGCTGCAGACGCCAAGTCTGTGTGTAGTTGGAGGTCAGTGCACAGCAGGGTGGCCAGAATGTAAGGAGGAAAACTGTGGCAGGCTCACTGTGTGTGGATCTGCTGGGAAAGAGTGTGAGTCATTTCACAGACTTGGAGGATGTGTACAATATGGAGATGTGTGTGTCTGCATCTGTATTAGTCCATTCTTATGCTGGCTCTAAAGACATACCTGAGACTAGGTAATTTTTTTTTTTTTTTTTGAGATGGAGTCTCGCTGTCGCCCAGGCTGGAGTGCAGTGGCGCGATCTCGGCTCACTGCACACTCCGCCCCCCGGGGTTCACGCCATTCTCCTGCCTCAGCCTCCCGAGTAGCTGGGACTACAGGCGCCCGCCACCTCGCCTGGCTAATTTTTTGTATTTTTAGTAGAGACGGGGTTTCACTGTGTTAGCCAGGATGGTCTTGATCTCCTGACCTTATGATCCGCCCGCCTCGGCCTCCCAAAGTGCTGGGATTACAGGCGTGAGCCACAGCGCCCGGCCGAGACTAGGTAATTTATAAAGAAAAGAAGTTTAATTGAAGGCTATATAGGCTTCTGTTTCTGGGTAGGCCTGAGGAAACTTACAATCATGGCAGAAGGCACAGGGGAAGAGGGCACATCTTCACATGGCTGGCAGGAGGAAGAGAGAGTGAAGGAGGATGTGCTGCACACTTTCAAACAAGATCTCGTGAGAACTCTATCATGAGACTGCACTAGGTAGATGGTGCTAAACCTTTAAAAACCACCCTGATGATCCAGTCACCTCCCACCAGGCCTCACCTCCAACACTGGGGATCACAATTCAACATGAGATTTGCATGAGGACAGAAAGCCAAACCATATCAGCATCATTTTATGGATGTACATATTAGATATGTTATTTTCTAGAATTTATAATACTTGTGAAGTTTCATAATGTCTTCACTGGAGCTATTACGTACTCTTTTACAAAACAGAGTAAAATAGGAATCTGTGTCTCCAATTTACAATTCTGGATGGTCACTCACATGTCTGGGGCCTTGGTGGGGATGGTTGAAAGACTAGGCTCAGCTAGACTGTCACCTGGAGAGGCTACACCTTCCCTCTCCAACATAGACACCTTGGGGTAGGTGGACTTCCATGTTCGGCAGCTCAGGCCCACCAGAAAGAATGTTTCAAGAGGCCCAGGTTGAAGCTGTAAGGCTCCCAAGTCATAAGAAGTTCTATGGTGTCTCTTCTGCTGCTTTCTTGGGTCAAGGAAGCTGCTAAATCCAGCCTAGATTCAAGGGAAAGGAAATGGGATTCCACCTTTCCATGAGTGGAGCAGTGAAGATATCTGGCCACATATGATCTACTTCAGGCTGCCCTCTGCCACAAAGCATTTACATTTCTGCCAAGTGTGAAATATAGTTATTTCCTTCCCCAGTCCTCCGAAGTTTCATCTCATCGTGACATCTGCTCAGAGTCTAATAGTCATTAATTAAATCAATTCTAGATGCAGATGAAATTCCTTGGGTTTAATTTCTCAGGTGTAGCATTCTCCAGCACAGTTTCTTTCAACCTGAAGGCCTATGAATTAGATAATTCTCTGTCCTTTCCTCTCACACCCCCTATACACCTAACATACAATGATGACAAGGGTATAAGATTTCCGCAGTTGACGCTTGCAGTCACAAGGGGGTGAAACAGGAGCATAGCCATGAAGGTCTATAGCAATTCTGAATTCCAGCTGGGCAGAAGTCACTGGTTTCTTGATTAGGGCCTCATCCTTCTCCCTGGAAATGTTTCTCTGGCCTTGCCCTCTGTGCATTTTTTTCTCACTCTGTGTCATTCTTTCTTTTCCTTTTCATGTTTGCAGAGTTTGGATTTGATATTTGCTCCAAAGCCATTCATAATTTTGAGATTATTTTGCTGCGAGAGATTGGGGATCAGAAATTGTTTTATTTAAACCTAGAAAGTTCTAGATCTTTTTATTTCCTCTAAATTCTGTTAAAAAATGGAACAATTCTTTTTTTTAGTTCTATTTTCCAAATTACTGAAGGCCACAGTCTTGTCAAACTTCTCAACACCTTTTTTCCAACCTCTATTAGCATTTTCCTCACTTTCCATCACCTCCTCACCAAGTCTCCTGAGAGCCCTTCATATGCCACTACCACTCTCCTTGAGGCTCTTCCAGCCTCTGCCACTACCTAGTGTCAAAGCTAATGCCACATGTTTTAGGTTTCTGTTATTGCAGAACTCTATTTCCAGATACAAAAATTTGTTCTGGCTTTCTATTGATGTACAATAATTTATTCTCAAACTTCATGGCTTACAACAACAAAAAAATTGTATTTTATATCACATGATTGTATAGGTCAGGAGTTTGGGCAGGGCTCAGCTGGATGGTTCTTTTGCTTCATATGGCATTGACTGTGGTCACTTGGTGATATTCAGTTGTAGATAGGCTGGTTTGAGAGATCCTAGTTGGCTTTACTCACATGTATGATGGCTTGGTGAGTATGGCTGGGAGGCTAGGCTCAGCTGAGACTATCAACTAGAACTATCTTATAAGGACAGCTCAGGTCTTCCACAGAGAATGTTCCCCAAGAGAACCAGATGGAAGTTGCAAGGCTTATTGTAACCTAGGCTTTGATGTTACTTTGAAGAATGTTGTTTCCACTTCATTGTATTGCTCAGGCAAGTCCCCAAAGCCAGACCATATCAGGCAGAAGGGAAATACATTTTACCTCTCAATGGGAGGAATAGCAAGGAATTTGTGGCCATTTTTAGTCTACCACGTTTATAGTTCTAAGGCAACCAGTTTTTAAAAAAGTATTATCATTTCATGGATTTAAATATATTGATGTGCTTTAATCCATTGCAGCTATTATTTTTTATTGATGCTCAAATTGTCTTATCTTTGGCTAATGTGAGACTCTTTAGTTGACTTCTGAATCTTCTGACATGACCCTAATAGCATTTTTTTTCTAATCTATTCAGAGGAAGATACCTAATAGCATTCAGTAGCTTCTTTATGACATGGTATAACAAACTATTTCAGGTTTTATCTTGCACATTTCCTCCCTGAAGCTAGAAGGGAAGTTTCTGGTATCTTTTAATGGGAAATAGTATTTTAAGGCTACAAATTGGATGCTTCCACCAAAATGACTATGAGATGAGTTAAGAAAATTATTTTTGTATATGTTTTCTCCATTTTCTCCATTAAAAAATTGTTCTACTGTATCTACATTGTCAGAGGATATACATTATATAGCATTTAACCTTTCTTTCCTTTTAACCTGCCCTTTTAACTCTTATTTGGTCTTAGTTCTAAAAATAGCCTCATATTTAATGTTCATCACAAGTTGATGTCTCTCTAGTAATTTTGATTGCATGAAACTTGTTCTCTAATAGATTCCTCTGCAAAAGCTCATGGAAGCAATAGTTCCTGAATTCTTATATGTCAGTAATGGCTTATTGGTGGCTTTCATACTTGAGTCTGTTAGGCTCTATACAAAATCCTTGGTTCTCATCTCTTTTCCTTTAGTATCTTAAATGTTACTCTATTTTCATAGGATATAAAACATTGCTATTGAAAAGCCTAACAACAATTCAATTTTATGTTCATTATAAGTCACTTGGTCTTTTTGCTCATACACTCAAAGGACTTTTTTCTATCTCAAAATAAAACAGATATATTGATTTGCAGTTTATTCTATGTGATTATGCTTCAATAAAGCTGTCAAAAATCGTATATTGAAATCTTCTTAGATTATATAAAGGACAAATAATCTTAAAATTAGGCTTGTGTTGGCCAGATGCAAAGGCTCATACCTGTAATCTTAACACTTTTGGAGGCCGAAGCAGGTGGATCACTTGAGGCCAGGAGTTCGAAATCAGTCTGGCCAACATGGTGAAACCCCATCTCTACTAAAATACAAAAATTAGCCTGGCATGGTGTAGTGTGCCAGTAATTCCAGCTACTCTGGAGGCTGAGGCACAAGAATCGCTTGAACCTGGGAGGCTGAGGTTGCAGTGAGCTCAGATTGCGCTACTGCACTCCAGTCTGGGAGACAGAGTAAGACTCTGTCTCGGGGGGAAAAAAAAAGTTTATGTTGATAAGTCTTTTATTAAATGTACATGGTTATTAATTATTTTGCTGATTGGTTTTCAAAATTTGAATTAAAAAATGATTGAGATGAATACTTAATTTAAAACAGCACAGAAAGAAGCATGCAAAAATAAAAACACTGTTAAAAGAACAAAGATATTTAACATTTAAAAGGGAAATTCTAAAACATTAGTTCCAAAATCTGTGTCATCAATTTCTATGCCCCTTCCCTTAAGAGTCAGTGGGGTCCAGCTGGGTGCATCCAGGAGCCTGCAGTTTTAAATACTCTTCAGCTGGTTGTGTTGCATAGCCCGGTTTGGACCTACAGGCCTAAAGTTTATACTATCGATTTTTCAATCTTCTATAACTGTCTCTTTTCAAGTTAGATGATAAAAAATACTTGCATCCCTGGATCACATTTCTTTAGTTCTTCATTTAAATGCTTTAAGAGAACTGTACTTTAATGCTGTGAATTCCGCTTTTATCCTATTAAGGGAAATTTATTATGCATATAACTTGCCTTTTTGAATGCAGCAGCAACAACTGTGTGTTTAAATAATTCAAATCATGGTTTTAACCTAAGATTGGAACATAAAGCCACAGTGTAAAGCAAACCACCTTTTCACACTGCATTTCAATTCCACAGGATGTGCTCGGGCCCTTCGGGTCCACTCTTCACTCCTCTCCAGGCTGCTTTGTGTGCCCGCCGGCTGCCGTCTGGACTGCTCAGTGAGTTCCCTTGCTCTCTGGCTTCCAGTTAAGTTCAACCAATAGGAAGGCCCTGGT
Source organism: Homo sapiens (assembly GCF_000001405.40). Taxonomy (NCBI): domain Eukaryota; kingdom Metazoa; phylum Chordata; class Mammalia; order Primates; family Hominidae; genus Homo; species Homo sapiens. Next base: position 37,051,852 of record NC_000014.9, on the reverse strand, counting down.
GGGAGATCAGGCAGGTGGAAGGACAATGAGGTCAGAGTATTTTCCACTGGCTCTCTCCCTACCTGGTCACACAGGTTTCTTTGTGTCCCTTGGACAAAGACCACAGCAACTACCAGGTGGCCTTTTCCATATGACTGTCCTTGCAGAGCTCTGGCCCTTTCTTGCCCTTTTAGATTCAGGGGTGGGAAATGCTTTGCTCATCCCTCGGTATTGAAGTAGCCACTGTTGGTTTCCTTCAACCCTGCACCATATTTGTAAATAGTCCCTTTGTTAAACTCTTTTCCAATTGCCCAAGTTGCCTGTGCCATCTGTTTCTTACATATTCTGATTGAATAGGTAAGAATAGGTCACCATAGCCTAGGAGTTCAGTCTGGGTGAATTAATCTACCCTTAAATGAAAAACTTTTTGTAAATGATAGGCTATTTCTAGTATTGTCTTGTAGCTGTGAAATGAGTTCTTCCCTCTCCTTGCACTGAAGCCAGTACATTCATGAGTCACGTTTCCCATTTGTAGTTTCCAGAACCAGTCATGCTGTTCCAAGCCCCTAGTCTGTCACAAACAATATTCCTTCTGCCCCTTCTCCCTCAGGTATTCTTTAATGATAGATATTTTGAGATTTAGAATTCTGGAATACTTCTTCAGAAACTTACTTTTAAAAATATTTATGCGGTGCTTAGACTTATGGAGTGAGAATAAAACAGTGAACAATAGGCAAAGTCCTTTCCTCATGGAGCTTATATACAATTGGAGATCTTTGATATTAATGATGTAAACTAATACATGAACAAAGTCATTTAAGATAGCACTAAGGCCAATGGAAAAAGATAGAGTAGGGTAAATTGATTGAGAGTAACTGTGGTGTAAGATGTAGTTATTTTAGATGTATTAACCTGAAAAGTAAATATTCTGTGCTATTGTCTGAAATGAAATCAATGTACTTTGAAAACCAGGCACATAAGTAGAAAACCTGCTTTTTTTTGTTGTTGTTAGGAAAACTGAAATTATTATTCGCTTTATGCCCAGGGAGTGGGCCATTCAAACTTTTCACTAGTAGAGGCTTCAAGTTAATAATTTTGTAGAACTACCTTGGATCTGAGAAGTACTTGGTTATTATTTCAAAGTTTTGCATTGTTGAGTATTAGCAAGGAAGAGATGACTTTGGCTTGGAAGATATGGAGAATGGGCCAGATCTGTCATCTATTTTTACTCAAATGAACGCATTCTAATAAAACTCCTTGCACTTCCAAGGCTCATGACATTCACTAGAATACGTGGTACTGTTTTGCTCTATTAGAAAAAAAGTGTCCCTCTAGGCTGATGAGTTGGAAGAATCCAAGGTACCCCACCCACTTGGTAAGCAGAGAGAGAAATGGCTTTCAGCCCCCACTCAGCCTCTTGTGCATGCAAAACTGCTCAACTCTGTGTGCTGCATCCCCAGATAATTATGTTATTTATCAGGTTGAGTTACTTACTGTATACATGAGTATACATGAAAGATACCCGATTTCCTATGAGAATCAATGTTTATTTTACTATTACTTACTGTATTAGATAGAAAATGCCATGTATGGAGTACACAAACACAACACAAATATGTGTGTGTGTTTAATGTTCTTATTTATGGATATTAATTTTGAAACACTTCACTTAAGGTATAGCATTTTTGCACTCATAAATAATTTTGAACACACTTCACACTAAAGGCAAAGTACTGCAGTCCTGCCCAGTAGCAGCTTTTGGAAATAGTGATTGCCTTTATTACTTCATATGACAGCCAGTCCATGTTGCTGTTGTAGAAGTATGCAAAATTATATTAGTGTAGTCTTTTCAGGTGTTATAAAAATATCCGGCACTATATTCACAGGTACACATGTATATATTACAGTCTATAGCTGTACTGTCCAATATAGTAGCCATTAGCTATATGTGGCTATTGACCACTGGACTTGTTGCTTGTCCAAATTGAGCTGTGCTTTAAGTGTAAATACATGCCAGATTTTGAATACTTTGTGTAAAACAAGAATGTAAAATGTCTCACTAATAATTTTAATAGTTGTTGAAGTGATAATATTTTGGATACATTACATTAAATAAAATATATTTTTAAAATTAATTTCACCTATTTCTTTTTTTAGTGTGGCTACTAGAAAATTCAGAATTACAAATATGGACTTACATATGTGGGTCTCATTATATATCTATTGTACAACATCAGTCTGAAGTGTGTACCTTTTAATAATTATTTTCATAATTCTATGATATGTTATTCCTTTCCTTTTTGAAACAGGGTCTTCCTCTGTTGCCCAGGCTGGAGTGCAGTGGTGTGATCACAGCTCACTGCAGCCTCGACCCCCTGGGCTCAAGTAATCCTCCCACTTCTGCCTCCCTAATTGCTAGGACTGTAGGCACACACCACCATGCCCAGCGAATTTTTAATTTTTGTAGAGATGGGGTCTCACCATGTTGCCCAGGCTGGTCTTGAACTCCTCTGGGCTCAAGCCATCCTCCCACCTTGGCCTGCCAAAGTGCTGTGTGAGCCACCGTGCCCAGTCAGTATGTCATTCTTGATCTGTGATGGCTCTCAGTCTTTTTTGTTCATTTTATTTTATGTTTTTGGTGAAACTTACTGACGTGATTCATTCATTTACTATGTATTGAAATATTGGAATTTCAAGAAATATTGGAATTTCAAGAACATTTCAAGGACATTTCAAGGCTATGTGAGTAGTTCTTAACTCTGGCTGCTTCATAATCTTCTGTGAAGATTAAAAACAAATAAATCAAGATTACCTTACCTCCTGTAGCTTCTGATTCACAAGGTTTTGGGTGGGAGCAGGAGAAGTAGTTCAGCATTGTATTAAGAAACAGAAACAAAAGCAAACCCCCCACAGGTGAGTCAGAGTTGAGTATAACTAGTCTATGAGATTAGAACATGACACATTATTTGAAGTTAAGCCTGCTTTGGCAAAACTAAAAGTCTTTGGCAAAACTAGTCTGCTCTAGTTATTGGTCTCAGTGGCTAAATCCAAGGCTCCCTTTGAATTTCAAGTCTGCAAAAGGTTCAGTGCTCACTATACATTAGCTCCCTTGATTCTCTCAAGAACAATCAGACAGACTTGCTCACCCATGTTTTACAGGTGAGGAAGCTGACTCAGAGAGTTTAGGTATGTACTTTCTCTTTAACACCAGAGTAAAGTTTTGGACCTTTATGCAAAGATTTATAATATAGGCTCCTCCCAGCTGTCAGATGTCATAGGCTTATGACATCTCTAAGGTTATAGGCAAGTTACATTTTTGAATCTGTTGAATAATGTAGGTCAATTTAGGTGGTGCCACTTTCTCCTTAAAATGTAGAGGTACATTTTTTTTTTTTTAACTGCAAAACCAGGAAGACGTAGTAATTTGGTACTGCCTCTTCCCCTCCACCAGTCTCATAGCTTTCCTTAGGAAACAGTTGATTGAGATACATAACCCGGTTTATGATGACAGTAATTTCCTACCTATCTGTTATTAGAAAGTGGTGGTCTTGCATATGAAAAATGACATGGCCACTAGGAGGAATATGTATTTGTAGGGTCTGTCTTAATCTTGCAGAATCTAAATGTGTTACTGTTCTCCTGAATTCTCAGGAGGCGGCATTTTTTCTCAACGTTTTTCTTGGCTTCCTTTCAGATATGTTGAGGGAGGAATGGACATAGTGGTCATTTTTCAAATGAGCCTAAATGGGTACACAAACATTGTAAACAATGGAAGAGCTTCATGAATGGACCTGGAAAGGAGCGTTTGAACAATATTTTTCTGTCTAAAACATGAAAGAATCTTCATTCTTTGGATAGCTGTGATGGGTTCTGCATTAATTTTAAAATTTGCTTTTCTTCCTAAAAATATAATAAAAACATTTACATGTATAGATTCCTTTTATGAGTGGTATAAAATCCAACACCTACAGTTCTGTGCTGTTAATATGTTCTTGTTGTTTTCCCTGATAAGCCTGTTAAAGATAACTTGGAGGATGGCATGGAGTGGGTGATACATTGGAAATCACATCTACCTTGCATGAAATTCAAGAAAGGTTTTGTTTTCTGTCACAACATGTGGGTATAGATAAAACACTTTTGTTTTCTAGGGACAAAACAAGTCAAATGCACCAAGACTCATTTTGGTTTTTAATCAATGTGAACTTCTTTACTGATTCGTTTCAAAACTCTGCTGGGACTGATTTAATAGTTCTTGTTATGTTACATACTTTATGTGTTTCTGGAATGATCGTGCTGTTTGATAAAGAATTACTCAGCATTTACTTAATTACTTTTGCATTACCATCTGGGTTTGGGGAGCAGGGGCAGAACCTCCTGCTTTTGCCTCTTAGCAAAGTTCCGGAAATGGACCATGGTCTGCTGTTTGCTACATTGCCCCTTTAGGTCATGTTTTTCTTATTGCTCTCATACTTCCAACTTTGGTCTGGTTTCACAGCAGTTGATTCATATCTGTTATCCTGTGTTAGTGTACAAAATGTACATTTCAAAACATGTCTTAGACATGCTGGGCAGTGTTTTATTTGCATGTTCCGAGGATCTGGACTTGACACCCAGTCCATGTTCCCTTCAGCGTGCAGTATACCCTTTTAAATTTCACGTGAATTGCTGTCCAGATTGGTTTTGAATCAATACAACCCCACCAATGTGTGTTTCCTTAGCCCCATGTCTCTCCAAACCCTTTTACTCATTGTGACTTTCAAAAGTTGTAGGAGTCTCAGAAGGAAGACTCCGGTTAAATTGTTTCATAGTTCTGTCTGTGTGAGAGATTTCTTTGTGATCAGTGCAACTAAGTAGTTGCTTAGAGGCTTTTGAACTGTGATGTTCTAAAACAAACTATGAAAAGGACAAATGTTCCGGATGCCATTGTCCTGTTTGGTTTGTATTTAAGACAGACTCAGAGGATCTTTGGGGAGAAGGAACCAGGGGTGTTATGTGGGGTAGAAACAGTTCAACATTTGCAGCTGTCTTCCACAACCCACCACACTTTTAATTGTTTTCTTGTTTCTGCTGGGACCTAAAAATCCCCTATCCTGCACAATCTGGTGATAGAACTTCTAATTGGTGGAGGAAATAAAAAAGGGCAGAGCACAATCATGAATGTGTATACAGGGTTTAAGAAATCAATCCAACATCTGCTTCATGGAAACTTGATCAGAGAATGTCTGCAACAGGTTTCACTTTTCAAGCTGTTATCTTGTTGACACTTTGATATTAATTGCAAAGTATCAGTAACAGAAAGTTCAGGATTTAACAGTATTATCAACATGACCGTAGGGAGTGGTATTTAACAAAATTTCCAAATCAAATCAATTTTTATTCTAAATACATATATATTGAGAGATAGGCCAATTCAGTTAAAAATGCCGTTTTGAAGCTACTTAATCCTTTCCCTGCCCAGCTACCTGCTTCACATGAAGCAGTCACAGCCTTCTTTGGGGGATGGAGGAAATATAAGGCTAATATATGTCATACTCCATGATTGTGTGAGAGCAGACCTACTTAATCTGATTAGGTAGGCAATTAAGAGATCATATATGCTCTAGCCTTCCCATTCCTTCCCCTCATAGCACTAGATCTGGGAAAGCTTGAGAGCGTCGGCAAAGAGGGAGCATTGCAGCATGGTGAAGAGCAAGAACCCTTGAGGCAGATTGCCTGCCTTGGAGTTCTGGCTGTTCCCCTGCCCAGCTTTGTGACTTTGGGCAAGTTGCTCAACTTCTTTGTGATTTTGTGGCCTTATTTGTAAAATGAGGATCATCATATTCCTCACTAATAGGGTTGTCGTGAGGCTTCTGCAAGTTAACTTATGTAAAACACTGAAAACAGGTCCTGGCACAGAATAATCCCTCAGTAAGGTGGTAACTTGTTTTTATGTATTGAAACAAAAAACATTGTTAATAGAGTATTAGCACAACCATGCTTAGCATATTCCCAAGTACTATGAGACAACATAGTCTCCATAATTGCTCCATCATCCAGAAGGAAAAGATCATTTCATGGATGCTCTAGAGTGGAGAAATTGTGACTTCAAAACCCTGGAGTGAGTCAATCACAAAATCAGATAGAGGACCCAGACTTCTAATTCCTTGTCAGGTGCTAGACCCCGATCAGGATGAATGATGCTGAACAATGGCCTGGCTGTTCAGAGCCTGACCTTCCAGGTCCAAACGGAGACTGCAACACAAACAAACATGAGTTCTTGTTTTTGTTACCCTGGGGTGGAAACTGCTTGAGACTTTGGAGAATTAAGCTCATTACTTTGAGTCGCTGAATGTCTTGGGCTTTCTTGAAACTGAGTTCCTGTCATTACTTTGTGGTTCTCGAAGAAACCTACTCTTTTCACTTCCAATTTTGAAATATTAGTGAAGTTTTTTTTCCCCAGCAGTTTGTCTTTTCATTCAACTGTATGTGATCTCACAGGGTCCCTTAAATAATGGAAAGTAATAGATTTTTAAAATATCATTACAGAAATGTTATAGGATCTACTAATTCTATAACAGTGTCCAGAAATCTCTCCTTCGTAATTGTAGTCATTTAAAACATACCTGTACTGTATTACACCACAAACTTTTCATATTCTCTAGAAATTTACAACATAGAGAGTTCACTGTTTAGCCTTGCTTTTCTAGGTAACTGCATACTCAGAAATACTGATATATTTTAGAATCATGTAACTTTCGATTTGAAAGAGGTCATTGCAGATCTCACTGACAAGTGGTTTTAAAGTCATGGTGTGTGGAATTCTTGGCACTTTAGAAGGAGCATGGGTGGGAAGAGGAGAGTGGGAAACCAGACTGTCTCCCTTTTTCATCTCCAAAAGAAAATGTTTTTACATTTATATGTATATTGATCACCACTAAAATATTTTGAAAAGAGAAAAGATTTCTTCAGTTGGAATAATGTTGGGGAGACATTGATCTAGAGCAATTTTGTCCAGGAGGAAATAATGGCAATTTAATACCTTAATCTTCAGGTTTTGGAATTTTGCCACAAATTTAGAAACCAAAAAAGTTGGAGATCACTTCTTAATTTAAGTCAAGACAGGGTTAGGAGAATATTCTTCATTATGTAGCTTCCAAATTTAGCCTTCTTTTCTTCACAAGCCTGAACTCTTTCTTAGTTTTTAGTGTTCCATGACTGTATCTACCTTAAGAAAGCCCAATAATGTACATCAAAATTCAGGTTTGTAAAACTAAAGAGAATGATCAATCACTTTATACAAAGCCAGTGTTCCTATAGGAGGGGCAGAAGTTCCTGTGGTACATTCAATATTGATATTATTCCTAAAATATGCTTACCTATAATCTTTCAGGATTTCCTTTTTGTTACATATCAAAGTGTATTTGCACTGAAATGTCTATGAATAGATAAGAGTACCTTTAGTTTGAAAGAATAGTCCACTATTAGTTTTCAGGAGAAGAAACATGCTTATGTTTGCATTTAAATAAGACAAGTAAGCTAAATATTTGTATTTTTCTTTTCTTTTATGTAATTTTATATATATTGGTAACCTAAGATTATAAGGCTATTAAAAAAGGAAAGCCAAACACATTGAGCATTAAAAAATATTATTAATAACAAAATGGGGAAAATTTCCTTGGCTTGTGTTACTTTACATACTTTTACTTGTTCCTTTATCTGCTTGAGTGTCTACTATGTGCCAGACTTTGTTTTTGGTGCTGGGGATGTAATGGAAAGCAAGACACACTTCCTTTTCTCAAGAAGCTTGAGAGGGCTGGGTGTGATGGCTCAAGCCTGTAATCCCAGCACTTTGAGAGGCCGAGGCGGGAGGATCATTTGAGGCTAGGAGTTCGAGATCAGCCTGGTCAATATATTAATAAAAAGACCATGTCTCCACCAAAAAAAAAAAAAAAAACAAAAAAACATAAAACAAACAAAACAAAAAACAAAAAATGTAGCCAGACATGATGGTGCACACCTGTAGTTCCAGCTACTTGGGAGGCTGAGGCAGGAGGATCACTTGAGTCCAGGAATTCGATGTTGCAGTGAGCCATGATTGTCACTGCACTCCAGCCTGGGAGACAGCGCAAGACCCTGTCTCTTAAAAACAAAACAAAAAAAGAATGGGAGAAGTGACCAAGCAATTTGAATAAAGAAAGGATGATGAGTGCTGCAGTCTTTGTAGGTACAGAGAACTTCCAGAACACATGAGAGGGGCACTGTCTTCTATCTGTAAGGGATGGAGACTAGGGCAAGCTTCCTGCAAGATGGTAGCCCAAAAAGAGCCATAAAATGCAAGTAAGCAAAGGCAACTGGGAAAGTTTAAGAGGGTGGCAGAATCATATTAGGCAGAACAAATGGTGCTTGCCAAAACCCAGAGGTGATAGTAAGGAGGGCTCACAGAGGACTGCAGGTAGCACTTTATGATTGGAGCTCAGACTGGAGTGTGTGGAGGAATGAAAACAGGTATATCCTGAACGGTCTTTTGGACCATGCTAAGGAGTTTGGCCTTATTCTGGGGAGTTCTTCAAGAATTGAAGCAGGAATGGTTTGCTCAGAATTGCAGTTTTCATTTAAATCATTGGCTGTGATATGGGGGATGGATTACAGAAGAGTACAACTGGATAGTTAGCTGTACATTTGTATAGAGGAAATGGGTCCTGTCTGAACTAGGTGAAAGGTGGAGAGGGAGAGATGTGGATGTATTTAAGCAACATTAAGAAGGTGGAAACAACAGAACTTACGTTGTGTCTGTGGCAGAAGGTGGGGAGGATTTCAGAATGACCCCAGTGGGGTCCTGACTTGGGCCACTGGTGGCTGGTTCAGCAGTTTCCTGAAATAATCAATTGGAAAGGAAGTGGTTGGGAGATGGAGTGATGCTGTCTGTCCTGAATGCATCAAATTTGGATTTCCATGGCCTCAACAAGTGGAGATGTCTCATAAAGAGTTTAGTATATGGGCCAGGAGTGCAGGAAAAAGATTTAACCTGGTGTTACAGAGTTGGCAGGCTCCAGTATGTTAGGAGAAAATTGAATATGTAATGGAAAAGGTAAGAGAATGATAGCTTGGTTAGCGTGGACCCATTGTTGTTTTAAAAATTCACACATGCCCTGGTTTACACAATAGGTATGTTTTCCCAAAGACTGTGTGAACCAAACTTTAATATATTGATTTTTAGAAGTTCACTGAAGAGATTAGTATGTTGATGAATCTTGTAATGTCAAGAATGCTTTTCTAATACAATTAATACCTTTGTAATTTATCTTCTACAGACATATTTTACATATTAAATTTTTAAATCAAGTTATATCTAAAGAGTATTTTTGTAAAGAGTCAGGAAATGTGCCTGGATCTTAAACTACACTGTTATTTTCTATTTTAAAAAAGAAAATGGGAGAGTCTAAGAAATTCCTTTGAAAATTGTTAGACATCTTTTGGAGTCGGTAAAATTAAGTTTATTGTTTTTATTTCATTTGCAAGGTTCTCCACTTAGAAGAAATTGGAGGGTGTTTTGGAAACAATTTTGATGATATCAAATAAAAGATTTCCCCCTCCCCAACATAACTCAATATTTTTGCTGTTCTTGGAAGTCCAAATAGAAAGTTTGCTATGTCCTGAACTCGGCTTCCAGCTAGCCATGTGGCAGCAGAAGCAAAAATTTTCACATTCTGCCCTCTGTTTGCTCGCCAGCTTTAAAAACATATAAACAAGCTGAGAGTATCAAATTCACATGTCTGTTTTTCTATGGCAAGTAAAGGTTACCCCGTAATGTATTATGGGAGAGAGATCATTGAGGAAAAAACTTACACGGGAAGCACTTTTCCTAGCAGAAATTGCTTAAATCACAGCTTCTCCACTTGATGTGGTGAGAAAAATGAGGATTGATTCATTGGAGCTTTCTTGACCTCCTTACAGCCATTTACCTCAAGTTAATCTAGTTTAAAGATGGAATAATATTTACAATCTTTAGATTTAATTTGGATTAGGAAGGCTTTCCTAGTCTTTGTGGAAGTGCTATTGAGAGAACTGGAGTTCCTAATCATTTAAGCAAAAATGTATCCACCTTGTCATCTGCTAAATTCTACATCATGTTCAGAAACAGCAAGATGTTCTGTCTGAATTTTTGTTTAGCTACATATTTAAGCACATGGCTGGACTTGACTGTCATGGATTCTGCTCTAGACACATTACTATATTTGCAACTAGAGGCACTCTTCTCTTTTATATATTTAGTTAAATATTAGAAAGTTCTGTAACTAGGAATTGTTGCTCTTACTCAACAGAAATAGATCACATCTATGTGCTGCTGATAAGTCATGCCCAGGTACTTCTAAACCAATTGCTGTAACATTTTTTTTTTCTTTTTAGAGACAGGGCCTTGATATGTTGCTCAGACTGGATTTGAACTCTTGGGTTCAAAGTGATCCTCACTCCTCAGGCTCCAGAGTGCTGGCACTACGGGAATACACCACTGCACCCAGCTTTGTAGCATTTTGATAATGCACATGGGTCATTTTAACAGATGGCTAATTATAGATACAGATTGATTATATTTTTAAGTTCAAATATGCAAATAATGAATTAGTTCTGAGCCCCTTCTCTGTTAGAGGCACTTGGTTACTGAAAGTTTAAGGCACATCCCCTCCACTGCCTTCCTTCAGGAATTTGCAAACAAATTAAGGAGTAAAATTAAATATATGATAAGATATATGAGCTATCTTTTTCCCCACAAAGGCAGCATTTCCAAAAACTGAATTTTAAGCTTTTTATTCTTTTTCACTCTCTATCTTCTTCCTCCTGCAAGCCTATAAATATGAGGAAAAGTATATCATTATCTCTAAACTCCTGCACAGTTACATCCATCTAAATTCTGGACTTTTTTCTCTGAATGTCTCATACAACATCAAACTCACAATATTAGAATGAATTTATCATCTTCCTCAAAGCTACTTTCACTTCTTAAGCTATTTTCTATTTATCTAGTTGCTCAAGCCTCAAACATGGAAATCTTTGCAACTTTTTCCTGTTTCTCATCCACACATTTATCAATCACTTTTAGATTTCTATTTCCTGTCTCTGTCACTTTCTTTCTCATCTGTCCACGTCTCCAAGTCTCCACAGCCACCATCTGAGTCTAAGGCTCTATCCCCTCTCATCTGGGCTACTTTGTTAGCCTCTTAGTTGGTGTCTCTGGTCTTGTATTCTTCTAATTCACTCTACACAGAAAAAGTAAATTTAATTATGTCATTTTTTATTATTATTTAGATGCCTTCAATAAGTCTCACGATATAATTTACACTTCTTACCCAGCATGAAAGGTCCTTCTCACTAGCTTCGTCAGCTCCCTCTACCCATGCCAGTCAACATAGAACTGCTGGTAGCTCTTTGACCTCACCCTGTAACTAATTTTTCTTTTCTTTCTTTCTTTCTTTCTTTCTTTCTTTCTTTCTTTCTTTCTTTCTTTCTTTCTTTCTTTCTTTCTCTCTCTCTCTCTCTTTCTTTCCTTCCTTCCTTCCTTCCTTCCTTCCCCTCTTCCTTTCTTCCTTTCCTTCCTCTTTCTCTCTCTTTCCTTCCTTCCTTCCTTCCTCCCTCCCTCCCTCCCTCCCTTCCTCCCTTCCTCCCTTTCTTTTTCTTTTTCTTTTTCTTTTTTTCTTTCTTCTTGGATTCTCACTCTGTTGCCCAGGCTGGAGTACAGTGGCTCAATCTTGGTTCACTGCAACTTCCACCTCCTGGGGTCCAGCAATTCTCCTGCTCCTGCCTCCCGAGTAGCTGGGATTACAGGTGCCTGCCACCACACGCAGCTAATTTTTTTTTTATATTTTTAGTAGAGATGGGGTTTCATCATGTTGGCCAGGTTGATCTTGAACTCCTGACCTCAGGTGATCCACCAGCCTAGGCCTCCCAAAGTATTGGGATTACAGGCGTGAGCCACAGCGCCCAGCCCCCTGTAACTACTTTCAACTCATCCACCAAAACCTGCCTCAAGCTTAGCCTCAAGTCTGATTTACATGGTCTTTAATAAGGCTCCCAAACCTCCGTGATTATCTCCCTCATGGCATAGATTAAGCTCTACAGTAATTGTCAAGTTACTTATCTGTCTCTGTGTTAAACACCAAATAAGATCCTTGAGGGCTGGCACATAGCCTTTAGTGACTGTATATTCCAGTGTCTAGCACAGTACCTGCCACTTAGAAGAGGCTCAATAAATGCCTCTTGATAGACACATCCATACAATGAAAGACTACTCAGTGATAAAACAAATGCAGTAGTGATACCTTCAACAACATAGATGAATCTCAATTATGCTCAGAGAAAGAAGTCAGACAAAAAAGTATATACTGTATTATTCCACTTATGTAAAGTTTAGGGAAATGAAAATTAATTTATAGTGACAAAAAGCTGATCAGTGGTTGCCTAGGGAGAAGCAGGAATGGGAGTGGGATGTACTAAAGGGAATGAATACATTTTGGGGGTGATGAATATGTTTATTAGTATCTTGAATTGTGATGATGTTTTCACAGGAGTATACAAATGTCAAAAAATTTTTCAATTTGTATGTTTCAAATATATGCAGTCTGTTGCATGTCAATTATACCTCAGTTAAAAACAATGCTTATAAGACAGGCTGCATCAATGAATGCCTTTCAGTATTTTGCAACATACTGTCAATGATTAGGCGAAAAGGCAGGATCCTATCTGCTAACAACAGGGTTGTCTGACAGTGGCACCCACCCCTCACCGTACCATCCTTGTTCCTTACTTGATAGCTGCTTAGCAACTGTTCTCTGCTCCTAAGATGGTGTCAGATGCAATTGTTTGGGGTATTGGAAGTAACTAAAACTTTGGATACTGTGATTATGCATGACATTCTAGAAGGAGCAAAGAGGGGGCTGGGGAAGGGCATCCCTTTGTCTATGTGGCCTGTATGGTGTCGGGGATGATGGAGGTGGATGAATGACAGTGAGGCTAGAAGACCCAGGCTAGGAGACCCTGGTCGGCTGGGGCCACAGGACGTCAGGCTTCAGCAAATCTTAGGCACAAGAATCTTGGTATCAAGGAAAATGGGAAGGAAGATACTCGCTAGTCCCTTACTAAGAAAAGCACCCCTAACAACTAAAGCAGATTTAGTCTATATTCTGCAAAATTGGAATTAAATGCAGCATAATTTTAGGGCCAAGGAAAAGACTATCCCCCTCTCTTTACCTCCCAACAATGTTCTTCTGACTTCCTGAATTTGTGTCAAATTCCTCTATCAGGAGATAGAAACTTTTATTTCATAATAGGAAACTCCTATTCCTTAAATAGGAATTTAAGAGTTAAAACAGAAAACTCTTAAAAGACTGAATGTATTCATGAAAATTAATTTTCAAGTAGAAATAATATGTCACATTTTGCTGTTTTTATTTGGAGGAGTTAGAAATTAAGAAGGCAAATAATAACCTGAGTTTGGGAAAGGGGAGAGGACTTTCAGAAATGCTGAAGGAGAGGCTAGAGGCAGAAAGACAAATTTTTCAAAAGTTATAATTTTGCCAACCCTATTATTCTTCATTTTTCTACCAACAAATATAAGGTAGGTATACCTTATGTCACCTCAGAAACTCTGAGCCCCATGGAGGTAACCAGTATGCTTAGATAAGAACAAAGGACAATGAGTGTCATTTAAGATCTGTTTAGCTACCCTACATCAAAGGGCATGGCAGCCAGGAAAGCAATTTCAGACTTCAGTTCAGTAAGGTGGTCATTTGTCTTGATCCTTCTCCTCATAGCACAATAAGCGCTGAACTGAGAACTTTAGAAACACACAAAAAGTATGTGGGTATAAAGTTATTCCATACCCACAGGGAGCTTTAAGTTTAAGTAAGGGCAAAATGCAAAGGAAAGAACAAAAGAACAGAAGCAGAGGAATCTTCAGAAAAATATAAACATCTGCAGCATACAGAACCATTTTCCCAAGCGATTTCTCCTGTCAATGTGCAAACAGGATTGTTGAAGTGATTCTGGTTGAGTAGAGCCATATGGGTTTAGTTTGGGAGATGATTCCTGGCAGCATTCTGAAGAAGGAGGGACATGATTTGACATCAATGATCTGCGAAGACTTCTGGGCTGGGGAATGTAGAGGTACAAGCAAGAGACTAAAATGCTCCTCAAATGTGAAATATGTAAAGAATAAGATACTGCTGAAATGTGTCAGGGAGGGCAGGGTCAGAACATAAGCAAGAAAAAAGGGGAGAAATCAAATTCACCACTGAAGTTTGGTGAAAAAAATTTTTTAAATAGGATAAAAGAAAACAATGAATATAAATAGCATGAAAAAGAGAGAGAGAAAACAGGAGGAATTCCAAACTCAATTGATAAATTTCAAGTAATGGCTTCTTCCATATGAAAGCAACCCTGGTGATGTTAAGCTTTTCTCGTGTAGAGGATTCAGGTGAAACTCAGAATCAAGTTGAAAGAATGCTTTTTTAAAAAGACTGATCATTAATAGCAAAAGTAAGAATCATGGTGATGCTTCCAGGAAACTCAATAGTGGATACTGAAGAGGATCCCCTGAAAAGGTGAAAGTCAGCTGCAATGCAAGAATAACCAAAACTTAGAAATTCTGCCGAGGAAGGGGATTTGGAGTGGAATGTTTGCCAGGCTAAAGAGTACAATGACTCATCTCTTAGTAAATTGTGTGAAAATTTAGAAATAACTTGGAAACAGTTTTTTCTCTTCCTGACTCACAATCAGGGTCCCCCCACACCCGCCCCAGCCTCTGCTTTATTTGAGATTGTCTTTGGCCTCCAACCTGTCAATGATGCATGTACCAGGGCACATTGTAAAATAATTTGATGTTCATTTATGAAGAGAAAATATTTCCTAAATCTTCTTTCCAGGCCACCTGTAACCCAGTGACAGGGCTAGCTAAGTAAACAGGAAAGCCAGCATCCTCCGCTTCAGAAACTAAACACTCACACAAGAACTCATTCTCCGGGTAGATGATGGGTCAGTCAAGATCCACATTTGAACATCTGCTTTTCTCAGGCTTTCTTCTCCCCTGATGTATGTAGTCTTTCACTTTATTCATGTTGAGAAACCACTTCCCCTTATTCATATCATAATGGAATGGAAGAAGATTTAGCAGATTTGGGTGAATTGAACTTCAAAATTTTGGAAGTGTGGGGAATGGGTAGAAAAATAAACCATATCTATTGATTGTGGAGTGTGCAAAATAACACATTATGATAAAGGGTTAGGCATTTTGGAATTTTTATTTATTTATCTTTAAATTTTAATAGAGACGGGTCCTCCCTATGTTGACCAGGCTGGTCTCAAACTCCCTGACTCAAGCTACCCTGTCTCGGCCTCCCAAAGTGCTAGGATTTTAGGTGTGAAACACCGCACCCAGCCAGGAATTTTTTTTTTAACTCAGAAAATGTAACATGTTGCGCTAAGTTTTACTGTGTGTGTTAAAAGGCTTAATAGAGCAGGTGAAATTTAAAACTGCTTGCAGCAAGCAGAAATAAAGGTAGAAATTCACATATCATTGTATGGGAAGAATTGGCTTGAACCTCCAGGTTTCACTTCATATTCTTGATCTGCAGCTACTTTTTGATTATAGCACAGCCTTGGCAGAAGAATCCAACTTGCTAAAAGTGTTCCAAAAAAGGAAAAAAAAATCTCTGGCATTTCCTGTTGGTTGGAAGATGTTTGGCTTTCTGCATTTGTATTTAGTGTTATCATTGGCCAGGCACCTTTGCTGGGTAGAAAAATACTGGTGCAAATTTTACTGGCAAGGTGGGAGTAAAAGCCATAAAAATTCTCAATTTTCCTTTTAAAAACTTAACTCATTTGTCCAAGAGAAATGAATACAGAAGGACAAGAGATTTTTAAACTTCCCGTACATCTGGGTATAGCAGTGTATTTTGACTCCAAGCACAATAAAACAACCTTACTTGCTGGTGGTATATGACATAATGACCCAAATATGTTTTTAAAAAATCATTTATTGCTGTACATAAACAGCAAAGTTAGCGCAAGGGATGATAAAATAACATGGGTAATTCTTCCTTTAGCTGGGAACCATTGGCGGCCCATTAGGATTCCAGATGTAGCTGTGTGTGCTTTTCCATTTGTTTTCCAGTGTCTAGTGCTTATGCCCTTGGTACCTTGATGGTGGTTGTCAGGCATGTTGGCTTTTCAGCTTGAGGTCTTCCTTGGAGAAACACAGTGATCGGGCTCTGGGCTATAAAGCACACTATTGTCTTGGGCCCAGTTTGTTGAGAATATAAGACCCAGGGCAGCCTCCTGCCAAAGGTCAAATACCAGCTTGACCCAAGTTCCTCAAATCAACACTGGACCTCCCCAGACAAGAGACACTTCACCTCTTCCTGATGAAAAAGTGGTTTTATGTTTTTATCACTCTGTAATAACAGAGATTGTTAGCTCAAATGCATTTTGATAATCCATTTATTATAGCTACTCTCGTGAAGAAAACAACTCACAGGGCCAGAACCTTATAGATTAAAACTGATAATAATAAAATGTGTTCCAGTGTTTTCGGCACTTAAAAAGGAAGCAAACTCCGGTATTTCCCAGTCCAAAAGATGGACTAGTAAGCAGCGCTAGAGGACTGAGTTGTGAAACTGTACTGTCCAGATAGAATCATCGTATTTTCAGCAGAGAAAGAAAGCAGCTAAAAACAGAACCATAGCTAATTTAGCAAGTGCCCTGACTGCCAAAAATGCGTGTCTGAAATCAGGTGGGTGTTTCTTTATGAGTCACTTTGCCAAATGTAAAATTTATAGCCCAGTCTTGTGCAGACTCTAGCAAAGATTCAGAGCATCAGTTTATTACAGGGCTACTATTAAGGATGCTTAAAACTCACCAGCTTTACACTCCTCACCCCAGGAGTCTAGCCTTAGCTAGTTATGATTGGGCCTGGCCCAAATGCTCCTATTAGGCAGGGATTTAAGTATTCAGCAATACGGTTAGGCCCTTTCTGTGGAGCCGAATGCTCTTCCTCATGGGGAGCTCAACTCACCCCTCCTGTGTCCATCAACAACAGCTCCCCTTTGCTTCTTACCACTTTTCACCTGTGCCCTGGCTTAGCAAATTGAAGGAAATAATGCTTAAAGAAAACAAAATAAATAGCAGATGGTTGAGTGTACTCTGGGATGAATAAATTGTGGCTGTGGAGGCGAAGAGTGAGTTGGTGGATGCACGCGGGTGTTTTTGTCGCTGACATGCAGGATGCTCAGCACGCTGACCTCCACATGTACCAGGCCCACTGCCATTAATCACTCCACATAATCCAAGCCAGAAATTTAATGAGCCCAGGGGATTGGTGATCCTTTGGAGTGGGAGTGGGAACGGAGAAAGTGAACTAGAGGTAAAATACAAAGTACAAAAGTGGATCCAGATAAGATAGCAGAGGTTTCTCAGTGCCCAAGTGATTTTGGATGGACTTTATCCCATATACGATCAGACAGAGAACGATCATCCAAAGAGTTTCATCCTTTATAGTGGGTTTATTCTCTCTAATAAATTATAAAATAGGCCAAGCACGGTGGCTCATGCCTATAATCCCAGGACTTTGGGAGGCTGAGGTGGGTGGATCACTTGAACGTCAGGAATTCGAGACAAGCCTGGCCAACATGATGAAACCCTGTCTCTACTAAAAATACAAAAAATTAGCTGGGCGTAGTGGCAGGCATCTGTAGTACCAGCTACTCAGGAAGCTGAGGCAGGAGAATTGCTTGAACCCGGGAGGCAGAGGTTGCAGTGGGCCGAGATTGCGCCACTGCACTCCAGCCTGGGCGACAGAGTGAGACTCCATCTCAAAAAAAAAAGCAAAATTGTGACCTCCCCAGAATCCCAGAATATCATAGTGCCATTTGGGAACCTTATTCCAAATTGCTAAATGGAACACAAGTGTTCAGCTTCTTGGAAATCAAATGGTTTATCAAATCCATTACCAAAATAAACCATGGAATACCTGTAACAGCAAGTTCCTTTTATAACTTTGAGATGTAAATGTTATTTTTATTAATCAAAAAAATTAAAAATCTGAATAATTTGGCACCTTTCTAATCCTCAACCATCCACGTACCCTCTTCCCAGTCAAGCTACATCTCTTACAGCCATATCCACAGACTGAGGGAATAAAAATATATTCATATCCATCAATATCCTTTGAATAAATATCCCATCAAAAGGAGTACTAAAATAAGGAGGATTAGAAAACAAAAGTAGATAAATAACAAATGTAATCTCTTACAGACCCATAGACTGATTTTCACTAGGTGTGCTAAGTTTCTTCTAGGCCCTGGAGGATGGATATCAAGTTGATAATAGCTGATGGATGGACTTTGTTCCAGTTACTGCATATCCATTCTTTATTATTGCTGCTTAGCTGAATTTTTCTTATAGTACCTTATACTTCAGTTTCCTCCAAAAATATTATGTTATGATGAAGATTTTCAGGTGAAAGTAACCCAAATGTCTATCAACTAATGAACAAATTTTAAAAATATAGTATATACGTAGGATGGAATGTGATTCAGCCTTTAAAAAGATTAAAATCCTGTCATGTGCTACAACATGGATTAACCTTGAGGACATTATGCTAGGTGAAATATGCTAGTCACAAAAAGACAGTATGATTCCACTTTTATGAGGTATCTAAAGTAGTAAAATTCATAGAAACAAAGTAGAATGGTGGTTGCCAGGGGCTGGAGTAGGAAACGGAGAGCTGTTGTTTAGTGGGTATAGAGTGTTAGTTTTGTAAGATGAAAAGGTTCTGTAGATATATTGCACAACAATGTGAATCTACTTAACACTACTGAGCTGTACACTTAAAGATGGTTAAGTTGGTAAATTTCATATGTGTTCTTTTTTAATAACAATTTTTTTAAAAAGATGGAAAACTTTATTTGAAATCTCCCTTACCTGTTTACTCTTCATTGTAACAGTCTGCTTGTGTACATTGAAACTTAGGAACTGTTTTTCTTCCAAAGGGCGGTACGCAGATTGGTAATTTAAATAAACATTTTATTAGGAAAAATGCTAAATTTTCCTGAATAGTATAGTAAACTCCACATATCCATTGCCAGTTCTAATTTTATGACAATTATAATTAAATTATAATGACAGTTACAAATTTCCCCATCTTGTTTCATCTGTTCTCCCTTTTTTTTTTTTTTTGAGACAGAGTCTCACTCTGTTGCCCAGGCTGGAGTGCACTGGCATGATCTTGGCTCACTGCAACCTCCACCTCCCGGGTTCAAGCAATTCTTATGCCTCAGCCTCCTGTGGATTCATTTTTTTGTTGTTGTTGTTGAGACAGTGTCTTGCTCTGTAGCCCAGGCTGGAGTGCAGTGGCACAATCTCCGCTCATTGCAAGCTCCACCTCCTGGGTTCACGCCATTCTCCTGCCTCAGCCTCCCGAGTAGCTGGGACTACAGGCACACGCCACCACGCCCGGCTAGTTTTATTTTTTTTGTGGTAGAGACAGGGTTTCACCGTGTTAGCCAGGATGGTCTCGATCTCGTGACCTCGTGATCCACCAGCCTCAGCCTCCCAAAGTGCTAGGATTACAAGCGTGAGCCACCGCGCCCAGCTTGGATTCATTTTTAATTATGGCCTAAGCACTTATTTTAGGAATTCAGAAAGCATGTTTAAATATCTTATCGCATAAAAATAATCCTTGTGATTTATATGTAATATTTTCTGTAGTACTTTAATTTCTTCAAATATAACATGTAGATAGCTATATGGGAAAAATGATGGGGAAGGCCTACAATGAAAGAAATAGGAATGTTGAATGGGAATGAGCAAACGCTGTGACTGAGTTTGGTATTGCTTAAAAGTGCTAAAGAGGAGAGGACTGAAATGCTTAATTTTAGGAACTGGGAATTCTTTAAGGAGCCCATCTTTGTCTTTTCTACGTACAATGTGAGATTAAATCTCTTTTAAAATGTGGTTGTTTTACCATTACTTCCCAAAGAAAAAGAAAGAGCCAGTCTGGGCTCATCTCCCAACCAGTTGTGTGACCTTGGGTGAGTCCTTTCATCTTTGAAGGCTTCAGTAGCCTCATATGTAAAATGATGGCTGTGGAATGATAGTTTCTAAGGTCCTTTCCAATTCAAGAATCCTATAATTTGAAAGTAGGAGTGAATATTTTACTACAAAAGATTCTGATAGGTTAAATTTATGGCTGAACTTAATCTAGTAAAGGCCCTAGCTTTCGATATGGTTACCAGTATTCATAGGATAAGAAAGCTGAGAAGTTGTCTCACATCTCTGCCAACATCAAGTAATGAGATACCTGTGATATAAAGTAACCTGTAAGTTAGTGTGGAACAAATAGTTCCCTAAAGAGCTTTGCAAGGCCTTCTACTGAAGTTTTATTATAGATGTTTGTATGATAAGCCACATTTTATATTCTAAATTTTAAAAACCTAACATGAAAATAATATTTAAGAAAATAACTTGAAGTAAAGATTTACTTTGCTGCTTTGAGCCAAAGATTCTTTTTTAAAAATTTTTTCATGAAAGGCTTTAAGAGGAAAAGGAGAAATGAATGGAACATATGCTTTGAAATGGTTGACTGCAAGGGTGTAAACTGTGTGATTGTTTGAACACTGTTGAACACTGTTCAACTTTTAAGTGCAAATATTCCTTAGGATAGCCTGTTATCTCATCTTGTCTCTATACAAAGTTTCATGCCATTCTTTAGTAAACATGCGCAGAAGGGCTTGCTGCCTTGAAAGGCTGTAGGTTGTTGGAAATTGCTCTGTTTTAGAGTCCTGAGGAAAATGAGGTAGAAGGCAAAGGAGTGGCTTAAAGATTGCCAATCTTTGGAATTCCATATCCCTTGAAATGCCAATCTTTGGAAATTCCCATTTCCTGCACAATCTCAGGGTAAAAGTGAATGATAAAGGAAACAAAGGAGGTAGAAAAGCATCCTTGGGAGGGTTGATTCCTTGGGCCACCTGGTGCCAATTGACTGCTACAATTTAGAGACCCTTGACTAAACTCAGAAAATCCAGGACTGTAACCTATATTCAACCTGATCAGCTAGGGGTTTCTTTGATTTTAGGAACACTTACCAACGAGTACAAACTGATGATATGAGGCCCTCAGTTTTTATAGTGTGTTCTTTCTGAAGCTGAATGCTAGGTCACAAACATAACCTTTTACACCAAAAAATTAATCACTGATGCTCATTTCTTAGATTCTACTAGATTCGTCCCGGGAATTCTGTCAAAAAGAAGGAACTAGCAAGGTATATAATATCTTAGGAGGCTAATCCAGAAAAAATGGAAAGTATGTACATGGTGCAAGACTTTTTCAGTGTAGATTCAGAAAACATTTGTTCCCAAGCTGGAACTCATGAAGATGTGGCAACTAAAAGATTATTCAAGGGGTGATACCCCAGGTGGAGGAATATCATGAGTAACTGAGAGCTAGAGAGAGATCAGGGACTCAAAAGAAGTACAGTTGACCCTCAAACGACCCGGGTTTCAATTGATCAGGTCTATTTCTGTGTGGATTTTCTTCTGCCTCCTGCCACCCCAGAGACAGCAAGACCAACCCCTCTTCCTCTTCCTCCTCAGTCTATTCAACATAAAGATGATGAAGATAAAGACCTTTATGATGATCTACTTCCACTTAATGAAAAGTAAATGTATTTTCTCTTTCTTATGATTTTCCTAAAAACATTTTCTTTTCTTTATATAATACATATACAAAGTGTTAGTCAACTGTTCATGTTATTGGTAAGGCTTCCAGTCAAGAGTAGGCTATTCGGCCAGGTGCAGTGGCTCACGCCTGTAATCCCAGCACTTTGGGAAGCCAAGGCAGGCAGATCACTTGAGGTCAGGAGTTTGAGACCAGCCTGGACAACATAGTGAAATCTCATCTCTACTAAAAATAAAAAAATTAGCCAGATATGGTGGCACACGCTTGTAATCCCCGCTACTTGGGAGGCTGAGGCAGGAGAATCACTGGAACCTGGAAGGCAGAGGTTGGAGTGAGCCGAGGTCATGCCATTGCACTCCAGCCTGGGTGACAGAGTGAGGATCTGTCTCAAAAAAAAAAAAAAAAAAAAAAAAGTCGGCTATTAGTAGTTAAGTTTTGGGGGCGTCAAAAGCTATATACCAGTTTTCTTCTGTGTGGGGGTGTTGGTGCCCCTACTCCCTATCTTGCTGAAAGGCCAACTGTATTTCAGAGTAAGACAAGTGACTTCCAGGGAGGGATCCCCTCTTTTCAGCAGAGGGATTCTGTCTGTAAGTACTGTGCTAACACTACTGGTGGAAACATGGCTGCTGAAAACTGAGTAGAGTTTGACCTTATATTTTGACTCAGAAATTAAAGATGCACTGTTTAAGTGGCACTGAGTATGCCCAGCTTTCGTTGTAAAATTGAGTTAATTACATTTGCCTATTCACAAAGACTTATGCAGTAACAACAGCAAGCTTTATATTTCTTGAAAAAAAGAAATATGGAGTCTGCAAAGGGGTAGGACCATTCCTCTTTAACCCTCCTTGGATTGCAGACTGCTAAGAATGTAGACTGGCTTCATGTGCTCTATCATTTTTGAAGATCTCAGTTAGTAGCATTTACATTAACTGTCTGAAAGGAAAAAATTAAACCTTCCTTTTAAATATTGCTTGTCATTGAGTTCCTCTCTAATCCTTAGGCAAATTGTGCATTGTTGATCTAGTTCCACAAGACAATTTCTGAATCAAAACTCTGAATATGATATAGCCACTTATTTAAGGAACATTGACCCCAAAGAAAGATCATAATGTGGAAACATATTGGAGAATAAAACATTTAACTCTCTTGTTTCTGTTATTCTGATGTGCTGGCAAGTACTAGTTAGAATAATTGGCAAGGACTAGTGAGAAATGCTATTTAGACTTAGGAAACCTACAAAACTATATCCCACTGGAAAGGTAAATATGTCATGTTATGTGTCCAACAATAATAGCTATAACAAGAACATCTGAGACTTTTCCCTGGGCTTTAAACCACTTAAGTAATTTTCTTCAAAATATTAATTTTCTGATGTAATGTTCTCTGTCACTCTCTTTCATTGGGAACTGAGTTGAATGTACCCAAGTGCATTAAAAAATGCTCTAAAGATGTCACCATTGAAGAAACGTTATCCTATAATTTCAATATTTGTTGTTCAAAAATACTTTAATGTTATTTTTTATTCATACATCTAAGCATCCATCCAGGGTTGTAATGGTGGTTAACAGCCAGAAAAGGTGACCAAAACTTACAGTCTTGTTTTCTTCAGGAATTCACTGTCTTGCATCAGATAATATTTTTAGGTTTTTATTATTTAAAAATAAATACTGGAACATCAATAAAAAGATACCATCACCAACCTACCATTGATTTGTCCTTTGTTATAATTGGCAAGCTGAAGCAGAAATAAAGTGCTTCAATTCAAGAGAAGTGACACTAATGATGGTGATAGAAGAATGAAAAGCAAATAAGAAGTAGAATTTGAAGTGACATGAATAATTTTACTGACTAGTGTTAGATACAGAAACCTCTTCCCCAATGCTATTGCTTTGCTGTGCTTTTTCATTATAATTTTTTTTCTTCTCAACCACTATTGGTATACCAATGTTGAATTAAAAAAAAGATTTACACTGTAAGTATAGGCTTCTTTGGGGCTCAGAAAGTAGCTTTTCATTGTTTGCTGTTTATACACACGTCTCCTTACAAAAAAATATTTACAGTTATTTAAGAATTTGGATATAATATATCACTTCAGTAAAATTTGAAAAAATTTAGCATTTTAAAGTTAAAATATTAAAATGTTTTCTTAGTTTAGATACTAAAGATTATTACTATAATGTAATTGTGTATCATGTAATTATGTCTTGGAAGATTGAATCAATTGGTATTTGAAAAGGTTTATAGGTAAAGTTTTTAGAAGATTACGTTTCTAGAGTTTTTTATGCAGTGGAATTTCTGATGCTACAGTAAATTAAAAAGTTGGATGATTTTCATGTGATATCTTATTTCACTAATACAGAACAACCTTGAACCGCACTAGAGCAATAATTACT
This sequence comes from Homo sapiens, assembly GCF_000001405.40. NCBI lineage: Eukaryota > Metazoa > Chordata > Mammalia > Primates > Hominidae > Homo > Homo sapiens. The sequence continues at coordinate 37,027,778 of NC_000014.9, read as the reverse complement.
TAACCTAAATCAGAGACCAAGCCAGGCCAAACAGCTGTTTTCATTTTGTTAGGAGATCCATTTGATTTACTCTTTTAGTCAGCTTTCATTACTGTAGAAGACAAAACTTCACTTGAGTTTTTAACCCTGAATTCTCTGCCTTGTTTGCTGCCTGCTATAAAATTGCATGGTTGAGCTGCCACAGCCGCTGAGCACACTCCGGAGCTACTGTAGTATTGTGGGAGCCTCTGCTTCAGCTCAGGGAAAAGAGGAACTTCCACAAAGAGATAAAATCTAGGTCCTTCCCACTGCCCTTAAAAAATACAAAAACAAAAACCTCAAAGCTCATCATCAGTATTCTGATTATAAGAATAGTCTTCTGAGGTCAATGCCTGATTTGAGTTTCTATAGTAGCAGAAACGGTCATCTAACAGTTGTCATCAGCTGTATCATCACTAAACCATCTTGGAAACTAGGGAAATGAATATCAGAGACACAGATAGGAAATTTGAATTCAAATATGATTTACAAAGTAGCTAGATAATAGATGTATTAGCTGTCAAGTCATTATCCCTAGAAGTCTCTGACATGCTATAGTATGTTCTCATTTAAATTGTGAATCCAGTTCCCCTAGAATTAGTAGAAATGAGATTGCATCAGTATTTTGTTGTTTGTAACCTGGTTCTTGTAATTCAATAAACACGCTGTCCCTGCTCCCCTCAATGAAAATAAGGTGAGACAATATTAGGACCTTGTGACTTCATGGAGATGGTAGCTTAAACAATTTCCTAAGATTGCTGTTACTTGGGAAAAAAATTCTTAGAATTGTTAGCACCGTTTTTTCTCCTCTCAAAGAAGTCTGTATGTAGTCTTTAAATAAATGGAGCCTGGCAAGACAGTAGGTTCTCTGTGGCCACATGGATTGTCATAAGTAGAATTAGCCACACACGGGACAACTATTATTTAAATAACAATCTCTTTGACATGTTTTTGCCATATCATAGACCAGCACTTCTTAACTGCATCTCTTCCAGGTTTTTAGAGGCCCTTGAATAAAAGTTTCATGGTCAAATAAATTTTGTAAATACTTTTTTAGACTGTCACAATACATAATAGCATTTTGCAGCTCTGATAAATTCAACAGAAAAGAAATGTTTAATTCGTAAGTGTTTTCCAAACTTACTTGAGTATGGGACACTTTGTTTTCCTTCACATAATACCACAATATTTCACAAAATAGTTTTACTTTGGATGCTGGTTTGGGTTGGGGTATAAGCTACATAGATGATCTAATCTCATTGTTTATTTAGATGCAAAAATATGTGGAATTTACAGTTGGTGGCGACAAGGAGCTCCTTTTGGCACCTATTTTTTAATAACAAGCTAAGTTGGAGATTTTGTTGCCAGTAAGAAAGACATTTGGGAAATTACCAGCTTGGCCAAGAATCTCCATAAATACGTTTATTGGAGAATAATCATTTTTAGAAAACCCAGAGAACTATGGTGATGTCTCTACCTTGTCTAGCCAACTTATAATAGTGTGGGAAAAGAGTTATTGAAAATAATTGAAAACTAATGATATGTAGAAAAACAAAAATTATATCTGGTGGTGTGACAGAATCTTTACAAAGAGCTATGACTTGAAGCTAAAACTGCATCTTATATGTTAGTAGTTCACAAAAGGGAAAGCTAGTTGAAGATTGCTTCTTTTTTTAGGACGTCTAGTCTTTAGGGAGATGACTAGTATCTTCTGCGTGCTTTCCTGTTACATAAAACATAGTGGATTATACCTGGGTTAGCTCCCGACTCCCATCGTAAAGTGTAAATAAGTGCATGCCTGGTCTAGGGCTTTTTCCGTTTGCTATATAGGTTCTGAAATTTACCACCTGGTTTTATCCACACCAATTTAAATTTATGCACTGATCACTTTATCTTTTCTTTTAAGAAAAAAGAAAACAAAACTCCTGAACAGGCGTTGCTAAATTGCATCTCCAGCAAGGAACTCAAGGAATCCTATGGCTGAAAAACATCTATGTCTGAAGTTCAGCCTTTTCACAGTCAATTTAATAAAATGATTGACATTTGATAACAAGTTTGCCCTACACGAGTGAGTAGGAAGTCAGATGAGAAAAGAACTCTTTTAATTTGAAGGAATGTGCACTAAAGTCTTTTGCTGGCACAGCTTTGTAGTATATATGTTTGTTTATATTTTCTATTTAAATTGATATAAGTTGTTCACTTGGTGTCAAAACAAACATTTCAGCCTTGCAAGTAACTGAATCCGAACACAAATTAATTTGCAATTATGATAATCACGTTTATTAACTGCGGAGCATTAGCGACACATCTCATGGCAAACATCAGACCCTTGCTTCTGTCATGACCATCAACAGGCACATGCCAAGATAACAATAATAATGTCTTTGCATTGTGTGTTACTCTGTAGTTCCCAGAGTTCTTTCATTTATGTTATCTCATGTTCTTCTCAAAACAATCCCAGGATTAGATACGGGTGGAGCTATTATTTCTATTTTAGAAATGAGCAAAGTAAGATTAAGAATGTTTCAGTGACTTGCTTGATGTCACAAAATGCATAACTGGCGAAGCTCAGACTCAAACTTAGATTTTTCTAATTTCCACATTCTTTCCTACTTGTTTATTCTGGCTACGGTAGTGTAGCTCTAACTCTGATTGTAAGTTGTCATTAAATATTTTGCTTGCCTGTCACTATTTTTTTTTAAAAAGATACTTGTCCCCCACTTTGAAGCCTGTACAGAATAACAAATTCTAGACAGTGTTAATTTTGAATATTATGTATCCAGTGTATCTTTTTTAGTTATTTGCAACTAAATCGTTGTTTATAAATTGAAAGATTTAAATTGACAAATGGAAAGTATTTTCTAAATATTGCACTTTGTTATGAAACAATAAAAACCTTTTTTTCTCCATTTCTGAAGCTAGATATATATAAATAAGGAGATTAATTATGGGATCACAGTGTGACAAAGGATTAAAAGCCAATTATTTAAAATTCTAATCTGTTGCTTTGTTGAGTAATTTGTTTTTCCTGCTTAGACCAAGTACAAGTGAGCCAGAAAAGGAAAGATGCCAACAAATATGTTCACTATAAATAATAAAGCTGTTGATCTGTTTTTTTTTAAAGCAATATTATCTTCTGCCTCTAATAATCATTAAAATCCAGTAAGGATTTATCTTCCTCCCAAAGGGTAAACGTACTGAGAGATGCACCTTACTTTTTGTGTATAGGACTACGCAGACTTCATGTGGAGAAACCATGTGCTAAAAGTTGAATTTAGTTTTGCAAGCTGCTGACGTTGGTATATAAAGAAGATTCCAGTGACTCTATTAGTGGGGTGTGCTCTTCAAAATGTGGGTCCAATCAGGGCTTTCATAGAACCATCAACACACTGCCCTCTGTTGACCCTACTTGGAACCAATGACACTACCATTAGACAGTTGACAAGGATTAGGATGCAATTTTTGTCCTGTGTGTAAGAGGTGTAGGATATGTTCAGCATCAGTATTAAACAGGTGGCTCAGTTATAACACAATGCAAGGAGAGAAAAGGACTGCCCCAGAGAGGTCAGATTTCCATTAGGAAAGCTACGCATTGCAATGAAATGATGGATTAGTTCAGTTAGGCAAAATTTTGCTTACTCATTTTGTCCAAATTCGCATTTTTTTCCCTCAGTGATCTGGTTAATTACTTCACTTCACTGCTGTCCTCTGTTGAGGCCTGGCCTTAGCCAGTAATTAACATGTCCTGAATTACAATTTGTCAGTACAGTTCAATTCAGGAAATCAATTTATGGAACACCTAGTATATGTTAAATACTATGCTGCGGTTTGAAATTCAAAGGTGAGTAAAACATGGTCCTTTGTCTATCTGGAGCTCAGAGGCTAAGCTGGAAACAAACTCATGCAACCACTGTAATAGAAAGTGGTGAGTGCTCCATTCTCGGTGCAGGAGAGAGGCAGATGGCGGTGGGGAGACAGTGTTCTGTGAGAGCACACATGAGAGAATTGTTAATCAGAAGCCAAAGAAGTATTATTTGAAGCAAGCCTAAGTAGGAGCAAAGAATATTTGGAAGGGTGTTCTGGGAGTTCAGTATTTATTATTTGCACTTGAGATTGTAAAGGCCAAATAAGTAGGGAATGAGGCTCTTGGATACAAAGGCACAGATGGTTTCAGAAGAAAGTTATTGATGAATCAATAGATGGAGAAAAGGAATCCACTGGTCTTAAATTTTTTTGCTTTTGCTAAGGTAAGTTAATGCTCTTTCTAACAGAAGTAGCTATGAACCCTTGACCAAAAGTACAAGGAAATTGGATCTTTCAAACACTGATTTTTTTTTTAAGTTCCTCTTGAACTTTAGCAATGGAGCACCAATTTCAAACAAACACTCCATTCTTAGAGCAGCAAATGGGTGTCCAATTGTGCCCTAAGGCTTTTTCTTGCATTTTAAAAAATTTAATCTGAAGTTTCCTGGCAGCACAGAGGAATCCCTGCCTAATAATCTATACTAGGGGAAAAGACTGACTTTGGGAACACTTTTGGAGTAAAGATTGACAGCTAGATCCATTCCAGAAAACCAGTTACAGCAAAGATGGTTATAGAATGTCACTCAGCTTATGACCAGAGGAGCCAAACTGAGCCAAACTGGAGCCAAACTGTCCTGGAGATGTGTTCAGCTTGTTGGTAATCACAGAAATCAGAGGCAAAATTTGAGAGTTGTGTTGTGTTGACGGCCTGCAGAAGGCAATGGACCCTATACGAAATTACCTGAAATGGACGGTCATGTCTGCATCAAGAGTTTTCTTAGGTTATCTCCTAAAACCTCCTTCAGTTAAATAATTATATGCTATTGTTTTTATACTAAAAGGGAAATGTTGACTCACAATTCAGTGTGCTTGCTTGAAGACGATTGTGTGGTAGAAATGATTTGTCCTAATTCATTCATTCTCTCACTCCTTTACTAACAACAATATTAGTTTTCAGGACATTTGGGCATAGTCAAAGGTTGTTCCCTGAGACCACAGGACTGAGTAAATGCAAATATTTTACATTCCAGACTTCATTAATTAATGGTTAGGGTAATATTTTAGGAGGATTAATCTGCACATAGGCCGAAGAGCTGGGAAAAACTCAAAGCAAAACTCGTAGACAAAATAAAATATGGTGATCTAGGATTGAACTGATGAGACTTCATACTAGGATGATGATTGGGAAGAACTTTGCTAAGAGGTTGTTGAGAGAGAGATCTCATACATTGATAATAACCATAAAAGGTAGTTTGTTAACCCCAAGTGACTGGATTTTTTTATGGAATTGACTTTCAGAAACAATTGGGTTGGGGTACAGAGTTGCTGTCTCTGTTCCTATTCTCACTATTGTTCTATTTCAGTAACAGCTTAATTTGAACATAGTGTTTTCTTTTTTATTGTGAAACATTGAAAACTATACTATGTTAGATTTTTAATAATGGAAATATGAAAGTCTGTTTCCTAATGTGATCAGTGTTAGTATAATATGTGTAAAATTATTATTACAAAGTAAGTTTTTTTATGTAATTAGTTATGCTCTACATATTAGCTGTACAAGATGTATTATACAAAAAATAATGGCAGTCTCTCAAATTTCATGTATGTCATCAATGGATTTCTAGAGGACTTTTCATTTTTTGAGTAATAAAGGCATATGAATCCTCGTAGGAAAAAAAAAATCCCTATGAAGCAGCTAATTCTCAGAGGCTTATTTTATAAATAATGCCCCTGGCACACCTTTGTTATACAACTTTATTTCTTCAAGATGCTCTAGACCATTTAAATATCTTATCTCCAAGGAGGCATTAGTACAGTTTATGTTTCTGATACACTTTGTTGGGCTTGTTAGAATCACCTGCAAATGTTCTCCTATGGTGAGAATCTCCTTTGTATATACTTTTTTCAATCCCTGCTATTTCTAGAACTCCCCTGTTCTACATCAATGCACAATAGTTACTGGGGAAGACAACAAAAACAAAAATTGTGTTATAAGCTCTTTTCCTGAAACTTATTCTGATACCAAACTCTCCTTCCTCCCCTGCCCCCAACTTTCAGACCAGTTTACAAGTTGAACCAACCTAACTCAAGCAGGGATTTAAAATCTGTTAGAGAGCTCAGCCTGTTGATTTACAGAGCTGAAGTCTGCACAGAAGAATCATCTGTAATGGGATTCTTTGCTCCCAAGAGAGACATTACATAGCAGAGTTGTAAATTACTGAAGAAATAGAGGAGGGGAAGAGGAGGGTTAGTGGCTATGTTTCGTAAAAATAGAATATATTATTGATCAGAGCAATTGTCTTTTAACTTTTTATTTTTCACCATAAAATGAAGAGGTTGCCCTGAGAAAAAGAAAAGTGGATGTTTAAGATGTTAAGTGTGCTGTATTTGTTGTCCTATTTACTTGGTGTAAGAGGTTGTCATTTGTTTGGTTTGGCAGTGGTCTCTTGATAAGTTCTGCCCACTCCCCACTCCCTCTGGCCCTAGGATTTCCTTCTTTAAAGTCATTAGTTCTCTTTACATCTATATAACAATGTAGTGGAACCCTATTTGCATCCAGCAGTCATCATCACAATCGGTCCTTTGCCCACTATGCGTTTTCCCTGAATCAAACTATAACACTGGCTTTGAACAGGGTAATATATAAGGTGTAGGAATACAGAGTTCTAAATGAAAATGTCCTAAATACATTGCCAGTGCAGTGAGACTAGCCAACAGAGAAATAGATGACCTCAGGAAACGTCTGGCTTAACAAATGTATACCTTTAAATTGGAAATCTAATTATTTGCCTTAGATTTGCACTGCTGGGAACCTAATGCAAGACCATGTTAAATAAACTTATTATTTCCGTTTTTCATTTAACCTGTGGGTTGTAGTATGACCAATTTGTTTTATATCCTCAATCAACAGATGATTGTATTTGGTAATAATTTATCAAGAATAAAAATCTGTTTTTGAAACTAATCACCTCATGTTAGGTCTGCCCTTTTTCAAAACCACCATCTGATATTCATTTTGTCTGCAAGACAAACATACTGATGAAAATGCATATACCACAGGATACAGCCAGTGGAATGGAGCATTTCCAGTCTTTGTATATATTTAGAACATTTTCTGTTTTCCCGACAGATGGACCAAATTTTAGTATTAAAGAAAAAAATCAATTTTACATAGTACAAACAAATTGAACAAGTACATTGTATATTTCTGATTATTTTGTAACAGAATGTCCAGTGGAATTTGGAGTCAAATCAGGTCACATCTAAACTCTGTGATTTGAAAAAAAAAAAGTGACTTTTTCATATTTACTGTGTTTTTTTTTGAGATGATTAGGTGAATCTCTAAATGGGAAATACTAAGTTTCATGTATTTTGCAAGTCATTAAGCTTCTCAATCTAATGACTTATTTATGTACTAGTATCTTGAAATGTTATAGTTTGTTTGTTTTTTTATAAATCAGCAACCTTACTATGTACAGCTTACCAGAGTGATATATGGATTATAATCCTCAAACTTTTTTTATTATTTAGGGCAAATAGCTCTGCACTTACTCTTATTAACTACATCGAGTTTTATTTAACACAGTGTTGGCACTGGTTTCTTTGGAAAATTAGCTGGCATTCTTAAAACTACATTATTTATAAGAGTTTAACTTTAGAATGTATTTGAATTTATACTAAATGTTTACATGTATTATTTTCTTATATATTCAACTTTAAATAAAAATTATACTTATTTTATCTCACATGTTTAGATTGCCTATATTTATTTTATTAGTGAGGAGAGATAGAACTACAGATTTGTCTTTTAGGAGGTTATCTCTGTCTTTCCTCCTTTTATTCCATCTATATCTTACATCTTTAATTTCACTCTTTTTTTAAAAAAACTTGCTGTGGCTCCCCAGTGTTCAAGGATGATCAAAGCCTCCTTAGTTCTTCACCATCTGGTCTTACCTGTCTTTCCAGCCCCAATGTCCCTTTCTAGCCTCAGTGGGTTGTTACTCACTTCCCTTTTTAGGCCCCAAATACCTCTCGCAGTCTCCTGGGATTTGACATCCTCTTACACACTTTTTTAATTTTTTTTTACCAGTTGTCTCCTTGACCTGGAATGACCTTCCTCATTTCCCCTCCTAACACATTTCCTTAAATTCAAGACTTAATGCTATATGCTGAAATGTCTTTCTAACTCTTCAGGCATGCCCCAGAGCTCCCACTACCAATGCCTTTATTATTGCTATGTTGCATAGAACTTCCAGAATATTGAGAAGACAGAGGACAAACAAGTAAACTATTTCACTTGTGATATGTGATATTAAGGAAATGAATAGGATGTGAAGAAAGAAAAACTGGTCAATGAAGGCCTCTCTGAAAAAGTGGCTTTTAAAATGAGACCAAAAATATAAGAAAGAGCCAGCCGTATAAGGCCTAGAGGGCAAAGTATTTCAAGCAGAGAAGCACATACAAAGTTCCAAGATAAGGAAGAGTTTGGTGTGTCTGAGCAACTGAGAAGAGGCCACATGGCTGAAGTATAGTAATCAAGGAACCAATGGCATGAGATGAGGTTGGAGAGCTGGTGGGCAGGGGCTAGGTCAGGCTGTCATTGACCATTGAAGGCTCTTAAGCAAAGGAATGTCATGAATATATTACTGATGCAAGATGACCTTTGTTGATGCTGTGTGGAGAATAGATTGGAGGGGCAAGAATATCAGGGAAACCACAAGGATGCAATTGCAGAGGATGGAGCAAGACATAACGTTCAAACTGTAGATCCTGGGATAAACCCACAGCTATATTCAGAGTATTTTCTAATAGTTCCATCTTTTAAACCATTTTTTTGAAACCTAAGCAAGAAAATAATAATATTTGGCAATATTATTATTGCTGTTATAAAAATAATGTCATTAGTCAGAGAAGTCATTTGTGTTGAAATTATGCGGGTGGTGTAAGCCAAGAAGTGTAGATTTCCTCTAAGTGCAAAGGGAAGCCACGCACTTAGAGTGCATGAAGGGATGTGCTCCAAATTGTGTTTTAAAAACAGATGTGAAAACTAGATGAGAAATCTGCAAGAGTAGACAAGAAATCAGATAGGAAATTATTGTAATAGGTAAAATGTGGTGGAGACTTAGACAAGGGTAATGACAATGGAGACAGTGAAGAGTAGACACATTTGCAACATGTTTAGGATTGGATTGGAGATAGGGAATACGAAAGAGGAGATGTTCCTGATTTCTTTCCCCAACACTAGCTTTATTGAGGTATAACTGACAAATAAAAATTGTGTATGTATATGGAATACAATGTAGTGCTTTGATGTATGTGTGCATTGTGAAATGATTCTCATAATCAAGATAATTAACAGATCTGTCACCTCATGTCACTGGTTTATTGAATGAGCAGGTGAGAGGAGAGAGGTGCCAATTTGTAAGATAGGTAACAGTGTTGAGGGAAAGATCAGTAGCTCAATTTTGGAGGTATTAAATTTGAGACATTTGTCTGTAAATAGAAATTTTTATGTAGGCAGCTAAATTAATTTGACAATGTATATGTACATGTAAAGAAAAGATTATACTATAAGCATTATTTTACTATTTGTTCTTTCTTATTAAAAAATACCATGGGGATTCCTTCATATTTGTGATACAGATTTACTTTTTTTTTAAGTTGAGTGATCATATAGCTCTACCATAATTTAATCAATTTCCATATATGTCATTATTATGTATATCATTGCATAGTTTACAAGTATTTCTGTAAGACAGATTCCAAAAAGTAGAATTGCTGGATGAAAATTTAGGTACATGAAAGGGATTGCACCATTAACCATGTATTAGAGTGTCAATTACCCCAGTGCTGGATTCCTTCAATTTTATATTGTCCCATCCAAAAGGGGAAAATATTATCTTAGTGTTATTTTACCTTCCCTTTCCTTGATGCATGTCGTTGAAAATCTTTTCATTTGTTCATTGGCCATTCTGGGTTTTTTTGTTTATTCATATTATGCGAAAAATAATAATAATAATAAGTGATTTTAGAAATGAAGAAGCAAAAAACATTCAGATACAGGCATACTTCATTTTATTATTGCACTTCGCAGATACTGCGTTTTTTTACTAATGAAGGATTGCGGCAACCCTGTGTCTGGAAAGTCTATTGGCACCATTTTCCCAGCAGCGTGTGCTCACTTGGAGTCTCTGTGTCACATTTTGACAATTCCCACACTATTTCAAATGTTTTCATTATTATTATTACATCTGTTATGATGTTCTATGATCAGTAATCTTTGATGTTACTATTGTATTTGGTTTTGAGCACCATGAACCATGTACATGTAAAACAGTGAACTTAATTGATAAATGTTGAATGTGTTCTGACTGCTCCACAGACTGTTTCTCTGTCTACCTCTCCTTGGGCCTGCCTATTCCAAGAGACACAACAATATTAAAATTAGGCCATTTAGTAAGCCTACAGTGACATCTAAGTGTTCAAGTGAAAGGAAGAGTCAGAGGTCTGTCACTTTAAATCAAAAGCCAGAAATGATTAAGCTTAGTGAGGAAGACATGCCAAAAGCTAAGATAGGCCAAAAGCTAGGCCTCTTGCACTAAACAGTTAGCCAAATTGTGAGTGCAAAGGAAAAGTTATTGAAGTGAGTAAATGAAAAGTACTATTCCAGTGGACAAACAAATGATAAGAAAGTGAAACAACTTTATTGATGATACAGAGAAAGTTTTAGTAGTCTGGATAGAAGATCAAACGAGCCATGGCCTTCCCTTAAGCCAAAAGCTAATCCAGAGCAAGGCCCTAACTATTTTCAATTCTGTGAAGGCTGAGAGAGGTGAGGAAGCTGCAGAAGAAAAGTTTGAAGCCAGCAGAGATTGGTTCAGGAGGTTTGAGGAAATAATCTGTCTTCATAACAGAAAAGTGCAAGGTGAAACAGTCAGTGTTAATGTAGCTAAGATGTAGCTAAGATCGTTGATGAAGGTGGCTACAGTAAGCAATAGATTTTCGATGTAGATGAAACAGCCTTTTATTGGAAGAAGATGCCATCTGGGACTTTCATAGCTAGAGAGAAGTCATTGCCTGGCTTCAAAGCTTAAAGGACAAGCTGACTGTCTTTTTAGGAGCTAATGCAATTGGTGAGTTGAGGCCAGTGCTCACTGATTATTTTGAAAATCCTAAGGCCCTTAAGAATTATGCCAAAAATCAAAAAAGAGCCCGCATCGCCAAGTCAATCCTAAGCCAAAAGAACAAAGCTGGAGGCATCACGCTACCTGACTTCAAACTATGCTACAAGGCTACAGTAACCAAAACAGCATGGTACTGGTACCAAAACAGAGATATAGATCAACAGAACAGAACAGAGCCCTCAGAAATAACGCCGCATATCTACAACTATGTGATCTTTGACAAATCTGAGAAAAACAAGCAATGGGGAAAGGATTCCCTATTTAATAAATGGTGCTGGGAAAACTGGCTAGCCATATGTAGAAAGCTGAAACTGGATCCCTTCCTTACACTTTATACAAAAATTAATTCAAGATGGATTAAAGACTTAAACGTTAGACCTAAAACCATAAAAACCCTGGAAGAAAACCTAGGCATTACCATTCAGGACATAGGCATGGGCAAGGACTTCATGTCTAAAACACCAAAAGCAATGGCAACAAAAGCCAAAATTGACAAATCGGATCTAATTAAACTAAAGAGCTTCTGCACAGCAAAAGAAACTACCATCAGAGTGAACAGGCAACCTACAAAATGGGAGAAAATTTTCGCAACCTACTCATCTGACAAAGGGCTAATATCCAGAATCTACAATGAACTCAAACAAATTTACAAGAAAAAAGCAAACAACCCCATCAACAAGTGGGCGAAGGAGATGAACAGAGACTTCTCAAAAGAAAACATTTATGCAGCCAAAAAACACATGAAAAAATGCTCACCGTCACTGGCCATCAGAGAAATGCAAATCAAAACCACAATGAGATACCATCTCACACCAGTTAGAATGGCAATCATTAAAAAGTCAGGAAACAACAGGTGCTGGAGAGGATGTGGAGAAATAGGAACACTTTTACACTGTTGGTGGAACTGTAAACTAGTTCAACCATTGTGGAAGTCAGTGTGGCGATTCCTCAGGGATCCAGAACTAGAAATACCATTTGACCCAGCCATCCCATTACTGGGTATATACCCAAATGACTATAAATCATGCTGCTATAAAGACACATGCACACGTATGTCTATTGTGGCACTATTCACAATAGCAAAGACTTGGAACCAACCCAAATGTCCAACAATGCTAGACTGGATTAAGAAAATGTGGCATATATACACCATGGAATACTATGCAGCCATAAAAAATGATGAGTTCATGTCCTTTGTAGGGACATGGATGAAATTGGAAATCATCATTCTCAGCAAACTATCACAAGGACAAAAAACCAAACACCGCATGTTCTCACTCATAGGTGGGAATTGAACAATGAGAACACATGGACACAGGAAGGGGAACATCACACTCTGGGGACTGTTGTGGGGTGGGGGGAGGGGGGAGGGATAGCGTTAGGAGATATACCTAATGCTAAGTGACGAGTTAATGGATGCAGCACACCAGCATGGCACATGTATACATATGTAACTAACCTGCACGTTGTGCACATGTACCCTAATACTTAAAGTATAATAATAATAATAATAAAGAATTATGCCAAATCTGCTGTGCCCTATAAATGGAACAACAAAGCCTGGATGACAGTACATCTGTATACAGCATGGTTTACTGAATATCTTAAGCCCACAATGAAGACCTACTGCCAAGAAAAACAGATTTCTTTCCAAATATTATTGCTCATTGACAATGCACCTGGTCACTCAAGAGCCTTAATTGAGGTGTATAAAGAGATTCATGTTGTTTTCATGCCTGCCAACACAACATTTATTCTGCAGCCCATGGATTGAGGAGTAATTTCAATGTTCAAGTCTTGTTATTAAAGAATTATATTTTGGAAGGCTATAGCTCCCATAGATAGTGATTCTTCTGATGGATCTGGGCAAAATAAGTTGAAAACCTAGAAAGAATTTATCATTCTGAATGCCATTAAGAGCATTTATGATTCATGGGAGGAGGTCAAAATATCAACATTGACAGGAGTTTGGAAAAAATTAATTCCAATTCTCATAGAAGACTTTGAGGGGTTCAAGAGCAGATTTGGTAGAAATAGCAAGAGAACGAGAATTAGAAGTGGAGGGTGAATTGCTCAATCTCAGGATAAAACCTGAATGGATAGTAAGTTGCTTCTTATGGATGAGCAAAGAAAGTGGTTTCTTGAGATGGAATCTGCTCCTGGAAAAGATACTGTGAACATTGTCGAAATGACAACAAAGGATTGAGAACATTTCATAAACTTAGTTGTCATATCAGTTGCAGGGTTTAAGTGGATTAACTCTAATTTTGAAAGAAGTTCTACTCTGGGGAAAATGGTCTCAAAAGGCATTAGAAAATAGAAAAATCTATAGAAAAATCTTTTGTGAAAGGAAGAGTTCATTGATGAGGCAAAAGTAATTGTTGTCTTATTTTAAAGAAACTGCCACAGCTGCCCCAATCTTCAGCAAGGTCATCTCTGATCAGTTGGGACCTTGCCTTCACCAATGTGAAGGCAAGACCCTCCACCAGCAAAAAGATCACAGTTCGCTGAAGGCTCATATGATCATTAGGATTTTTTTGCAATAAAGTATTTTTGAAATTAAGATCTGTATATTATTTTTATACATAATGCTATTTAACACTTAATAGAATATATAGCCTGCTACTAATAGACTTAATGGTGTGAACATAACTTTTATATGCACTGGGAAACCAAAAAATTCATGTGACTTGCTTTATTGCAATGGTCTGGAACCTAACCTGCAGTGCCTCTGAGGTTTGCCTGTACTTCAGAAAAAGAAAATAAATAAAAAGTAAAGAAAAGAAGGAAAGAAGGCAGTAGGAAAGAATAAGGAAATAAACGCTGGCCTACTCACCATTTGTTACTGGATGACTTATGACAATTTCAGAGTGGTGAGGGGGGTGAGGGGTAAATATTTTACAAAAAAATCACCAGTTGTACTTTTATATGAAAGTGTGCACTAACAAAATATTAGGTGTAGTTTTTGGAGGGCAATTTAGAAATCAGTGTTTTGTTGTCTATTTGTGTTACTTATATATTAAGAGATTTTTGAAAACAAGCCTGCAAATGCTCAAGAAACTTTGATGGTTAAGATACAGAAAGCTAAGGAGAAAACTGATGAAGCGTTTTCCCCCTTGGAGCATCCTGGTGTACTTCACAGAGCAGCTGTACTTTGCAGGCTGCTACAATAGTCATAGCAAACCCAGTAAGAGGTCACCCATAGCCATGTGTATCCTGTTCTATTAATAAAGGAAATGTCGACTAGGACACTGGGGATTAGACACAACTAATTTTCTAAAATGCCATTGAGTTGATCTTTATCTGTAAAGCCAACATAGACATACGAATAGTTAAAACAAGCTCCGTGTCTCTCAGATTTCAGTGGGAGAAAGCCTGGTGTTCTATTTCACACCCATAGAACAGCATTTCTCAATGCCAGGAAGTCTTTAAAAATTATATTTGTTGAAGCTATTATTTTCAAATGCTACTCCAATTATTAGGGTTCTTGGAGCATATATTTTTAAATAAACAATTTAAGTTTTGTTTAGCTAGACTCTGAGCTGCGCAATCCACCACTCTCCCCCAAAGAAGTCTGATACCATGCTCTCCGAATTCTAAGTTCACAGTGGTTGGACCAGGTTGGTGTGTCCCCAAAACACACTGGCCTTCTTTGGAGACTATTTATGATCAAATCAGTTTTGTCATTCTGACAGTGGGAATGACAAGTTAAACACAGCCCCGCACTGTGGATTCTTTGTGGTGATTCTTCTAACTTCAAGAGCAGTTGTTCTACACTGAGTGTCCTAAGTGTTTGATCTATTATGAAAATTGAGTCCTTTAAGCCAAATCGCTATTACTAAAGTTGGGGAAATTCGGCTTACCACGCACATTCAGACATGGTTTGGAAAACACTGTAATATGTATATTAAATGATGGAATCATGAAATAATGAGTCAGAATTTGCCTAAAATTTATTAAAACTCCAGAAAATACTAAACTTTCTGTTAATGCCTTGAAACTGAGGTTAAATTTTCTGTGATAATTGAGATTTATTTCCTACTTTCTGCATTTACAGGTTATACTATTTATGGGCATGTTTTTACTCAGACATACAATTCAGCTTCTAATTTTATAATAATCTCATTTTAAGGGAGCTTGAGACAGAATTTGCAGCGTTAATTTTTCTTATAGTGGGTTAATTTCAAGTTTGATGGAATATGTGAATAACATATAAAAAGAACACATTTGATGCATCAAGATAAAATAAAAAGGAAATTTGATAGCAGTGGTTTTAAACCTTTATTCCTAAATTTTAGAACAATTTTTATTATATAGACTACATATCATGCTACCTTCTAATTTCAGCGGTGATATACAGTAGCCTTTGGATTTATTACCTTTGATGTCACTCATATGTGGTTCCAAAGTCCTGACAGGTATTAATTTGTCATTTTGCTGAAGCATGGATTTGAATTATTTGTACTGGATAGGCATAGTCAGAGCATAGCCCAGCTGACTATCCTACAGAACTTTTCAGGGTAACTTGGTTCTTCCGGTCTGGTCATCAATATATTGTAACTCTTGAGAAGAAGAAAAACTTAGTTTGTCTGTGAAAAGTAGAGCAGAAAAGAAAGCTAAGAGCTAAGTGGTGGGTATGATATGAAGTAAAAGTTCAAAAGTCTATAAAAAGGGATGTCTCCACAGAGAGATAACAAATGATTTGTAAACCTGTGCTCGGAATGCTCTAGCCAATGTAAAAATTGCTTATCAAGTTAGAAAATTTCAGCAAAAATTGAAAAAAGATCATTGACTTTTGGTATGAGGATGTGTTTATCATTTTGGGAATGAATGGATTCCTATATATCAAATGCTTGCAACAGTGCCTGGCGCATACACTCTATAAACGTATTAGCTGAGATAATGATGGTGGTAGTGATGGTGATGATGATGTGATTCTGGATGGAATTTTTATTTGAGAGAACACCATGAACCTCCGCAGGCAATTCCTTACACCAGACATCAAGGTGCTGCTGTATTGCCTCCCAGTTAATAACAGATATGTAAAAGTAGAATGTTTGATATGGTTTTATCAATTTATTCCTATCAATGCTTATTCCTATAGAAGTTTTTCTCATGAATCACAAAAAACATAAATCTTTATTACTTTTATTATCTCAATTAGAGTCCTTGGAAAAAATGGAAAAAGTATACAATGATGAGTGTTTTAATATGGATGTATAACTTATAAGGATTTAGAATTTAGGTCAGGTGTGGTGGCTTATGCCTGTAATCACAGCCCTTTGGGAGGATCTCTTGAGGGCAGGAGTTTGAGACCAGCCTCAGCAACATAACAAGAATTCATCTTTACAAAAATTTAAAATGTCAGGCTGGGCACGGTGGCTGATACCTGTAAGCCCCGCAGTTTGGGAGGCTGAGGTGGGCGGATCACTTGAGGTGAGGAGTTTGAGACAAGCCTGGCCAACAAGGTGAAACCCCATCTCTACTAAAAATACAAAAATTAGCTGGGCAGGGTGGCACGCACCTGTAGTTCCAGCTACTCAGGAGGCTGAGGCAGGAGAATTGCTTGAACCTGGGAGACGGAGGTTGCAGTGAGCCAAGATCGCACCACTGCACTCCAGACTGGGCGACAGAAAAAGAAGTCAGCTGGACTTGGCGGTGCGTACCGCTAGTCCCAGCTACTTGGGAGGCTGAGGCAGGAGGATTGCTTCAGCCCAGGAGTTCAAGGCTGCACTGATCTCTCATTACACCACTGCACTCCAGCCTGGTAGAAAGATCAAGACCCTGTCTCTAAAAAGTAAAAAATAAGGAAGGAAAGAAAGAATTTAGGATTTATATGCATTCAAAACTGTTAAATATACATTTAAACATTTAAAAGTACTTTAAAGGTCATTCTTTAGGTTCTGTCTGGAAGGCCTCTTGCTCACTCTCATAATTGGTAGACTCCTCTGACCCCTAAGCCTGAATCCAAGTCACACTTCTCTCCAAAGCCTCCTGAGCTCCTTCAGGCTCATGTCCTTCTCCTTTTCTGCCTGCTGCCAGTTTAGCACCAGCCTGCTGTTTAGTGGCAGTTACACCCAGGAGTGTAATTGTTTGCATTTCTTTCTTACTGTTAGACTGTAAGCCTCTTGAGGAAGAAAGTAAGTCCTCAATAAATGTATGAGTGAACTTCAAATCATTTCACCTATGGCAATAGGAGGTAGGAGAATCCTAATATTTCAAGCAAGGCAGATGTCAGGCAGTGGTCATTTCAGAAAGAATATTAGTTTCTTCACACACATACAAGGATTTTAAGTCATGGACTGAAGCACACAAGTTTAGTGTAGGAAAGTTGGTTGTGTGAAATGTTTATTGAGTGTCTACTATGTTCTGTACTGTGCCATTTGGTTACACGTTTCATCTTATTAAATCTTAAACCATCCCATTATATATGTGGTTATGTTTTCCCAATTTTCAGATAAGGAAATCAAGGCTAAAAGAGGCAGTAGGTCCAAGGTCACGGGTAATAAATAGCACAGTATAATTTGAAGCAGATATTCTGACTCTAAACGTTCTTCCCACCATTCTGTTCACACACTTGCATATGCCACCTAGATTAGACAATTATTTGAGCTCTAGAGGCACTTTTCACACTTACGTCAAAATTTCTTAAGTTTTTTAAAGCTTGCAAAGCAATGTGTCCTGAGCCCTGTCTCTCCCCACTCTCTATAATGAGAATTTATAGTTGATTGTGCCTGTCCTGTGCTGTATGGTGAACATTAATACCTGAACTAGTTGGACCACTAGATGATGTCAAGATGTTACTCCTTCTGTAGCATCCACTGGGCATTCTATGGCTAGGCTTTTGCTTTTATTGGAAAAAGTAATTTGCTCAGAGGGCAACAAATAAGTCAGAGGATTTTCTTTTCATTTAAACACTACGCACTACTTCAGAAATGTCACCAATGAGATAAGAGAACATTTAGGGACATATGGAAACTAGCTTCTTTTCTTTCTTCTCTTCCCCTGGTCTTTCTGAACTCAGATTTTTCTTACAAAACCAAGCTATCTAAGTTCTTTTTTTTTCTTGAGATGAAGTTTTGCTCTGCTGCCCAGGCTGGAGTGCAGTGGCATGATCTCGGCTCACTGCAACCTCCGCCTCCCAGGTTCAAGCAATTCTCCTGCCTCAGCCTCTTGAGTAGCTGGGATTACAGGCATGCACCACCACACCCAGCTAATTTTTGTATTTTTAGTAGAGACGGTTTTGCCATGTTGGCCAGGCTGGTCTCAAACTCCTGACCTCATATGATTCACCCACCTCAGCCTCCCAAAGTGCTGGGATTACAGGTGTGAGCCACTGTGGCCAGCCCTAAGCTATCTAAGTTATTTCTTAGTTTCAAAGAAAAACATTAAGCCTATTAATAAGATAAATGAATAGAATCTAGGCAGCTGATGATGTGAGATTAAGAATAAAGAGAGAGATGGTGGGGTAGGGGTAGGGGAAAAGAACTAAGAGAGGGCTTTATGTTTGCTCTAATGTGCTCTCGTCTTTACCTGGGACCCCGGATTCCTCTCAAATAATTTATTCCCATGCACTTTCTTCTATAAGTCATGTTACTCTTCTGAACTAAGATTGGTTTTCCATTTCAAATTATTGTTTGCTGGGATTTATTTGATCATGCAAAACAGAAGTTGGATTGGAAGCAGTAAAATACATTCGTAGTCTTTTGATACAAAATTATTTTTTGTTGCACATCATCCTTTATTTAACTTCACTATAAGATCATTGAGACATAAAACTTCAGAGAAAAAAAATCTATTAAAAAGGAACAAAAAATCAGCATTTAATCAAAGCGTCTCTCCCTTCCTCACTAACATTATCTCCTAATTGGTGGTGAGTGCTGTACCTCTTTGTAAGGCCATCGCTGCATTATACCAGGTGGTTAAAATTATGGGGTGCTTCTCTAACAGGTGGATTGAGTAGTTGTGACTCTTCATAATAGGTAGTTTAAAAATCAGTGCCTATATTGTTAATTGAATATTTATTATAGAGGAGGTACCTTTGTATTGATGTGGTTCCAGTTGCTGCAGGACTATGTGAGCTTTGGATTTCACATCCTCTATTGCAATGGCTGGAACTCCTCCTTTGTCACTTTCTGTAGGGACAGAGCCATGTCATGACTGTATTTATTTAACCTGTACATTTTTCATACAAATCTGGATAAAGATAGTTGAGGCAAATGTCCACAATTTTGTTCTGTAATTCATCAGAATGAACGCTTGTTGTGGAGTAAAGAATACATGCGGTGACATTTAGATTAAGAAGAAGCCTGGAAAATTAGTTGGATAGTCTCTTTCAACCATGAGTTTTAGGCAGTCTGAAAATCTGTACAATCTTTTTTCACTGGCACAGTGGTTCATGCCTGTAATCCCAGCACTTTCAGAGGCTGAGGCAGATGGATCGCTTAAGGTCAGGAGTTTGAGACCAGCCTAGCCAACATGGTTAAACCCTGTCTCTACTGAAAATACAAAATTAGCCAGCCGTAGTAGTGGTTGCCTGCAATTTCAGCTACTCGGGAGGCTCAGGCAGGAGAATCGCTTGAACCTGAAAAAAAAAAAATTGTGCGATCATTTTGGATTGGTAGTTTACTTGAGGATGGTAAGTGCAAAATGATGTTGAAAGTTTAAGTGGAAATTGTATGACAAATTTTTTATAATTAGCAGAAGTAAATGCAGAATCCTTGAAATGGGAGAGTTTTTAAAATGGAATTTAGTCTATTTTGAAATATGCCTATCATGCTTTCACTGAAAAAATGAATAAACTATTGATAATTTCTTCCCGTAAAGCGTGCCAATAATATCAAGATCGATGAACAAGCTTTTTTTTCTTACCAAGAGAAATAGATTTCTTGAGAAAGTGGCCTAAAAGTACTGAATGGCCTCAAAGTTCTTTATTATTATTATTATTATTATTTTTGAGAGGGAGTCTTGTCTGTCAGGCTGGAGTGCAGTGGCGTGATCTCGGCTCACTGCAACCTCCAACTCCCTGGTTCAAGCTATTCTCCTGCCTCAGCCTCCCGAGTAGCTAGGATTACAGGCAATCGCTACCATGGCTGGCTAATTTTTGTATTTTTAGTAGATACAGGGTTTAACCATATTGGCCAGGCTGGTCTCAAACTCCTGACCTTAAGTGATCTGACTGCCTCAGCCTCCCAAAGTGCTGGGATTACAGGCGTGAGCCACCGCACCTGGCCAAAGTTCTTAATTTTTAATGCCAATATAAGTTCCAGGCTATCAGACCTAATTTTTACCTAAGGCTTTTGCATGACTAGTTTCTGAAAGTATAGCAGGTAATCTGGCCGACTATTGTTAAGAGCAATTCTTGGAATAACAATGTGTTAGACTGTCAGAGAGTTCCTCTGTAACAGATCATTTGTACTGCCACTTTGGCAACTATCACTTTTCAGTAAGTTTTGCTGTGTCTCTATCATCTATCCTTCTAATATCTTAATCACCCTATGGTGTCTTCACATTGGTGAACTGATAAAATGTCTTAACATTAATTGATATTGTAGAAAAAAGTGTTAAAAATTGATTGGTTCCAGGATTATGCTGGGTTTGTTTGTTTGTTTGTTTTAGGAGATTGTAAAGATTCCACTTTGAGTAGGGTGAGTAGTAACTTAGCAAATATTACTGGAAGAAATTTCAAATTAAAAAGAACAGAGTTTCCCTTGATGAATAATACTATATTTAATATATTTCTGTGCTTCTAAATCTCCATCACTTATCAGATATGACATCAATTTAATATAGCTTTTTTTAAAAGGGTAACTACCATAAAATATATGCATTATTTGTAAGATAATCCCAATTTTAGAAACATTAAAATGTTGGGGAAAATAGGAATTAAGGAAATTAAGGTGTTCTGGGATTCTGGAGTAGCATTTCAGAAAAATGTTGATAGATCGGGCAGTATGAAATTTTTAAGGCCCCTCCTTTTTTTTCCCCCAGCTAGTAGAGCAAAGGATTGAATGGATATACTAGAGGTTCTATTC
This sequence comes from Homo sapiens, assembly GCF_000001405.40. Lineage (NCBI taxonomy): Eukaryota > Metazoa > Chordata > Mammalia > Primates > Hominidae > Homo > Homo sapiens. The sequence continues at coordinate 37,006,519 of NC_000014.9, read as the reverse complement.
TTACAAATCTTGGTTTTGCACAATTTTGGCAAATCTTTTCAGAGGGACTTTATTTTAGCAAGTTGTTTGATAAATACGTCAACATGTATGTTGATGTATATACATATATAATATTTTAAGATTAGGGTATATTTGAGGCAAAGAGAGGAAAATAGGACTCATACTTAAAATACTGAAACTAGTTTTTATTTAACATTTACAAATATTATAAAAAGTTAAGAAAAGGGTGCCAATGACCATTCTATTATTAATGAGACAACAATGGAAAAAGCCCATGTATTCATATTTAGACATATATCTGTTCGAATGTTACATTTTAGTTTACATAATGATGTTTATTTTTTATTAAATATCTTTGGAATTGTTGGTGGGCTGGAGCCAAGAATGTGATACATTTATCATTACTTAGAAAATTATTTTTATACCTTGTATACATTTAGTTTGCCTTGTCACATCTAAACTTGTCCTTGGCTTTTAAAATTTGTAATACCATCTTTATTAGGCATAAATGCAAGTATGCATGATTCTGAAGTCCAAAAAGAGGTTATGTGCAATAAAGTTTGATAACATGAAAAAAAAGTTATTTTTTAGACAACTGTATTGTTATTTACCCAAATGGATAATGGGCTCTATTTTTTATGAAGAGAAAAGAAAAAGTTCCAGAGATACAATGGCCATATACTTTGTTTCACATTCATAGGCAAGTACATGCGTGTTTTATGTTATAGTTCTTTCCATTTTGTGTGTGGTGCATTTTAATTCCCCATGCACTTATTTTGCATGTATAGCTTTGAAAAATCTTAACTTTGAATCACATCGTGTGTGTGTGTGTGTATCTACACATGAAAGATATACAATATGTTGATCCATAAGGGAATGTAAATTGCAAGATGTACATAAAACAAATCTAATCCATAAGTGCAGTATTTCACAACTATAAAGTATGATAACTATATAAGTGAACTCAATTTTTAACAGATGCTGTGTTGTGTTTTATAGTTTGTACAAACCCTTTTTATTTTCTAAAAAAGAAAAAAATTGTATATCTTTGTACTGTCCAATTATAGCAATTTAATAAAGTGTAATGGACAAATACTGACGTAGCTCTGAGGGAATCAATAAGGGAAACGGAACAAGATGGCACATTGGCTACAGATGGGAACCAAGAACCAAAAACAGGAGGAGGTTAAACTTGAAGAGCTGCCTGAGCTTCCTGCGGATGCATGTCCAAATGCAATGGAATCCTAAGGGCTTGTTTCTCTGACTTTCGTTGTCTCCAGCATTCTTTTTATCGTGGTGTGTGTGTGTGTGTGCATTTGCATGTGTGTGTGCGCTCTTGTGCACTTGTGGTACAGATGTATGAAGGTTGGCTGTCCACTTAGCTGGAATAATTTGGAAGGTAACTTTCTGGAAATCAGTATCCTTAGGGGATTCGATTATTCCGGTGAGTACAGATCACCGGAAGCCCTGCCTCCCATTGGACGGCTGGTTGAGACCCACAGCTGGGCTCTGAAGGGATAGATATGGATCATAAAGCCACTGCACTCCAGCCTGGTGACAGAGTGACACTCTGTCTCAAAAAAAAAAAAAAAATTCCTTCCCTGCCATTCTTCTTATTCCTCCTTCTGGTAAGAGGGCAAAAATAGGTGTTGAAAATTAGGAAGCTGTATGCAGCAATAGCTATGAGATTGGGATTTGAAATCAGTAAACCTGGTTTGAGTCTCGGCTCTGCCCCCTACCAGTTTCTCCACAGCAGGTGCTTCTGACCAAGCTGGACTCTACAGGGTGGGAGGGAGGGTGTGCCCTCCCAGAGACGCTGAACCTGCTCCCTGTTCCAGAGGAGCCCTCAGCAGGCTGATGTCTGCTCACACCTGATGCAGGAGGTGGTCAGAGAACGGCTGAAACAATTCTGGATTTTGTTTTGCTCAGAGGTGTTTACCTAATCATTAGCCACTTGGTGGCACAGAAAATGTTCAATCCATCTGTCTTCCTGTCTAGTGGATTTTTCAGTTACTCCATGAATTACATCTTTTCACTGACTTAACACATAACCTTGGCCCAGGTGTCCTCAAACACAGCATTAACATGAAATGCATGTGTTGACTCTGCAGCCATTTTTATTTCTGTCTGAGACAGGTTTTAGGTTAGTAGATAAAACATTCTTGACATCTTTAATAGCCTTCATAGGGTCTTTTATAAATAATAGATGTCAACTGATAGTTTTTTTCCCCAAGCACTGATGACATTTCAAAATAGAATTTGGTGGGTGGCTGCAGGTTGCTTTTGGAAAATAAAAACTATTTATTTGTTTTTACCATCAAATGGCTCTTTCATTATTAATACTTTGCCATTTTAAAAATGTTGTCTTAACGCCACAGAGAACATGTGGCACCAATGAGCTAATCATAGTCAAAGAAAACATTGATTCTAAGAGTGGTTTGCAGCAGTAGTCTCTGCTGGAATGATGCCTGGTGGGGGGAAAGATTATTAAAGTTCAAATCGGGTGAGTTCTCATTCCCACCAAATTGGCTTTGGTGGGAGTGATATACCAAGCAAAGAAATCCATGCCTTGGGTGTTAGGCAGTGAAGGGGATCTGCAGCATTTTGGAAGGGAAAACTTTATTGAAGAATAACATACATTAAGAAAGTACCTATCTTCAGTGTACAGTTTGATGAATATTTACCAATTGTACATGCCCATGTGACTAATACCCAGAGAAAGAAACAGACATAACTGGCACTCCAGAGTCTCCCACATGTAACTTCATTTAAGAAGCCTGAGAAACCACTGTTCTAACGTCAGAGATTAGTTTTGCTGTTTTTTAAACTTTGTTTAGGTGCATCTTTGAGTATATAATGTTTTATGTCTGGCTGCTTTGCTCAACATGATGTCTATGAAATTAATCCATGCTTTTGCATGCAGTTGTGATTCATTCATTATAACTTCTGTGTAGTGTTGAATGAATATATTCCAACTTGTGTTGATGAGCATTTGGGTAGTTTCAGTTTTTAACTATTACAAATAGTGCTGTTATGAATACAATAGTCCCCCCCTCTTATCCGCAGTTTTGCTTTCCATAGTTTTAGTTTTCCATGGTCAACTGTGGTCTAAAAATATTAAGTGGAAAATTCCAGAAATAAACAATTCATAAGTTTTAAATGCTATATTACAATGCCTGTAGCGTTCACCTCACTTCATCTCATCATGTAGGCATTTTATCATCTCACTTTGTCACAAGAAGAAAGCTTAGTGCTGTACAAAAGGATGCTTTGAGAGTGGAATTGGATTCACATAGCTTTTATTACAGTATATTCTTATGTATGTTCTATTTTATTGTTCTCAATTTCTTACTGTGCCTAATTTATAAATTAAACTTAGTCATAGGTATGTATGTATAGGAAAAAGATGTAGTGTGTATAGGGTTTGGTATTTTCCGTGGTTTCAGGCATCCGCTGGGGGGTCTCGGAACATATTCTCAATAGATAAGGGGAGACTACTGTATTCTTAGAAATGTCTTTTGGTGAACACATGACTGTTTCTGTTGGGTATACCCTAAGAAGAGGAATTACTGATAACCTTAGAAATATTCAGCTGTAGCAGATAATGCCAGACAGTCTTAAATTATACCTGTTACCTTTTACAAATGTAAATAATCACTGAAGTGCTGTTGCTACACCATCATTTCTGAACTGTGGAGTTACTGGAAAGAAAGCACCAGAATATCATGGACTAGCCCTTCCCGCTAATAAGTATACATGGCTGTAGATCACAGGAAGATAATTCACTAGCACTGTTTTGTACAGTTTGTAATCATTTTACCTGAATGTTATCGCATTTAGTATTCTGAAAACAGTTCTCAATTTTCTTCTTGTTTTTTAATCATCTTTTTATCCTCAGCACCTATTACTATGCTGTATGTACTCCTATTAACCCCAGTTTACAGACAAGCTACAGAGGAATTGACTCACTTGCTCAAAGTTGTATACGTAGGAAGGAGGGAAGAACGTGTGCTCCTTCTTTATATATAAGTCATATAAGAGCTTTAAAAGTCTGACCAGGGTATAATCCTGAAAATCCTACATGCAGATAAAGCTGGTAGGGTTAGTAGAGTCCTCAACAATTCCACAGAAGTATTTGGATAGTCTACATTAAAATGGCTGAGATGAAAACTTTCTACCTTATATTATTTACCAGTACTAAATTCACACCAACTTCTGTGAACATAGTAGAGAGATATGGTGGAGAACAAAGACCCTGGAGCTGGGCTCTCTGTGTTTAAATCCCCACCACTCCAGCTGGAATTATCTGCAGAAAACACATCATGGCCTGTACTTTCCTTATGGTGCTTTTTGCTTGGTTTCATACATTATAATTATTTCTGTGTTCCTCTGCCTAACTGTGAACTCATTGAGGAGAAGGTACCATGTCATATTCATTTTAATCCCTCCCAGTGCCTCATGCTGTGCCTTGAGCATGATGAATAAGTTTTGACTTAATAAATAATGAAATATTTAATATTTTATATCACTTACTATTCATGCCACATTTTCTTTCCAAGTAACCAGAAACAACTTGCAGATAAATAGAAAGTGCAAAATAGAGTATTTACCTGTTTTGGGGTAATTGAGATAAGATTACAATATTTTAGGCAATAACATTGACAAAAACTTTTTGGAGGTTAGTGCAAAGTGGAAAAGATGTTGAGTAAAATGATTTTCCATTTTTCTAAAATAGAAAACAAATAGATATCTTGAAATTATTTGTTTGTATGTTTGCCTTCCCTCTGGCCAAGTCAGCTCTTTGTGAGTAGGCAATGTGTCTTACTTAAATTTGTATCCCCAGTGCCAGAAGTAGCGCTTAGCAAATATGCCCATGAAGGAAGGAATGAACAAACAAATGAAAGAATGAAAAAAAGGAAAGAAGGAAGAAAAAAATGAAAGGTTGCGTGAAAGAAAATACATTTCTGGGAATTATCATAAAAAATAAGGCTATTAGAATGACTGACATATGTTAGCCATAGCAATAACAGCAGAATGAAGAGCTCAGTGGTTCAGAACCAGAGTTGGCCTGCTTGGATCTAAATTCTGACTCATTTACTTGCTCAGTGTGTGCCCTTGAGCAAACTATTTAACTTCTCTGGGCATCAATTTCTTCACTGATAAAGTGAATTGATAATACTATTTCTTACAGATCCCATGAAACAATGCATTTAAAGGGCCTGGCATTTAATAAGCACTTGACAAGTGCTAGTAATTCACTCATTTAGCATATTCTTATCCAGAGCTATAATGTACCAGGCACAATTCTATGTGCTGAAGCTACAATAGTTAAGCTACTTAGTAAAATAAGTCCCTAGTTTTATGGAGTTTGCATTCTAGTAGGGGATAGGGACAGATATTAAATAGGCATATAAAATCAGAAAGTGGCAAGTGCTATGAAAAAATATAGCAAGATAAAAGGATGGAGTGATTCACAGTGGTGGTGAGGCTGCTATTCTAAATAGGGTGGTCGGAGAAGGTGTATTAGTTTGTTTTCACACTGCTATAAAGAACTACCTGAGACTGGCTAATTTATGAAGAAAAGAGGTTTAATTTACTCACAGTTTCACAGACTGAACAGGAAGCATGACTGGGAGGCCTCAGGAAACTTACAATCATGGCTGATGGCAAAGGGGAAGCAAGCACCTTCTTCACATGGGAGCAGGGAGAGCGAGGCAGTGAAAAAGGAAGTGCCACACACTTTTAAACCATCAGAGCTCATGAAAACTCACCATCACAAAAATAGCAAGGGGGAAACCCACTCACATGATCCAATCACCTCGCACCAGGTCCCTCCCCTGACATGTGGGGATTACAATTTGATATGAGATTTGGGTGGGACACAGAGCCAAACCACATCAGAAGATCTCTCAGATTGGATGGCATCTGATCAGAGACCACAAAGCAGGAGAGAATGAAGGGTCTGGGTGGAGAAGCAGTGAATGTAAGGCCTTGGAGTGCAGGTGGCAATGGATGTATCAGAGGACAGCAAGGAGGCCACTGAGCCTGGAACACAATGAGTAGGAGGAAAGCTAAGGCTGAATTCTGAGTTTGGTGGAAAGCCATTGGAGGGTTTTGAGCATGGTGGGTGATGGTACCTGCAAAGGATAATTCAGACTATTTTGTAAAGAGACAGTAGCCAGGTGTGAGAGAAAACGGGGGAATATTTAGAAGGCTATTGAAATAGGCCAGACAAGAGATGATGGTGGCTTGGAATATGGTGGTAGCAGTGGAGATGGGAAGAAGAGATCAGAATTGTAATACATATAGAGGTAGACTTGATTTGGTTTGCTGATTGATTGAATGAAGATATGAGAGAAAGAGGAGGCAAACTTGAAAGGTTTTTGGCCCAAGAAACTAAGTCAATTGGAGTATTCATTGACAAAGGTGGAAAAAATGGGGAGAATTTATTACAGGTGGTAGGAGAGATCAAAGATTCTGATTTTAATATGTTAGTTTTCTTTTATTCATTTATTCGTTCACTATTGGTGTATCTGCTATGTGTGTCAGGCATTGTTCTAGACTTTTGGAGTAGATCAGTCAGGGTTTGTTGGGGATGACACAAATCTCTTTCCTTGCGAAGTTTTCATTCAAGGGTAAGAAGACAGACAATGGATAATAAATAATACGTAAGCATTGTAAATAATGGCTCACTCCCCTTGTGAGCCTTCAAGCAATCTGCTTCTATTTGGTCCCCAACTTTTCAGTTGTCTTTGATGTATTTTTTACTTTACAACTTGCTTGCTTTCTCTTCAGCTCTGAGGCAATAATTAGGCTTTTAAAAAAAAAGACTTTACTTTTTAAGAGCAGTTTTAGGTTCACAGCAAAATTCAAGAGAAGGTACAGAAATTTCTCATATACCCTCTACTTCCACTCATGCATAGCCTTCCCTGGTATCAACATCACCCCTGCCCACTTGTACATTTGTTACAATTGATGAACCTACATTGCCACATCATTATCACCTAAAGTCCCTAGTTAACATTCACTCTTCGTGTTGTACATTCTATGGGTCTGGAAAAATGTATAATGTTATGTATCCAAACATACAGAGATTTTCACTGCCCTAAAATCACTGTTTTCTGCCAATTAATCCCTCCCCAACCTCCAGTTTCTGGCAACCACTGATCTTTTTACTGTCTCCATAATTTTGCCTTTTACAAAATGCTATATGATTAGAACCATGTATTTATGTAACCTTTTCAGATTGGCTTCTTTCAGTGAGTAATACGGACTTAAGTTTCTTCATATATTTTCATGGCTTGATAGCTCATTTCTTTTTACACTGAATAATATTCCATTGTCTGTATGTACCACAGTTTATGTATCCATTCACCTACTGCTTCCCAGTTTTGGCGATTATGAATGAAGCTGCTGTAAACATCCCATATAGGTTTTTGTATTTCCAACTCATTTGGACAAATATCAAGGAGAGAGATTGCTGCATTCTATGGAACAAGTATGTGTACTTTTGTAAGAAACCACCAAACTGTCTTCTAAAGTGGCTATGCCATTTTGCATTCACACAGTGAATGAGTGAGTGAGAATTCCTGTTGCTCTATATCCTCTCCAGCGTTTGGCATTGTTGGGGTTCTGGATTTTGGCCATCCTAATAGATGTGTAATGCTGTCTCATTGTTGTTTTAATTTGCCTTTCCCCAATGACATATGGTGTGGGACATTTTTTCCTAGACTTATTTGACATCCATATATCTTCTTTAGTGAGGTGTCTGTTAAGGTCTTTGGCCCATTTTTCAATTAGGTTTTTTTTTTTTAATTGTTGAGTTTTAAGTGTTCTTTGTATGTTTTGGATAATAGTCCTTTATCAGAAGTGAATAGGCTCTTCTTTGTCACACATTTCACATCAAATGTTATCTGTAGACATTATTTGTATCTGATTTCTCCATAATGAAATACACTTATCCAGGCTTAGAGTTTCCTAGATATTTATGGAGTGTGGTTGTCCAGTTTAGTGGCACCAGCCCCTTTCTGCTTAATGGCAAGCTGTTCCAAGTGGATTATTTATTCCAGATTCATCTTGTCATGATTCCTCATGATTCATGAGGTAGAAGAAGAATCACATTTATATATCTCTGTCCGTATTCCAAATCTGTCAAACTTGCTAAACTCAACACACATTGGTGCAGTATTTTCCAGCATATTTTCTGTTACTCTAAATTTGAGAGACAATCCATGAAATAAGTGTTCTCTGATCAAATAAGTGTAAGAAACACCACATTCTATATCCCTCACTGTGAAATGATCGTTTTTAAGGCTCTGAGAAATCTCACAGTAAGGAACCTGTTTAACTCTCTTTACCAGCATGTCCAAGACTTATTTTACCATAAAATAGAAACTTAAAATAATAACACTGTGCAGAACTAGTGTTCCAGGGATTGCACTTCGGGAAAATGTTGGTTGGGCTGACATCATCTTGGCAAGAAATCTAGACAAATGAATTCTATTATTGAAGCTGGCTTTGTTTGTGTAACCTTGGGCAAAGAAGTTAACCTGTCTGTTCCTTAGATGTCTCATTTGTAAAACGATGATATCACGTTCTCCTAAGGTTATTATAGGCTTCATTCAGTATCTCTAAGTGTATAAAACTTGGATGAAAGCACTCTCTGAAAGTTTAAATAATAGAGTTGTTTTTTTTTTTTTTGAGACAGAGTCTCACCTTGTCACTGAGGCTGCAGTGCAATGGTGCAATCTGCAACCTCTGCCTCCCAGGTTCAAGTGATTCTCCTGCCTCAGCCTCCTGAGTATTTGGGATTACAGGCACCTGCCACTATGCCCGGCTAATTTTTGTATTTTTTGTAGAGATGGGATTTCACCATGTTGAACAGGCTGGTCTTGAACTCCTGACTTCAGGTGATCTACCCACCTCAGCTTCCCAAAGTGCTGGGATTACAGGCATGAGCCATTGTGCCCAACCTAAATAATATACTTTTAAATATTACTTTTAATGTCTCTTCAGTCAAACATTTACTTCTCATCTCATGCATATTTCTGAAGTAATATTTATTCTTAACTAACAGTTATTTTATTGCCACATTCAGCTGCCCTCACCAACAGCCTGATCTGTACTTGTTATCCTCAGCTGAACATAAAGCATCTCCTCAGTCTCACCTGCTCTCTTCTCTTTTGATCACCTGTTGAGAAAGTGTTTCTCCTTTAGAGTATAGCTCCGCGGGAGCATAGACTGTATCATCAGTGCCTGGCATATAGCAGGAGTTTAATTAATATTGAACTGAATCTCAAATTGTTCCATTTCTAAGAATTATGTCACCCTGTTTTCAATTTTTGTACCCACAATATTGACGGGGGGAATCCCTCATTCTTTTATCCTGAGTGTGTTTATCATCAGGGTTCCCACATCGTAATCCTTGACTGACTTTTCTTTGGTTCTTGTCCTAAGAACAAATTGTCCTGTGGTTCAGGGCACAGCCGACTCTCCCACCAAGATTTGGGCTGTCTCTTGCCTCTCATTTCTTCCCTGTCAGCCTTCTCTTACCCTTAGTGAAGTCAAACACTAATGAGTAGAAGTAGGTAAAATTCCAAGGCTCCCCTCTTTCTTCTTTCTTTTGAATTAATTTCTCCTCACTTTGAACTTCTTCATTTTTTCCTCATCTCATTTACTCTGTACATATTTGTCACCACATTCCTGTTGGAACACACTCTGAGGAGACAGGGCCGTGGCCAAGTCACTTCTCCTGTGAGAATGTGCTGACTCCTCGGCTGACTCATCTCTAAGGCCACTCTCCCTCTCCATCCACTTTTTTTTTCTCCATTTATTCCTCCACCTAATTGTTCCAGTTTCATTGCTTCTGGGTGTTCTATAAGGCCATTTTCTCATACCAGCAGAAAACTTTAGGAGAGGAGATAAACATTCAAACAGTATCAAGAACAAACAGAATGTAGCAAGTCAATGTGCTTAATCAACAGCTTACTTTTCTGCTCACAAGAACACATTATTATCCCTATTTTGTAGATGAGGATTTGAGGCACACAAAGGTTAAGTAACTTGCCCAAGCTAGAAAGTAAAGAATCTAGGCTTTGAAACCTGGTCGTCTGGCTCCAGAGACCTTTCTTTTAACCACTGTATTATTCTGTTACCATATGCAATAGAAAGTAATTCTTATCTAATGCCGACCAGGTGAGGACCTAGTTAAGGCTGGCAGACATGACTTAGATACTATGATCAAGTGAAGCACAGAGAACTAAGATAATGAAGGTTTGCTGGACCAGGAGTTGAAAGTTAGCTGAATATTAGATACAATCATTTATACTATTAATGAGGGCATTAACCAAAAGAAGGCACAAGGGTTGTGATATTCCCTGAGGGCAGGGAGAGTGGGAGCCAGCTATGGTCATGGTGAAAACAGAATAGTTGGAGAGGTAGTATAGGAGGAGGGTCACAAACTTTGGAGACCCAGGTTGGAAAGCAGGTTCTGCCAGTTTTAGCTGGCTTTGGTCGAGTTACTTCTCTGAACCTCAGTTTTCATCTTAAAATGAGTGTAGTGATAGTATTTACATCATAGAGTTATTGTGAAGATTAAATGAATGCCTGGTCCAAGGTAAGTGATACCAATTGTTAGCTACAGTATTATGTTGTTGTTCTTCAGTAGGAGCGAAGGAGTAAGGGAGTGGATTGCCCGGGTGTCAAAACTTTTAAAAACTCCCCAGCTGATTTTAACGTAAGTCTTGATACCTGGGCAATCCACATACCATTTAATTCAGAATCTCTGGGTTGAGGCCCAACAGTGTTTTTAGAAAACTTCCAGGTAATTCCAATATGTAGCCAGGGTTATAAGTTTTACAAGCTTTAAAGTGTGTGACTTACATTTTTAACTTGGGCAATGACAAGTGGAAAGTTTTTAACATTAGACTTTCCCATCGTAGGTGGGCTTTGTGTTGAATAACTTTGATTTGTAAAATCTTAATAGATTGATGAAAAGCAGGTAGTTTCATTTATCATCAGCAACACATGACCTACAGTCAAAGACTCAAAGGCATCACAGAATAATTTGCATTTTTAGAATAAAAGAAGTTACTTTTTTTGTCATGTTCTCTCTGCCAAAGCCTTTACTATTATAAAAAACAGAAAAGCATTAACATTATAGGTCTTATAAGCAAAACGACCAACAGACTGACCAGATATTAAAATTGCACAAAATGGAAAAATGATTCACAAATGAATAATTTAGGATAACCATGTATGTAGAATCCGCATTTGTAATTAAGAAATTGTGGAATATTTATTTTTTGTAGCGTGACATTTTGATGATCCTAAGATTTGCCAGCCAGTTATTGCTTTAAATTGGATAAGTCAGCACCACTTCAACAACACACTTTGAGAGGTATAACGAGACATCATACAAATCATCTCAAAAGAAGACTCAGGCCAGACGTGAAAGGGGATCAATTCAGACAAACTTGAGGAGCCAGTTGACCCAGGATCAGGGAAAACGGAAAGAGAATTTCAGTCATTTGCTTATTTAACTATTTTTAAAGACATAATTAGTTCTATTGAATTATTGCAGTGGAGGAAGGATAGAAATATGAGAACTAGTGCAAGGTAAGAAGGGGAAATAAAGGCAATGGTAACTCAACTTGAAATTTTCAAGAGCTAAATAATGTTGGAAACGAGGACTGCATTGGTTTAATGCCACGTTTCCTTTTGTTTATTGCTGTGTGCTAGGCAGGAGGTTCGTGAGTCTGTGATGGAAGAGGTGTTGTTAGATTCAAGGTACCTGCCTTTCACTAGATCTGGGTGCTGCTTAGGGTCAGTTAAGGGCAGATTGAGACAGATACGCAATATCGCTGGCCTCTGTGTTTGTTCTTAGTCAATGATGGGTTCACCTAATAACCCTAGGCTCCCACTCTGCCTATGGTAAACTGAATTTAGTCCCTTTTTTAGAGTGCGTAAAGCTGCTTTGAGAGAGAACAGCAGGGAAGGGTCCAACTGCAGACAGAAGGTTGAGACTTGTTATTTTCTTCTTTTAAGTAAACATGTGGAAACAAAAATGCATTTTCCAGCCATTTATTGAATATATGCAAAAACTTCCAAATTCCTAAGGACCAGTGAAAAGGAAATGTCTGATTACCTTATTCTCTTCCTTCCCACAAGGAAATCGATTCCTCCCTTTTTCTATACCTTTTGTCCTGTCCTCCTTCCCGAAGGGAATAAACAAACAGAAGAGAATCCTGAATCTTAGGACCATCTTCAAGATAAAATGCATTTTCTTTTTCTAGACTTCTCTCCATATTGTGAAGCAGGTAACAAGTAGTTTGGGGAAAGACATCTCCCCGATCCCTAATGGCTGGCCAGTTAGGCTTAATTTACTAATCATCACTCAGAGTATACTTGAGATAAATCTGTTACTAGAAAGTGAAGTGTTATCTTTGTAGATAACTCATTATCTAGGTTACTAATCTCTAGGGTTACTAATATTGCATATAGCTCATTCATCATTTTGTGTATATGAAAAAAAATGCTCCTCTCTTTACCAACACAATGCAAAAACTCTCATCTCTTCCCAGTAAAGGGAATGTTTTCCTTTTAGACTTATTTTGTTGTTGTTGTTGCAATTCTCATCGAATGTAGTCATTTTCTGGGTTTATGGAAAACTTAGGTGAAGGATTGTCAAGTGGCCACATTTAAGGGATTGATGAGGTGTTCCTTTCCCTCCTTATAAATTTACTCTGAAGTATACAAGTTTTCTGGGGTTCTTTTTCTATGCAGACAGCTGTGTTAGTCCCACACTAGTTAACATTTATGATGAGAATGATGATAAGATGTATTGTCTGGAAATGAAAATATCAATCCCTCATACTCAGTTTGTCCCTTGTGTTTTGGTACAACCTCAATCAAAATGGGAGTTAATCAGGAGTGACCTCACAGGGTCACTAACTCTAAAATTAATTCTAGTTTTAATGATATATGTCTCCAATTTATACCTAAAAAGTGTGGACCACCTGTGTTGTTGACTGGTTGTGATCATCTTGAGACCTGAGGGATTTGTATCAAGAGAAAACCCAGACATGCAGGATACATGTTTCTTTAAAGTGATGCTATAAAAATTATTTTCTCAATTAAATCTAAGTGATTCACTTTTTATTTTTAAAGCCATAAAACTCGTGGCTTTGAAACGACTGAATATTTGTTTGATATTTGTTTTCACTAGCCTCTTTCCTTATTACCATTCTCCAATGACACCACTCATGTAGCATAACCACAAGTCTGAAAGCACATTTCATAGACAGGGACACACTCGACACTGGGTTGTAGCTTGCAGTAATATGATTCTATAGAAAATAGCAGTATTAATTAGATATATTCTGGTGAACTGGAAGTAAATGTTTATGATTATTGTCCCAAACAGAAAAACGTAAAAGCAATAATAAATATGTTCACTCTCATTCCAGTATACCAGCATAGGCAAATTTTTGGCTGGAAAAGCATAAGTGAGTAATTAGATAATTGCTGCCTTGATTGAGCTTAATAGGAAACATTTCAATTAGGCTAAAACTACACAGAAAGGAAGTGGGTTTTTTACAAAGGGAAACATTCCTTGTCATGCAACTGTCAGCTTGTGCCCACACTAAGAGATGGGATTAAGTGGATCTGGGCAAAGGAAACAAAAAGAAATGATTGCAGTAATTAGACCTATACTTAAACATTGTGTCTTCTGATAGAATTTCTTGATGATTCTAGCATTGATAACACAGCCCCTATAAATGTCTTGCCTGTAACAAATTACTGCCTTAAATCTATGGCAAAACAAGTTCCTGGAAAAAAAAAGTTATGATTTTCTCATACTACAAAAACTAACATTCTAGAATTGCAGTCCTCTTCTCCAAGCCACCTGCATGCTAACAAATAATCAGAAAAGCCATTTGGGGCTAGTTTGCATGGTTAATAGTTTCTCCTTAGCATACCTAGAGTATATGTTTCCAGTTGCTGACTCAGGGCTTGAGCCAGATGTAAAAAGGCGCCTTTCTTAGAATTAGTGTCCAAGAAACAGTGCTATTCTTTAAAAAAAATTTTTTTATTATTTATTTATTTTTTTATAGAGATAGGGTCTTGCTCTGTCTCCCAGGCGGGGGAGTGCAGTGGCACAATCATAGCTCACTGCAGCTGTGACCTGGACTCAAACAGTCCTCCCACCTCAGCCTCCAGAGTAGCTGAGACTACACAGGTGCATACCACTACCAGGGCAACTCTTAATATCTTGGGGATTGGGTAGTGGTATGACATCTCTAATCTGTCCACATGGGAGTTTTATCCATTTGGAGGGTGCACGGGTCCACCCACAGATAGATTCTCAGGGATGACCCAATTACTGATGCCGTTTAATGGCCTGCAGCAAGTTGCAAAGTGCTCGGCCTGAAGCCTCACACATATAGTCACTAAATAAATCATTTATGTTACTGTGAAATTATGTGCTAAACAAGAAATAAAGAAACCACTGATAGAACCCCAAACTACTGTAACACGTCTGTAGAACTGTGATTATGTCACCCAATCTCATAAGGATCTTGTCAAGACAAACAGAGGTGCCATTTAAGATACCCTGAGTAAAAGGCACTGATCTTACTGAAACAGTCCAAGAAGCACTTGATTCTTTCTGTCTATCCTGAGTGGGTATCCTTCTACCTCAGCGTATCAGCCCTGCAGGGGAAGCAGCATGAACAGCCCAGGTTAGTAGATGGCACTGTTGAAGAGACTGTTAATTTCCCTGTATTGTGTATTGGTTATGAGCATGGACTTTGGAAACAGGTAGGCCCAGTTTTTAATGTGAGCTCTGCTACTTGCTATGTGGTCTTGGACAAGTTATTTAACTTTTCAAGCCTCAGTTTCTTCATCTATAACATGGAAATAATAATATTACCTCCCTTCTCAGGTTCTTGTGAATGCTTTAAGGCCTTAATACAATTACACATTCAAAAATTCTTGGCTCCTTTTATTACTAGAGGATACTGGTTCTCATAGTTGAGCACAGGGCTCCAGTAATGCTCTCTGAAGTCCATGTTACCCAAGGTTTGCATCCATATGCCCTTCTCCAGGCAACAGCAGGTCCATAAGTGTTGAATGCCGTGTGCCAGGGCTGCTGCTTCTCTGCTTCACCGTGGCAGAATGTAAAGATGGTGTGAAGCTTGAGGAATCAAAACCAAGGTGGGCTGACACCTTGAATCGGGTGGTCACCATTAACAGTCCTCCCATTCTGTTGAATGTTATTCAGCAACCTGAATGGGCAATCCACTGTGGTCAACAGCTTTGTACAGAAACCAGCACTCTTTGCTCATACCCAGGTAAAGCAGTCAGGTGTGTGATGTTCTTTTGGTGCTTATGACTAAAAATGCTCCACTGGACTATTTACATTATCAGGACTTTAACATAAAACAGGATTCAGAAGTATTTAACTTTTGCATGAGTCCATTGGAAGGGAAAACTGTAAGCTGTTTAATAGAATGATTTGCATTGATTTGTTTTCCAGCACATGAAAGTAAGAACTCCAAGTTGACTGATGATAAAATTAAAGAGCTTGGGAACATGACTGATTTTTTTTTTTTTGAAGCAGGGTCTCACTCTGTTGCCCAGGCTGGAGTTCAGGCTGGAGTTCAGGCTGGAGCGCAGTGGTGCAAACATGGCTCACTGCAACCTCGACCTCCCGGGCTCAAGCAATCTTCCCACCTCAGCCTACCAAGTATCTGTGACTACAGGTGCACACCACCACCACACCCAGCTAATTTTGTTTATTTTTCGTAGACATGAGGTCTTACTACGTTGCCCCAGCTGGTCTTGAACTCCTGGACTCAAGCTATTCTCCCACCTTGACCCCCCAAAATGCTGGGATTACAGGTGTATGCCACCGCACCTGGCCTGATTTCAGATTTTTAAAATTAGAGTAATATTTTGTACTTTGGAAAGTAGCCATGGCAGTGAAGGTTTTTTTTAGGGGATAAACTTATAAACATTTCATTTCCATGTACAGAATTATTTCTTTTTTTTCTCTCCTCAAAAGCAGTCATGGTGGGTTAAACTATAAATAATTTCAGAGTCTCATGTAATGTGTAAAACCTTAATTAGTTTTTCTTTCTTTGGGGAAGTAGTGTAATCAATGAATATCTGCAAAAAGACCCACAGATCAGTTGCATGGAGAGAGCTGGGGAACAGCACTGCTGGGGCTGGGAAGGCTTGCATAGCTTGACAGGGCTTTGCTTGTGGGAATTGCTGATAGAGATTTTCACATCCGCTGTCTTAGACAGCTTAGACTGTTTATGACCACTTTTCCTTTCCAGCCTGGAATCTCAGGTGGCAGATTCCACTTTTGTGGCAAGACTTAGGTGTCGTGTGTACCCTAAAAAATAGAAAATGCTTGTCTTTTTTCATTCAGCTCTTTCTTATGTGGTTGTGCATTCAGCGCAGCATCCTTTCTCTAGAAACCCCTCGTACTTAGAGTTCTACTTTATGACAGCAGCTTGACTTGCTGCCAGAGAAGCTGGAAATGAAGGAGGTTTAAGATAAATATCAATGATGATTTTTTTCTTGGTCTCTCTTTCTTGCTCTCTTTCTCTCTCCCTTTTTTTTTGAAAAGGAAAGTCATATGCTCATATCCTAACTTGTCCCAGTAGAGAGTCAATTACAACCAGTTGGCCATAAATCCAATCCAAGAAAAATACTGAGGGAAGGAACTGTAGCAGTAGATACGGAGGGTCTCTAGAATCACTATAAATGTTAAGAACTTGTCAGCTGCGAACCCAGGGCCGTTAAGCGATATTTTAGGACTCAGTGTTTCCCAACATGGCCCCAAATGAGTAAAAACCAGCCAGGCATTTTTGTATGGGTAGGCATTTTTTTCCTGGAAACCTTTAAAAGTTAAAATAGTGTTATAGTTAAGACTTCATAAATAATGTGATTAAAAGTTCATTAACAGGCTGTCTGTAGTTAAAATTAAACAGCAAAAAAAAAAAATGATTTAGTTAAGTCCTTTTGTCACCCAAGGACATCATCATACCTCCACTATTGTATACCTAAGCAATTTTTAACATCTGCCACCCCCCTCCCAATATTTAAAGAAGAAACAGTATTAAGGAGAGTGAGGGCATCTTCCCAAAGTTCATGGCAATATAAGAATTACACTTTAGAAATTAAAAAGTTTTAGAGGGGCTGCCAGTGGAGGACCTTTTTCACATCATCTACACCTGGATCATTGCACACTCAAGCAGTTCTGAAAACCAGAAAAGAGGACTGAATGTACTGTAGGAGAGGAAACAAAGACTGCATTGCAGCCAGGAGTGCTCACTTCCTGGGGGAGAGCAAGTGGCAAAGCCAGTATTTTTTGGCCCTTTATCCAAGTGAGAACTGAGATCTGATTTTTTCATCCTGCATATACATACAACATGAAATATGATAATTCTAAAAAGAAAGCGGTAAAGTCTGTTTGCCAAGTGGCAGTAATTGCTTTCAAAAAATTAATTTTTGCTTTCTAAGAGATTTGTCTTTTTGCTACTAAACCTCTTAAAGATATTCTATCAATGTACTATAATTCTAGATTTTCATCCCATCATTATCAAACTATGTGATGTTTGGCAGGTAACTGACAGACTTCAAGCTTGAGTTGCTAATCCATAAATCAAGAGTGTTTAATTAAAGGTTTGGATGACCATTCCAAGCTCTCACATTCCAGAACCTATGAACCACACTATCCATTAAATGTAAACTGTGGCCATGAATCAGAATCAGCTAGGGAGTTTCTAAAATTACAGATACCCGGGCTCCATCTCACAGAGATTCCAGCTCAGTTGGTCTGAGTGGAGCTTTAAAAAGCTTTACAGTAGATATACAATAGGGGGTGAGATCCATTTTAATGAACAGTTAACTCCATGCCAGTCACCTCTGTGTTCCTAGAGACAGCAACCATATCTTATCAGTTGAAATATCGTGAAATAAATCTTATGAAAATTTCCCATTTTGGCTTCTATATTCCCAGATGTTCCCTCCCCAAAGCTGGTGTTTTGAAGGCCCCATACTTTCACTCTGCAAGATTACAACCATGCAAGCGTTTAATATCTCAACTCGCCAGTCAGATAAATGATGGGAGAGTGTATATGCTGTGACCTGTTGAAGACACGTACCCTGTTTTATCTAGCTCTTGAAATAGTCCTTAACCTTGATAGGAAGGACTAACCAGGGGCAAGGAAAAATATCAGGCACTTTCACATTTAATCCCTGCAGCAAGATAGGCATTAATATTTCATTTTACAGATAAGGAAAATAAGTCTCGTGAGGCTTACCTCTCTCCCCCGATATTACACAGGTGATGGGTAGATGGGAATGGGACAGGTATGTCAAATGGCAGAGACTGTGCTCTCCACAAGGCCGTGTTGCCACAGGGAAGGGAAGAAAGGCCACAGGGCTTTTCAGGTGCTCCTCTGGTCATCTTTACACAGGTCTATCTACTTGGAAGGCTGTCCATAATACCTCCAACCCCCACTCCATAATTCAAAAGCCCTTTAACTTCAAACTTTAGAAACATAATGAAAAGCAATACTTGAGAATGGCCAAGCCCATATGAAAGAACCATGGTAAGGACATGATGAAATGAGCTCTCTGAAACCCAGCTACAGGTAGCATAAATTGATGTCATTTTTCTGGAAAGCAGTTTGTCAGTGGATCCTTTGACCTAGTAAATCCTAAGGAAATAATCATTGGTGTGGACTAAAATTGATGAACAAAAATATCCTTTAGAACATTATGTATAATAGGAAAAATGGAAACAACCTAACTATTTAATGAAGGTGAAGAGGTCATGGTATTTAAGTACAACCATATGATGAAATATTATGTAGCATCAAAAATAATGCTTATGAAGAGCTTTTAATGAGGTGAGGAAATATTAACGATATATTATGTGAAAAAATGATACAGAACTGTACGGTATGATCTCAGCTATGAAAATAAACCATGTAAGTGTTAGACACCCCAAAATGTTAATAGTAGTTATCTCTACGTAGTAGGATTATAAAGTTTATTTTCTTTATACTTTTTGTACATTTAAATTTTTTCTAAAATGATCATGTATTATTTTAATAAGTGGAAAACATATTAAAATGTACTTATGAAAAAAATTGTAGTGTTTGGTTAGAAAAAGAAGATTGGTTACAAATAAACTAGGGATTGTAGACCAGGGAACTTAACTCTAAATAAATCTAAGCAATCCCACCAAAATGCCATTTACTTTGGTAGAAAACCTTCCTCTCTGGTTGGGCTGCCTTTTTCCCATGTGTCAAATTAAGGAACTGGATGAAAGGAATGTTAATGTCCCTTTTATCTTTAAGATTAAAAAAATACTTACTATAACCTTGCTATAAATAATTCCTACCTTCTGATAGGAACAAAGTCAGAGTGCTGGCCAATAATTTCTCTAGTCTCACTTGTTTTTCTGCCTTGAACCAATAACCAGGCTGTAGCAGAGAGTCTCATGGTGTTTCAAGGACATTAATAGTTTTGTAATTTAGGGAAAAATCAGTACAGATAAGCATGTAGACACATAAAGACAAAATATGGTTGATTAGATACTCTGAAGGACTCTACTGCTTAGTACAACTTAACTTGGATAAATCATAAACCCAATATTCAAAGCCTTCTTGGGATTCCAAGACCCAGGGGGAAGTCGTTAAGGGCAAAAAACAAAGAAATAAAGAAACAAAGAACACCTAAACATAAAAAAAATGAACACCCCACCTTCAAAAACAATTCCTCCCCTAAACTCCAGAGAACTGAGATCAGAAAAGTCAGCAGTAAATAGTGAGATCAGGAGATTCCACTAAGGCTTGCTGTAACAGGAGATTGCTAACCTGAGACTCCTGGATTAACTAAGATCCTCTGTAGGAGGAGCTAACATGGTCTCACATTGGAAGTGTTCTAGGCTCTGGGTAGAAGGAAATACAAATTCTTTCTAAAGGAAAGCAACCGCATTGTGGGAAGTCTTCAGGATTCCCACAGATTAATTCCTATTAAATATGAATTTATGAGGGTCACTTAAGCAGTCAAGTGGAGTGGAGGTCCAATAGGGTCAGGAAACTGGTTACATATAGGGGAATTGAGCAAATAAGTGAATAGACTTAGGATAATGGAAATCCCATTCTCACTTTGGAACATGGAGGTTACTAATATGAAAAGGAAGAAGACAGAATGTGGTGTTGGATTGGAATTGAAAATATTGCTGTGAATTTATGGTTTTTAATATGTAGATTATAGAAATAATTAAACGTAAAAATATGTCTATAGATATGTGTGTATATATGATGCATATGTTTTATTGCTTTGTCCATTGAGAGTGCCTGAGAGATTTCAGTTGTAAAGAGCCTCCCTAATACCTAAATCTTGATTTCTAAATACCATTTTCACTAAAAGGAGCTAGACCTCCTTGGAGAAATGGATGATTTCAGAGTTGGGGCAGAGATAATATAAGCTTTGTAGTGTCTTATATTAAATAGTAAGGCCATAGTCAAAGAATGGTGGAGACATGTGAAAAAGATATAAAATAATTTGAAGGAACTCTCACTGACCAAATCTGGGACAATTTGAGCATTAAAATAAATAATGATATTAATTATATCACATTGAATATAATGGGAGTTGTTGAGTTCTCTCTGATACAAATAAGTGAATAAATACATGGAGATAAGAAAAGGATCTTTTTACATAAGAATGCTGACTTTTAAATGTAGAAGGAGTGATACAATTGGAAAATTACGACAACCATTATAGCAGGAATTAATTAAATGAAGAAACAGCAATGTATGCGAACATTTGACATCATGGTCCTCCTGATATGTTGCCCTGAGGTCATAACATAGTAGTTTTAGTGTCTGAATCTAATCGTAAAGAAAGACTATAGAAACCCAAATTGAGATGCATTCTGCAAAATCACTGGCCTGTAATCTTAAAAAAATAAGATAAAGAAAGGATTGATGAATTATTTGAGATTAAAGGAGACTGAAGAGACAGAAGAACTAAGTGCATTGTGTGAGCTCAGATTGGATTCTTTGCTATAGAGTATATTATTATTATTATTATTATTTTTAACCATGGTTCACATTTTTTTTAAATTATACTTTAAGTTTTAGGGTACATGTGCACATTGTGCAGGTTAGTTACATATATATACATGTGCACATTGTGCAGGTTAGTTACATATATATACATGTGCCATGCTGGTGCGCTGCACCCACTAACTCGTCATCTAGCATTAGGTATATCTCCCAATGCTATCCCTCCCCCCTCCCCCCATCCCACAACAGTCCCCAGAGTGTGATATTCCCCTTCCTGTGTCCATGTGATCTCATTGTTCAATTTCCACCTATGAGTGAGAATATGCGGTGTTTGGTTTTTTGTTCTTGTGATAGTTTACTGAGAATGATGATTTCCAGTTTCATCCATGTCCCTACAAAGGACATGAACTCATCATTTTTTATGGCTGCATAGTATTCCATGGTGTATATGTGCCACATTTTCTTAATCCAGTCTATCATTGTTGGACATTTGGGTTGGTTCCAAGTCTTTGCTATTGTGAATAATGCTGCAATAAACATACGTGAGCATGTGTCTTTATAGCAGCATGATTTATAGTCCTTTGGGCATATACCCAGTAATGGGATGGCTGGGTCAAATGGATAAACTGGGACACTTGGTGAAACTCTTGGGGTCTGTGGGTGAAGGGCATATATAGTTCTTTGTATTCTTTCAGTTCTTCTCTAAATTTGGATTTATTTCAAAATAAAACATTTTTAAAAGTCATCACAATTTTTAAAAATCACCAGGTAAAAAATGAGTCAGAAGAAACAAAAAAGCAAAACGCTTAAACCTACAAAGGTTTTAGATATTTGAATTATAAGATTTACAAATATAAAATATTATAAAATATTTAAACAAGCAAATGATGGCATTTTAAAAGGGCACAAAGAACAAGAGACTTTCAAAACAGGTTTGAAAAATAAGTTTATCTTGTAAAAATAAAAAAGTTGAAGTTAAAAACTGTGTACACATTGAGTTTACATCTTCTCAATGTAAACAGAAGATCAAATGAAATGTAACAGTTTCCCCCTTTTGGGGGCAAACTATTTCATACTTCCCCTTAGTCTTTGTTTTTCAAACAATATCATGAGCAGCTTCACATAATGTCAGTGTCGTTGCAACTCTTTGTTTACAACATTGTCACATAAATAGCCTTATTGGGGCAAATAACAGGAGAGGTAATAGATAATCCAGAATCCAATTGCCACTATTCTAGGATTTTGTTGTCGTTGCTGTTACTGTTATTGTTGTTATTTTATTTTACTTTAGATTCAGGGGGATACACGTGCAGGTTTATTACATGGATATATTGCATAATGGTGAGCTTTGGGCTTTTAGTGAACCTATTATCCAAATAGTGAATATTATACCCAATAGGTAATTTTTCAACCTCACTCCCTTCACCCTTTTGGAGTCCCCAGTGTCTATTATTTCCGTCTTTATATGCATGTGTACCCCTTGTTTAGTTCTCACTTATAAGTGAGAACGTGTAGTAATTGACTTTCCATTTCAGAGTTATTTCACATAGGATAATGCCCTCCAGCTCCATCCATGTTACTGCAAAGGATATGATTCCATTCTTATTTAGGGCTGCCTAGTATTCCGTTGTGTATATATATATACCACACGTTTTCTTTATCCACTTAACCATTCATGGACACAGGTTGATTCCATGACTTTGGTATTGTGAATAGTGGTGCAATAAACATTCGAGTGCAGGTGATTTTTGGTGAAATTATTTCTTTTCCTTTGGGTAGATACCCAGTCATGGGATTGCTGGATCAAAAGGTAGTTCTGTTTTAGTACTTTGAGAAATCTCCATACTGTTTTCTACAGGGGTTGAACTAACTTACATTTTCACCAGCATTGTGTAAGCATTCTCTTTTTTCCACATATTTTTTGTTTCTTTACTTTTTCATAATAGAGTACTGTAAATATTGGGGTAAGAAAAGTAGAAGCTTCTGAGGGGAGGTTTTTGACTGTTTTGTTTACTGCTGTATATTAGCACCTACACTAATGTCTGGCATATAGTAGGTACCCAAATGTATTTGTGAAATAAATGAATCAGAAGCATAACAGAAAGACTATGATTCCTTCCTCCCATATCTAATTTTAGAATAAAAGTAAGTGAAAGAAAGAAGCAGTGCTCTGAGAGTGAACCCAGGAATATGGACTACTCATTGAAAATGCACTTCGTAAGTGTATGCTATCTAGAACATCTTTATATCATGTTTCAGGGTTTTGTATTCAAGACTCTTAAATGTCAAGTGAAGAGAAAAGTAACTTTTCTTTTTAAAAACTTTATAGGATTAATGTCTAGAGATAGTTAATATCAAATGAAAGGCCAACTGTTAATTTTGGAGCATTATTCAATCATACTTTATGGTTATTAGCCATTCCTTTAGCCTATTTTGAAAAAACTCAAAGGAAATTATTTTTAATCTTTAATTTAGGCTTGGGAAAGTAAAGTAGGACAAACAAGTGTGTTCCTCTTGAAACACACTTGAAGAGGGATATTATTTAGTAAGATATATCTGCATTAGCCTTTTGTTTTGTTTGTTGTTGTTGTTGTTGTTTTTTGTTGAGATGGAGTCTCACTCTATGGCCCAGGCTGGAGTGCAGTGTCGCCGTTTTGGCTTACTGCAACCTCTGGCTCCCAGGCTCAAGCGATCCTCCCATCTCACCCCCAGAGTAGCTGGGACTACAGGTGTGTGCCACCATGCCCAGCTAATTTTTGTATTTTTGATAGAGACAGGGTTTTGCCATGTTGGTCAGGCTGGTCTTGAACTCCTGAGCTCAAGCAATCCATCTGCCTTGGCCTCCCAAAGTGGTGTGATTACTGCACCCGGTACAGCCAATTAAAAAAAAATCAGTCCACCTAATAAATACTAAAACCTTTCATGGTTAAAAATTCTACTGCTTAGATGGCCCTGTGCTTATTTTTAAAATTTTGTTCTTTGTTCCATGTGTGCGAGCCCCAACAGGATGAAAAGGAGGTTACTATGTGGTGATATTTGAATAATATTTTACTATTTTTGTACACTGCAGGTTTACTCATTAAGGAATGTTCACATTAAGAATGTTAGTCATAATACACAATGAATAATTTGGATTCTCAATGAGTCACACTTTCTGTGATGGAATATTTTGAAATAACTTCCTCATAGCATAAAACTTATTTGAAAATGAGTTTAAAATCTGTTCTATAGTTTGATTCTATTCTGAAATCTGTTCTATAATTTGGTGCTGAACTTTTACTTGTAAATAATGAGATCACATCATGTTGACAGTAATAGATACTCTCCATGTTTTGCAAGAACTTCCCAGATATTTGACTATATGGGATCACTATAGTCATACCTTAAAGGACACAAAATCATAGGCATGGCCAATGGAAAACTTAAGCGTGTTGTGTGCATGACACCAAAACAATCATTCAGTTCAGTATAATTGTGAGGATTAAAATCAGTAGATACATCAACTCGCCTGTTAGGTATTGAGTGGATCAAATAATTCAACAGTTTTTTATTTATTTTTTTAATTTAATTTTATTTTTATTATTATACTTTAAGTTCTAGGGTACATGTGCACAAGGTGCAGGTTTGTTACATATGTATACATGTGCCATGTTGGTATGCTGCACCCATTAACTCGTCATTTACATTAGCTATATCTCCTAATGCTATCCCTCCCTTTTCCCCCCACCCCACGACAGGCCCCAGTGTGTGATGTTCCCCACCCTGTGTCCAAGTGTTCTCATTGTTCAATTCCCACCTATGAGTGAGAACACGCGGTGTTTGGTTTTCTGTCCTTGCGATAGTTTGCTGAGAATGATGGTTTCCAGCTTCATCCATGTTCCTACAAAGGACATGAACTTATCCTTTTTTATGGCTGCATAGCATTCCATGGTGTATATGTGCCACATTTTCTTAATCCAGTCTATCATTGTTGGACATTTGGGTTGGTTCCAAGTCTTTGCTATTGTGAATAGTGCTGCAATAAACATACGTGTGCATGTGTCTTTATAGTAGCATAATTTATAATCCTCTGGGTATAGACCAAGTAATGGTATGGCTGGGTCAAATGATATTTCTAGTTACAGATCCTTGAGGAATCGCCACGCTGTCTTCCACAGTGATTGAACTAGTTTACAGTCCCAAGAGCAGTGTAAAAGCGTTCCTATTTCTCCACATCTTCTCCAGCACCTGTAGTTTCCTGACTTTTTAATGATCACCATTCTAACTGGTGTGAGATGGTATCTCATTGTGGTTTTTGATTTGCATTTCTCTGATGGCCAGTGATCATGAGCATTTTTTCATGTGTCTATTGGCTGCCTAAATGTCTTCTTTTGAGAAGTGTCTGTTCATATACTTTGCCCACTTTTTGATGGGTTTGTTTGATTTTTTCTTGTAAACTTAAGTTCTTTGTAGATTCTGGATATTAGCCCTTTGTCCGATGGGTAGATTGTAAAAATTTTCTCCCATTCTGTAGGTTGCCTGTTCACTCTGATGGTAGTTTCTTTTGCTGTGCAGAAGCTCTTTAGTTTAATTGGATTCCATTTGTCAATTTGGCTTTTGTTGCCATTGCTTTTGGTGTTTTAGTCATGAAATCCTTGCCCATGCCTATGTCCGGAATGGTATTGCCTAGGTTTTCTTAAATCAGAGCGCCTCTTCTCCTCCAAAGGAATGCAGCTCCTCTCCAGCAATGGAACAAAGCTGGACAGAGAATGAGTTTGATGAGTTGAGAGAAGAGATGAATGGCTAACTAGAGTAAACAGCATAGAGAAGACCTTAAATGACCTGACAGTGCTGATAACCATGGCATGAGAACTATGTGACACTTGCACAAGCTTCAGTAGCCAATTCGATCAACTGGAAGAAAGGGTATCAGTGATTGAAGATCAAATGAATGAAATGAAGCGAGAAGAGAAGTTTAGAGAAAAAAGTAAAAAGAAATGAACAAAGCCTCCAAGAAATATGGGACTATGTGTAAAGACCAAATCTACATCTGATTGGTGTACCTGAAAGTGACAGGGAGAATGGAACCAAGTTGGAAAACACTCTTCAGGATATTATCTGGGATAACTTCCCCAACCTAGCAAGGCAGGCCAACATTCAAATTCAGGAAACACAGAGAACACCACAAAGATACTCCTCGAGAAGGGCAACTCCAAGACACATACTTGTCAGATTCACCAAAGTTGAAATGAAGGAAAAGATGTTAAGGGCAGCCAGAGAGAAAGGTCGGGTTACCCACAAAGGGAAACCCATCAACAGTTTTTTAACTGTCATTGTGTACACCCAGCCTGTACTTTCGTAAGTAAGCAGAGGATAAATAACAATATGTCAGTGACCTTAAGTCTTCCCTATAGGTAACTACTACTATCATTGAAGCACTGGACTAGGTCTGGGGACTAGGCACTGGACTAGGATCCTGTCCCTGCCCTTCAGGATTTTATATGGGCAGTGGCTTAAAAAATATGTTTTATTTAACTTGAGTCTCTGTGGTCTTACAAATTGCTGGATTATAGTTCTGCAGATCCTTTGCCCTGCAGAGGATACTTCTCTTTCTTTAGAAAGTCAGAAACAAAGATGAAAACACCATGATTAATTTACACACAAAGTTTTTAAAGGTGGGTTTTCAGGGTCCGGGTTTTTCTTCATGATCTGCTATTTATGTAACCAGTTAAAAAGTTGTTTATATTTAGACAGTGTAAGCAAAGTTTAAAAAATACTACCTTTGGCTGGGCATGGTGGCTTGCGCCTGTAATACCTGCACTTTGAGAGGTCAAGATAGGTGGATCACTGAAGGTCGGTAGTTCGAGACCAGCCTGGCCAATATGGCAAAACCCTGTCTCTACTAAAAATACAAAAATTAGCCAGGTGTGGCAGCGCACACCGGTAGTCACAGCTACTTGGGAGGCTGACGCAGGAGAATTGCTTGAACCCAGGAGGCGGAGGCTGCAGTGAGCCACTATCACGCCACTGCACTCCAGCCTGGGCGACAGAGCAAGACTTCATCTCAAAACAAACAAACAAACAAACAAAAACAGTAAAAAAAAAAACCAAAAAAACACTACCTTAATTGGTTATTTTGATTATCTCACAGTCTTCCATATTAATTTTTTACTGATTTTTGACTGACTTGTTTTTCAATATAGGAATATAAGCTATCAAGGCAAAGACCCCATTTTCTAGTTCGTTTGAGTAGCTCAAAGGACCAGGAAATTTCTTGAGTTTGACAAGGAACAGCATCATGCTGTCTAACCTGTTAAAGCATACTGTTGTCTTACAGTAAACTGTTTTTTTTGATACAGGGTCTTGCTCTGTCTTCCAGGCTGGAGTGCAGTGGTGCCATATCGGCTCACTGCAGCCTCAACCTTCTGGGCCCAGGTGATCCTCCCACCTCAGCCTCCTGAGTAGCTGGGATTGCAGGTGCGTGGCAGCACGTCTGGCTAATTTTTGTATTTTTAGTAGAGACAAGGTATTGCTATGTTGCCCAGCTCAGTAAACTTTTTTTGAAGACTTAGAACAGCGGGTTGATATTAGCACTCCTAGCAATGTGCCTGATTTAGAGTCGGTGAATGGCTTAGGTACTGAGATCATCTGACTCTTCAAAGGGCATTAACTTCTAATCTACTTGAGAGTAACCAAGTCTAAATGGTATACAATATGCAAAACAAAATCCTCCAAGTTAAGTAATTATAGTATTTTAGAACATACTAAAACTATGTGAGTATTTAATTATTGTAAAGTTTTATATTATATTAGATTTTATACTCTATTTTGAGGCAGGAGTATCATCATAAAATAGAATTAAGTACAGGCATACCTCGTTTTATTGTACTTTGCTTTGCCATGCTTTGCAGATACTGAGTTTTTAGCAAATTGAAGGTTTGTGGCAGCCCTGTGTCCAGCATGTCTATCAGTGCCATTTTCCTAGCAACATGTACCTACTTCGTTAGCATTTGTTAGCAATAAAATATTTTTAATTAAGATATGCACATCATTTTTTTAGGCATAACACTATCACACACTTAATAGACTATAGTATAGTGTAAACATAACTTTTATGTGCACTGGGAAACCAACAAATTTGTGTGACTCACCTTATTGTAGTAATCGCTTTATTGTAGTAGTCTAGAACCAAACCCATAGTATCTCCAAGGTATGCCTGTATATAGATAAGAATTATCCATCAAAATTGCTGCCTTAGAATTATTGTAGCAGTTCTGCCACTTCTCAGAATATTGTTGTTGTACCTTAGAGCCAGTTTGAGTCACAGAAGAAAATCACTAATCACTTATATATTAATAGCACTTTATAATCACATCTTGATTTTATCCAAGTGGTATCCAGCCTGATCTTGTTATTGCCAATGGTTGCCTCCAAATGACAGTTCAGTATTTACAAAGTTCAAACTAATTGTCTTTTTTTTTTTTTAAAAAAAAAAAAAAGCTTTGTAATCACTGAGGAGTGTGTGAAATAAAAGAGAGAAAGAAAAATCTCTGAGCGCATATCCCAAAGAGGAATTCCTAAAGTTCCACGTGCAAAGAAAATGCTGATGGTATGTGTTTGTCCTAGTAAGAACACAACTTTGAAGGATATAAAATCTTTTTCAGCTTTGAAAATTAAGTAATACATTACTTCTTTCTATCCCTTTTTGACAGTAATGTGTGATATAAATAATAGTGTCGTATACTGTTATATAATTACTAGGATAGAAGAAAACACACTTTTTTACAAGGCCCCCCTTGCATTAGAACATGTAGAAAATTATGGTGTGGTGACATCTTCCTCCTGAGGCTGTCTTGCTGTAACAGAGAATTATAACCAACCATTCTGTTTCCCCAGGAGTTTGGTAGGAGGCCATGGCAGTGATTCCAGAGCTAGGCCTCCACCAGCATTAGTGTTTCATTTTTAGAGAGATTCTGTATTATTTCTGGTGGTTTTATGTTATAGGAAACATTTTCAATCAGACCTCTCCTGAAATTCCTTTTTAATTTATTCAAGCACAAGCATTTACTATGTACAGGGGGGCCTTCTAAGCAAAGAATATGAGACAGAGTCCTCCTCTCTGGTCAATGCAATAAGTCTCCTTCATAGCAGGAAGGGGAAGGAAGTGTTCATAGAAAAAGGAGCCAAATCTTTCTCCTTCCCCCGATAATTACAAAACGAAAACTATTGAGGATAGATTAGGCCATAGATCCCCAGATCAGAAAAATAAATTAAAGAGGATGGAATAAATAATTGGATCAAGTTAGAAAAAAAATTAATGCCTTGAAAGCAAACTCCTCAATAGAAAAATGCAACATGTTTAAGAGGAAATACAGGGCATGCAAATGTTTTGTTCTGCATGTCCACAGAGAGAAAACTTATGGTTTTGAAAAATTCTGCATTTCCTGAATAGCATTTGCTCCTGAGTACACCTGTGTTCGGGCTGAGAAAATTAGTTGAGTGGATGAACTGATGATTAGCTGGTGGGAAATGGGGTCCAAGGACTTGTGTCCAGCCAAGTGGCAGGACAAGATGACTAGCACTTTTCAAGCAAGGCTCTCAAAGCAAGAAGATGAACTCAGATAGGGTGGCAGTTGTGGCCGCAAAGCAAGAGGAGCATGCTTGAGGTGCAAATCCTAAAACACACTTGGTTCCTTCCGAGGTCAAGCTTCTGCTGTCCCAGCCAGTGGTTGGCAAGTGACTCAGCAGTTTCCAAGAATTCTGGCTTGCATCAGCCTTGCCGCTTGGGTGAGGTCCTCTTGGAGCTCCTGGTACTAAGAGAGGTGAGAGGCAAATCCTCTCACCATGTCCTGACCTCACGTTGCACAGGCACTTTGCATTTGTTTTGTTTTGTTTTTTTTTATCTACAGGCCATGGCTTGCTCTTAAGGAACTGCTAATCATCTAATTTCAGTGATGCCTAAAATGTAGGCTCAACAAAATCAAATTATATCATAGGCAACAATAGAGAGAAGTCTGAGAAGTAAATGTGAAGCTCTGAGCCTTTGACGATATTTGAAAGAAGTTAGGGTTTGTCCACTGAAATTACTCAGGTCCACAGACAACATTTTGACTGCCCCTTGCCCAGTACTGATCTTGCCTTATTTGTTCTCCTATAACGTGTATGCATGAGGAGCCCCCACCACTTGTTGGGGACCTGCCTACCGTTATTTCATGGGTACACTGCAGGTTCCTTCTCTCCTATGCTGCATGATTGGTGGTCTGCTGTACACTGTGCAGATGTTTCTCCTGTGCTATTTCATGATTATTTTTCAAGTGGCCTCTTAGTCAAGGGATGGCAGGTCAACACATGGGAACATCTGCTCTTACCATTTTTCTAAGCAAACAGCAGATGGCATTGCTGCTGTCCTTTTGATCTGAAGCAAAAATTCCCATGTCTGAGGTGTTGGTTTACATTGACACTGCCTGGCAAGCGACTGCCTGAGAGTCGGCCTCCCGCAACAGTAGCACTGCTTACAGATGTTTTCTCTGCAATGCTCATTTTTAGTTTGTTTCTTCCTGTGACTCTA
Organism: Homo sapiens; assembly: GCF_000001405.40. Lineage (NCBI taxonomy): Eukaryota > Metazoa > Chordata > Mammalia > Primates > Hominidae > Homo > Homo sapiens. Next base: position 36,975,871 of record NC_000014.9, on the reverse strand, counting down.
CTTCTGCAGGGTGTCTTAAACTTTGATTCTTCCTCCTGTGACTGTTGCTCCATCACCTCACTGATGTCAACTATGGTCCTCAGGTTTCCTACCATTTGTCACTTGGGATCACCATTAGAGTTGCCAAAGAGGAGACAGTAACCTGCCTCACATCAGGAAGTAGACACTGGCTATGTGTGTGTGATGGACTACACAAGATTATCTTGGAAATAGCTGAACCACCAACCTTTTTCTAGGTGATTCCTCTGCCAGACAAGACCATCTTAAAATTACATTTTAACCATTGGATTTATAAAACTTTAATGTATGTATTCTGTAAGATTTGTACTCATCGAACAACTTATCTTTACAAACAGTGCAAATATGCAAATGAAATGTCCACTTCAGTGTTATTTTCTAGACGGAGTAGTAGCCTGTTAGAAGAAAAAAAAATCTTTCTTACATTTTTCCTTGGTTTATATTAGATTCCAATGACTTTTTACAATTATTATTTTATCTTTCCATAAGTTATTGGGGTACAGGAGGTATTTGATTATATGAGTAAGTTCTTTAGTGGTGATTTATGAGATCCTGGTGAAACCAGCTCAAACGCCCATCAATGACTGTTTCATTATAGGTAACCTTTGGTCATCCACAGTGCTTCCACACCCTCTGGCATCTTCCTTCTGTAGGTGTTTCTTCTTTGACATCATCAGTTAAATTCTTTATATATGTCTTTCCTTCTTCTGCGTAGTCTTGTATATCCTGTCAATCAAGGGTTCCAGGAAGCTTCAATTTCCTTTATCTGTGAAATGAGAATAATACTTTCCTCATGTGATTGTTGTGGGGATTAAATGAGATAATGTGTGCCTACTGAGTGCTTTAAAAATGGAAGTCATCATCCTCTTGTTCATCACCATCATCATTGCCATCACATCATTCATAGGTCAAGGAGTCAGAGGACCCAGCTTGAGCATTTCCTAGCTGAAATGTCAGGCACTGTTACCATCTCTTCTTTCTCATCTGAGGTCCAAGTATATTGCCTTTTATTGTACTACTTGGTTTCTTGTTTTATATATTCAGGCTCTGGATGAATTTTTTGTATTCCTAGAAAACTATACTCAGTGTTCTTGAACTTTTTGTTTTCTTGTGTTTTACTTGACATATATATTATAGCTTTTTGGCTCAAAAATTTCCAGGTTTATACTTGTAACTTCAACATAATATAGTAATTATCAAAGATGCCCAAGGTGCAGAATCTCTATTTCCTTTGAATTTCATGCAACTACTGATGTCTGTTTATATTCTTGCCAAATTGGATTTCAAAATGGCCCAATTTTCTAGGGCAAGTAAGTTTTCATAGCAAAGTATTTGGTGCCTCAGAAAATATGAGTTTTCAGAATATTTGGTAGCCACCTAAAGTGATTAGGGAAAAAAGATATAATATGTGTACCTACTGTTTCTTATGGCAAGTTCTTGAATGTAGAAGACTTGCCAAAAGGAAGGTATGTGTACACACCACCCTTTCAGAATTATATCAGCAAATAGAAATGAAGGAGTAGAGAGGATATTTAAGAGAAAGCATGAGTCATATTTCTAACAAGAAAAGGCAGTCACTGATTTTGTGTGGAAACAATGCTGGAGCATGTCTGTTAACATCTAAGTCATTCTAGAAGTTGGGATTACTGAGAGTCAGTAAACTTTAAATACTGGTGATTAGTTTATGTAACACTGGAAAAACAAATCTCCTTCCATCTTTCAAACAAATATTTCTGGTGAGCCCATCCCAGTGTCCTTTTATTTCACTTCTACTCAATTCTTTTGGAGTTTGTCAAATCCTTTTATTAAAATGTTGCTCTTTTTTTTCCCTCTCATATGTAGCCTTAGTCACTAAAATAAATAGAGCTGTCCCAGAGTCATAGCCGTTCTTAGCTGACTTCCTTCTTAATATAGCAACCCATTTGACTTTGTCCTTGCAATTTTTTTTATTTGAAAATTGAATTTGCCCCACTTACTTCTCATTCTGCCTCAGTTAGGCTCCCAATTTTCATCCTTTAAATGAATTATCTTGCTGTTTTCTTTCCCCCTTTTCCTGTGAGCTTTCAGCTCATTTCTGCATTCCCTTTTATTCCTTAGATCTTTAAAACTCATTTTACAACCTAACTGGATTGACTTAACCACGTATGAGAATTTGTTGTACTTTAATTGTCCTAGTGAAAAACCTATTGTCTTATATAATGTTTTCTAAATCTGTAAGGTGTTTGCTTTTCAACTCTAGGAGATTGGCTCCAAAATAGGCCCCAGCCTCTCTCTTGAGCTCAAATCTGTCTTCCTCATTCCCTGCTGAACACCTTTCCATCGGTGTCCCTCTAATGCAATAAATTCATCATGTCTCTCTTTCTGGTAATGGAAGCAGACAGTCATCCTAGCTGCAACTTTTCTGTTTTCTTTACCTTAGGGCTTCTCCTTGCTCCATATGTAACTGGCCACCACACCCCACGGAGGCAGCCTCCGCTATGTTTCTCACGTGCCTTTGCTCAGTTCCGTGTTCATGTCACTACAGTTGTTCACCCCTTTTCTCCTCTGTTCCTGACATCACTTGTCTCCCCACCATTGCCATCCCCCTACTACAGTTGCCACCTCCAGCTTCTCTGCTTCCTGCCATTCCTATCTGTCTTACATACACTGCCAGATTTTTCTAAAATGTGGCTCTAACACTTATTTCTGCCCTAAATCCTTTAGTGCCTCTCTACTGCCTACTGAATAAATTTGACTCTTTCCTTCATGATTAAGATCTTGCAAGCCTGGAAAACATAGCAAGACCCTATTTCTACTAAAATAAAATAAAATAAAATAAAATAAAATAAAATAAATAAATAAATAAAAATAAAAATTAGCCAGGCATAGTGATGTGTTCCTGTAGTCCCAGCTACTTGGGAGGTTAAGATGGGAGGATCACTTGAGCCCAGGAGTTTAAGGCTGCAGTGAGCCATGATTGTGCCAGTATACTCCAGCCTGCATGAGAGAGACCTTGTCTTTGTCTCAAAACAAACAAACAACAAAAAACCCAAACAAACAAAAAAGTTCCACATTCTAACTCTAATTTATTCTTCTATTCTTCCCTCCATGCCACTCTCTATACCCTATATACTCCAGGCTTTTGGATTTCTCTGATCTTGCTTTGCCTTTATGGTCTCTATTGCTTTTTCTCATGTTCCTTTGCTTTGAATTCTCTAAACCTCCCTCGTCAATTACTACCTGCCAGGGTACTGGTCATGGCCTTCTCAGATACCATTTCTCTGTAAGGCCATCCTTGAATCTGCTGCCTTGTCCCCTAAGCCTGCTGGCCAGTGTTCAGTTTACTTGATTTTCTTTCCTGGCCTGTTAACCTTTGCCTCCCACTAAAGTTCGTTATGTTTACTTCCCTCTTTGTGGCTAGAATTTAAGATCTATGAAAGGGATGACCATGGCCTTAATTATTCTTATATTTTCCTTGGTATCCAGCATATTTATACATCCTTGATGATTGGTAAATATGTATGTATTGAAATATAGTCATGAATCGCTTAATGATGGGAATACATTCTGAGAAGTGCTTCATTAGGTGCTTTTGTCCTTATACACACATCATAGAGGGTACTTACACAAACCTAAATGGGATAGTTTACTACACACCTAGACTATATGCTATAACCTATTGCTCCTAGGCTACAAACCTGTACAGCATGGTACTGCACTGAATACTGTAGGCAACTGTAACACAATGGTATGTATGTGTGTATCCAAAAATATCTAAACCTAGAAAAGGTACAATAAAAATATGTTATAATCTTACGGGACCATTATCATACATATAATCTGCCATTGACCAAAACATCCTTATTTAGCACATAACTGTATATATGTGTGTGTATATATACACACAATTAAAAAGTAATCCCCAATAGTATTTGTGTCCTCTTCTTAACACAATATTTACAGCCAGTATTTCTTTACTTTTGCTATAATAGTCCAAGACTCAGGACTTGCCTTTCCCAACTAGTACTTGTACTTTGAGGAAGAAAGTAGGAAATAATCTCTCAGAAGCCTATTACCACTTCTACATTAATGGGCATATGAAGCGGCATCATTGTCTGGGGTAAATACCCGAGGTTCGTGTGTGGCGCCAAGAAGATTAGGACATGGACACATGTGGGTGGGTTAAGGAGTGGAAAGTTTAATAGGCAGAAGAAAGGAGAGAGGAGAGCAGCTCTCTCTCTCTTTCTCCTTTTTGAGAGAGAGGTGCCCGAAAGGGAGCAGCGGACCATAGCAGATTTTATAGGGAGGCTTGAGGAGGTGGTGTCTGGTTTATCTAGGGCCCGCAGATTGGCTTGACCAGGTCTGATATTTACATAGGACGCAGGAAAGGCTGGTCACCCCACCCTAATCTTATTATGCAAATGGGCTTTCTACTTGGCCAGCGCCATCTTGTCTGCTCCCTACTGTACACATGGCTGGCAAAGAAAAGAGAAGATGGAGCCACCAGTTAGAACATGCCTGTTTCCAGGTAGCTTTTTCCTATTGGCACAACTGCTGGCATTCACCTGTGCAAGCTTCTAGCTTGTTTGTCTATGTCTGCAGCTCAATTCTACAGGCTGCTCTTTGTTAGAAAAGAAAATGATGTTGGGGCTGCTTTTCATTAAAAAGAGAACCTTACCAAGGACTTCCTTACCCCTCAGTATCTGCCTAAATAATTTCATTTTAACTCCTGTATCACAAATACTGAAGGGACTCGGAAAGTTCATTTCAGTTTGCCTCACCTAATGACCTCACATGTTTACCTGAACTGTAAACATTTTGAAGAGCTTTATTTGCTTATTTATCTCCTCTGCTAAGAAATCTTTGAGTCCCTATGAGCAGGGATTGATTCAGTATATTCAAGGTGTGAATATTTTGTACAAATGAATATATAAACATAGACTCTATAAATGTAAAGAGGCTAGAAATTTTAACAAAATTTCTAAAAGGTTTTCAAAGAATGAAATATTAGTAATATTCCTAACCTATAGTAATTTCTTACATTTACTTGTAGTTCAGGAGAAGGACACCTACATGAAAATATTAGATCAAGCCATATAAAACTAAAGATGTTTGAGTATTTTAACACAAACAGCAATTTCACATGGCTCGACCTATGCAGGCATGGAATGGGAACAGTCTTGAATCTTAGAACTTAATGCTAGTGCTCAGGATCGGTGTGCAGCTGGATTTTTGTTCACCCTAACCTGGCTTGTTATTTTACTTTTGACCCAGCCCATGGGGATAGAGAGGTAATTAGTAATGCCATTCTTTCATCATTGCTGGTAATTGTTGACTTAATTCCCTCTAGTTATTGTTTCATATTAGTTCATAATTAGTTAGATTTATTATACTAGTAATTAAAATATAAAATTAATTGGATATTTCCTTTACTTTGAAGTTGGCCTAAAGGTGTATACATGCATGACATGACCCTGACTCAGTAACTTCCATGTATGTTAGTGAATTTTGCTCTTAGGCTCATCTATTCATTCACGATTCCATCAGCAAATGTTTCTTGAGCACCTATTCTGGTTATACCATCCTGGACAACCACAGGATTCCAGACCTCAAGGAGAGAAGGGATGAAAAGTGCCCAGCCTATGATCTTTGTTCAACTGATGGTCACAGATAATCATTATTATGGCGGTGATCACAATCCTGACTGAGAGCTAGCTATATTTTTAAATTTTCTCTTCATAATTAAAAAATCACTGATATATTGTTTGTTTTTTTCTTCTGAGACTTTCATGTCTAAGGAAAGTGAGTAGAATCCAAAGGAGATGGTTTCATTAGGAAAATGCTCAATTGTAACAACTTTATAGGAATTTATCTGGGTCTTTGTTTAAGATAGTCAGAGACAATGGAATCTGGAGCCTTGCTTCCCTTTCTGCTCTTCCCCTATCCTGAGGCTCTAAGGCACCTGAGAGGCATTTTACCTGGGAGAGCAGGACTCAAAACCTGAGCCACCAGAACCCTCCTGCTTGCATCTGCCTCGATCCCCTGCTTGGGCTGGAAGAATTGAAGTATAAAAGTAAGTGTCTGGCTGGGTGCAGCGGCTCATGCCTTTAATCTCAACATTTTGGGAGGCCAAGGAGGTAGGATGGCCTGAGCCCAAGAGTTTGGGACCAGTATAGATAACGTACCGAGACCCCATCTCCATAAATTTTTTTTTTTTAATTAGCCAGGTGTGGTGGTGCATGCCTGTTGTCCCAGCTCCCAAACAGGCTGAGGCGGGAGGATCATTTAAGCCTAGGAGTTGGAAGCTATAGTGCTCTATGATTGCACCACTGCACTCCAGCCTGGGCCACCGGGTAAGACCCTGTCTCTAAAAAAATTTTTGTTTTTTGAAAACCGAGTTTCTAGGAGTTCCTTGGGCCCTAATACTCAGCTCAGTTGACAGCAAAAGTCAGAGTATGATTTCAGGCCTTCATGTGTCAGGTAGATTTACTGTGGCCTGTAATCACAGCCCCTCTTTCACGAAGGTCTTCCACAGTCCATGGGAGGACCAGGCTCGAAGACAGGATCTAAGAGCTAAGCACATCTGTTCCCGCTCTTGGAAAAGCAGCTCAGCACACAAGCTCTATTAACAGGGGGTCTGGAACATCAACTTTGGTGGGCATCAAAGACAACATATTTATTTATTTCATTAATTTTTGTCTGTTTTGTACATAAGAATTATATTTCCTAAAATTGGGATTGTTATGAAAATTATGCAGAAGAGGAAAAAGCTGAATTTTCCGATATATTAATTTCCAAAGTGCTTATTTCTGACATCATCTTTGGATTTTTATGTCTCCGCAACTTCATAATTAAAAAATTAAAGCCTGAATGAACTCAAAAGGCCTTTGGCCTTAGTAGACTTATTAAATCTGCTTTATTGAGAAGACTTGACCCCTTGGCTGCATTATCTTGGGATTGTACTGTATTTCACTTTATTTTCTTTGATATGTGTACAGTAAAATACCAGACCTTAAAATAAAAGTCCCTTGCTGAGCCTCTTCTCCCTGGGAAAGAATACACTTTATGGCCAGATGGAATGGCATCATGTCTCACTGTTGGGGTAGCACAGAAAAGACAACATCGCTGAACGCTTTCCATTCTCATACCGGGGAGGCTCCTTAGTTTAGTCAGGTGCTGTAACTTGGACCCAACGCTGAGCTGCAGCTCAGGAGACAAAACAGTTGGAAAACTTGGAGAAAGGCTCTAAGGGTCAGTGAAATTTACTGTGGGCAGCTGCTGCTTCAAAGCCACTCTCTGTGCAGAAGCCTATTAAGAAGTAGTAGGTTACGTTCCTGCCGTTTCCCCAGCATGATGGATGATGCTCTGAAAAGAGAAAAGACTTCCTGTTCCATGGAGGTGGCTTTCCTCTAGGCTGCCTCACTGCCTTTCTCAGGCTCTCTCCATTCCATTTCTAACCATTGAATTCACTGCTCCACTACATTTAATAATAAGCCGGGCTTGTCAGGAATGACTGACTGTGACTCACCAGTGACTTCTTGTCAATCAGCAGGACCTCCCACTCTCAGTAGAGGGGCTTAGCTGTGCTGTCGTTCCAGGGGAAGAGGCTATGAGGGAAAAGAATCAGGTTGCATGTGGACCAATAACAGGAGTGACTTTAGAGTTTGCTTGATCTTTTTCGCTTTCAGAAACATTTTCACTTTACCTCACGTTAAGAAACTATTCCTCACTGGCCCTCTCTTAGCTTCTGGTATTTGCCAAGCTCTCTTCTACTAGCACTTTTGTACATGCTGTTACCTCCACTACGTGTGCTCTTCCCTGTTTGCTTTGCTTTCTTAACTGCTGCTCTCTTTCTAGTCTCAGCCTGTAACCCAACCTTCTTGCTTAGGTTAGAGCTCTTAAGTTGAGGTGCTTATAGGACGGTGTCCTTCCTTTGTGGCACTCGTTTGGGTGACCATTTGATGGATGTCTTTTTCACATTCTGCATTATTGAGGATTGTATTACACCCACACGCACACACACAGACACACACACACACACAAGTGCATGTGGCACCATGTGCAATGTCCATCTTCCCTGCCTCAGCTGCAGTCTCCACACAGGCAGGGAGTGTGCTGTCAATCTTCATCATTGTACCTCCAGTACCCACTACCCAATGCACATTTGTTACTGCTGGATTCGGTTGACATTTGATTTGTATATCCTTAGGAAAGTAGAAGCTTGTTACTGTATGCTTTTCACAGGCATAAAGATACAAGGCTAATAGTGTGAGGTGCTTTTAGGAGCAAGGCTGAGTTGCTTGCTTAGTAACAAGCATCATCTGCTTAGCAAGCCCGCGTTTTGGGTGTGGGGAAAAGTTTTTCATAATTAACAGGTGCACAAAAACTCAGCATTTTCAGGTCAAATGACTATACATACTTCTAATAAAGTTCTTCTCTATTGACTCCATCAAGCACTGGTTACTAAGTGCTCATGTATGGTTAGTAGAGTCTTTTGGTGTTTGGTAGAGATGACTAACATAGGCAAGATCCCTGGCCTCCTGAGGCTTATCATATAAATAGGGGACATCAGGTAAAGACCAGAGAAGAAAGTACTCACTTGTGGGAATGTGGTAGAACCACAAATATGAAGGCGAGGAAGGTCTGTTTCTCCCCACTTCTAGAGGATCAGGTCTGTGGCATCATGAAAGACAGAAATACCATTGATCTTCAGTTAGTAGTGATGTATGTAGACCTACAACCCATAAATCTTGTGATTTCATTCTAAAATTAATTCACCATTCAAAAGGAGGAAAAATCAAGTTCTCATACAAGAGTTGGTTGTGGCGGCAGGTACATTTTGTTGACTGTCATATTTAGATGGAGCTAAGGGGATATACATATATATATTTCTATATAGAGAAATAAAGTATACCTATATTTCTTTATAGAGAAATAAAAGTTCACATGGAAGTTTCCTTTTGCTGCCTAATTCAGAGATTTTTCATTCCCTGTAGAATCCCTTCGGGGGCTGCTAAATGAGGTGTCAAGAAAGAAGGAACTCAAGGGATAAAGTTCTGGTTCCCCAAGTTCCCCAACCAGAAGGGCTCCATGTAGAAACATTTGTTTTAGAATGCTTTAATTTCAATAGAAGAAAGAATTCTACTGCCACAATTTGCTAACTTTTCTTTAGACTGCGGAGTTCAAGAAACCCTTGCACAGGGCAGATAACAGTTGTTATTCGATGGGAATGTCGCAGAGGAGCAGACTTAGTGACCTGGGAGGTGAGAGTACAGTGTGTAGATAGGGAAAGAAGCAGTGACATTTCCTATTAGAAAATCAGGGATGGTCTTTGGGAAATGATAAGATCGTGATGCTGATTTCCTGATCAAATGGGACTTTAGATCAGGATGTGCTGAGTCCACTCCAGGACACACAAGGGCTCTTCTCTGAGGTGTCTGAGTTGAGTAGATAAAAAAGACTCTAAACAATTCCACTGATCACCTCAAGAATTTCCTCTAATTTGCCTTCACATTGCATGGAGGTCCTTTCTCTATGGACCATCTGGTAGGGAGTTGTTAGGATGGCTATGGAGTAACAGACCACTGTGTTGATGGCAACTCCCCACAACACACCTTTTTAGGGGACACTTTCTTGGACTACTTCTTTGGGGATAGCACATGTATTAGAAGAGCAGAGGGAAGAGAGAAGCTACCTTGGAAATGGAAATTTTGCTGTTGGTCATGGCTGTGACTGGGATACCTCAGGTGGACAGTGCTAGCGAATTTCCACTGTGTGTTTCTTACGTTCCATGTAGCATTTTTTTGTTTGTTTAAGAGTTTAATTCCTTAATTTTTAAAAACTTTTAATTTTGTAGGTACATAGTAGCTGTATATATTTATGGGGTACATGAGATATTTTGGTACATGCATGTAATATGTAATAATCACATCATGGGCAATTGGATATTCATCCCCTCAAGCATTTATTCTTTGTGTTACAAGCAATCAAATTATACTCTTTTAGTTATTTTTAAATGTACAATTAACCATGAAGCTCTTATCTCAAACCAAAGTATATTCACAAACTGTTCTCAGATGATTAGGGCTCTCTTATGGACTGTGATTTATTTTTTAATCTCTTTGTCATAACTTAATGAGAATCTATTAGGATGAGAGAGTGGAGAATAAACCTGGAAAGAAAATATTTCTGGCCTAGTATTCTCCAAGAAATATTGAACTCACTCCAGAATATTCTACTTTTATTTCTAATAGGAATTAATAAGAATGCTATAGTTCTTATTTGGAAAGTATGTCTACATGGTTTGTGTGTATTTATATGCCAAAAACAAAATGAGACTATTCAAGCATTGGAATGTTAGAAACTATAACATTGTCTGCAAATATCACAATCTCATGAGATCTATTTTGTTAAACATGAAGAAATTTAAGTTTCTTTTGAAAATTCTTTAAAGTAATAAAAATCTGAATCATAATTTTATCAAAAATTATAACCAAGATTCACTGATATGATTGAGAGACTTATTAAAAAACATAAACCAAGACTTTAAATTTAGTGGAGTGTGAAAGATTGATGTACTTGTGGAATTGCATATTTATTATTTTTATGTGGAAAGTCATGGTGATTATGATATGAAATGTGATGTTGTTTGCTTAAAGCATAAGTCTACTCTGTAGGTCAGGATCAAAAGGGACCATTTTTAGTTTGCCTTCAATTTGATCAATTCTGGGGATTCTAAAAGGGAAGGTAAGTTAACAGATATTTACAAAAAGAATGAAATTAATATGTCAGTTAGACAATGGGTCCAGATTCTTTAAAAGTAACCACAAACCTTTAAAATTGAACATGGAATAGAAAATTTAAAGGCAAAGTCAGAGTCCAACCAAACCATTCCTTCAGTTAATTTAGAAAAGTTTATCATCTATTTATATAAAAATCCATATAGAGGGAAAAAAAACTAAATTAATAAAACAAGTCAGAACTGAATTGGTGAGACAAATATAGGAAGATTGTTACCCTCCCCATCACAAGCGAGTTTGTAATTCTGATATAATAAAGTTGAATAGATGCGTTCATGTTGAATCATTTGTCTTCTTGGAATGTGTAACTAAATTATAGTTCTGGGTGAGTACACGGACTGGGATTATGTGATTATACTGCAGGCCCTGATTCTACTTATATTTATAGTCACTGCTTAATACCTAAATGTATTGTTTGAGTGTTGACAAGGTACCAATAATATTACTTTGTCCTTTTATTGCACTCTCACAAGAGGATCTTTAAGAACTTTACGCACATTAGTGTGTTATTCCCAGGATTATTCTTCCTGTTTTATAACTGAAGAAACTGCTTCTCATGGATATAAGTAACTTGTTCAAACCAAGTTTGTAATGTTGTTACAAAGCCTCTCCTGATTCCATAGTTTGACTGTTCCACCCTGGAGATTAACACTTGAAGTAGGCATTCTGCAATGGCTGTGGCCCAGAGAATGGTCATGTAGACCCATATTAAATTAAGAATTTGTTAACATACATGAGGGATCCACTTTGTTGAGTCTATACAAAAAGGGTTTGCTGAGCAAATGAAATAACACAAATATAGAGAAAAATTATTATCTCACTGTGTAGAAAGTTTGCCAAACTTTTCATCTGTGTTGGCTTACAATCAGTGTGCCAATTACAAATATGCTATTGATTCATAAATCAGGATGCATATACTTAGAAACATTTTGTTAGTATTTGGTTTGAATCCATGATAATTAGTATTTATGAGAAAGTAATAAAACTATATTCATTTAAAAATATATTTACCCATTTTGGTTTTTCATGGATTCAGACTGGGAAATTATATATGTGCATAAGAAATCTTGGAAAATGAAGGCGCTAAGTAGCCTTTGCAAATAAGCAAACATACAATTTCAAAAAAAAAGGTTTCAAGGGAGAGATGGAGAAGAATATCGTGGAACTGTGAAAGCAGCAATTTTAGTAGACAGGAAGAACCATTCTTTACCGAGCACTTTGAGCATCCTTCCACTTCAGTTAGCAACTTCCTTCACAAACAAAAACAGTGATGTTCTAGCCATGATCCCTCTGGGTTGCGCAGGGTAACGAGGGGTCACTGGGTACTCCTGGCACTCGTTGAGCAGGCTTGCGAAGTCGGAGCAAGCCTGGCCTGGCGCTAAGTAAGGATAGATGCACTTCTCTGCATGAATCTTCGGCAGCTCATGTTGCAGATAGGGTTAAAGGTTGTAGCGGCCCCGTGTTCCACTAGCAAAACATCAAAATGTTCCTTCTACTGAGAAGGTTCAGAATACCAGGTGGAATAACCTCTGTGGCCATGTAGGTTGGTTGAACTGTCTGTTTTGATCATAACCCCATGCATGGTCTTGCATTTCTTTGTGCTAATGGCAGATAGCACTATTATGGTGCCTGCATGAATAATCTATTATTTTAAAATATAAATTCTCCCATTACTCTGTCAGCCATAAATACCTTCTTTGCTAACATGCTGTTCAGAATCACTATAATCTGGGGAGGGCCATTTTATATTCTCTGTTCACATGATCTAAGCAGCATTTTTGCATGACTTTGGGGAATAAAACAGGAAAAGGGGGGAAATTTAAAAAATACAATAAGCTTAATGGCTTTTTCACTTATCGTTTCTTTAACCTCTTTAATATACTATGGGGGGATATGTACTAAGCTTTTGTGGAAAGGGGGTCCTATTTTGTAACCAAAGGAAAGTGAAAAATATTTCTGGAACATTTTGACTTTCAACCTCTTTAATGACTCAAAAAAATATGGAATAATAAAATAAAAACTCAAAGACTGCCAACTTAGGCCTCACAATAACTTTTCTGCCAAAAACTAAAAATACTGCTATGCATACAAAGGGTTCTAACCCACTACCAAAAAGAAAATTTCTGGCTTAGTCAAAACAACATACCTACTATCTCTACCTCAAATTCTAGAGTAAAGGAAAGAAGTAAAATTATAAATTATTAAAAATGAATTTCATGTGTTTGGTATGTCTAACCCCTAAAAGAGACTGTTATCCTTAAAGGCAAGAAAGAATGGCTGGTTACACGGTATTTTATTATCTTGAATCAAACTGGTGAATAATTTCTAGATTACTTTCTGAATAAAACATAAATTATTATCCTTTCTGGCTATTTTTCCAGATACTCTAGCAACATATTTAAATTTGATGCAGTTTGATTGTGTTTTTAAAAACACAATTTTTATGGATGGATCTATAGGACATTATGCTAAGCGAAATAAGCCAGACACAGAAAGAAGAGTATTGCATAAGTGAAATATTGGAAAAATAAAAAAGAGAGATAGAGAATGGAACAGTGGCTACCAGGGGTGGGGCTATGGGGTGGCAGGGAGAGGAAATGAGGAGACTGGGGAGATGTAGATCAAAGGATATAAAACAGCAGATATGTAGGATGAACAAATCTAGAGATCAAATGTACAACATGAGGAATAAAGTTCATAAAATTATATAGTGTCAGAGATTTTTGTTAAAGAAGTAGGTGCTCTTGTCTCACACAAAAAAGCAACTGTGTGATGATAGATGTTAATCTGCTTCACCGTAGTAACTATTTTACCATCAGTATGTGTCCCATAACATCATGTTGTAAACCTCAAATACTCTAATTTTTTAAAGATATTTAAAAACATTATACCAAGGAATAGCATGGGACCTGGTAGACAGAAACAAAGATATTAATGAAAATAATTTATATGTGAGGAAAATGATTTAATAGCAGGCTAGAGAAAGGATGAGTGGTTCGGAAAGAACCACCTTGGAAGTCGCTGCAGTTGTCCAGACAGAAGGTGAGCAGAACTCAGACTGGAGCTGTGGCAATGCAGCTGAAATACTTCCAGGAAGTGGCACCCCTAATTGCTGTCCTGGGGCTCTATTTCTTCTTCTATCATGGTTTTTATGGGAAATTATGTTTTCAGACATACAGACAGGAGGGACTCATCTGTCCTGGAGATAGCTCTCACAACTGCTCTAGCTCCTGGAGGATTTTAGGAATCAGAGAATACTTACCTCCCCAGGATTAGGGAGGGGTATGCCTCTCTACTTTCATGTGCAAAGGGCATTTGCAAGACACTTGAAGAGTTTCATAACTCTGAAAGGACCTATATTTCCCTTGCTCTTCCCCAGCATAGACCATAGCCTTGGGTGTTATCTGGAGAGCCCAGTTGCCATCTACCCCTCACCAGCAATGGAGCATGGGTGGTGGGAGAGGAATGGACAAGACTGAGGCTAAGGACAGTAAGGGAGCCAGCACCAGGCCTGGAGCCAAAGTGACAAGTCACTCTTAGGACCATGACTTTTTAAAGCGTCTTCCAGGTCTTGTATAATAGTGGTCACTTTCTCGCGAAGCCTCAGAGCACTGTTTTTGAAAACGTGGGCCTTGGATGTCCTTCATTAAAAACACGTACGGCGGTGAAATCCCATCTCTACTAAAAATACAAAAAATTAGCTGGGCGCGGTGGCAGGCACCTGTAGTCCCAGCTACTCGGGAGGGTGAGGCAGGAGAATGGCGTGAACCCGGAAGGCAGAGCTTGCAGTGAGCCGAGGTTGTGCCACTGCACTCCAGCCTGGGCGACAGAGCGAGGCTCCGTCTCAAAAAAAAAAACCAAAAAACGAAAACACGTGCGGAAGGCTTGCTAAAGCTATAGATACCTAAGTTTTACCCCAGACTTTCAGAATCAGATGCTCTGGGGGTGGGCTTTTTTAATTGATTGTGGTATCCAGGTGTGGGTTTTTGCCAGCTCACTCACATCATTCTGTAGATGAAAGTTTGAGAACCAACACCTCAAACCTCCTCACTCATCGTAACAGATTGTGATTAATTGGAGAACTAGATCTTTTACAGTGGGGACAGCATGACTGCTGTTGAATTCCATATGAGCAATTAGGTCATTGTGCATACTGTGTGCACTTTCCTATTTCTGATTATTGGCAAAAAGCAGAAGTTCCATATAATGAGAGTGGCACCATGTTTGGGGTGGCTTGGAGAGTGGACTCACCACTACTGTTTAGATAGGTGTTCCCTTGGACTTTCTTTTTTGTTTTGGCTATAACTGTGTTTGGTGCTGCTGAGTAGGGCTGTGCATGGAACTACAGGCCACAGCTTTACATTTCTTGCTTTAGAGGGATTTGCCATAAAGGTACTGGCCAGAGAATAACAATGAGACCACCTTTAGGCAGAAGGCGGGGCAGGGGAAGGACTGAGGTGGCAGGTTGGGGAAAGGAGGGTAAATTACAAAAGAAAAGGGATGGCAAGAGAATGGTGTCAGCACAGAGTTTGTATTATAAGATAGGACATTTATATGAAAAAGGCGTCCTTGAGAAATATAAAGAATTATTACATGCAAATCTTACTATGATTTGAAAAACATAGGCATCTATCTAGTATTATCTCTTACTTACCTCCCTCAGTTCTTGCCACCCCTCACCACTAACCCCAAATTTAGAAATCCTAGTTCTCAGTTTTATGAAAGCAAATTTTCTCAGTCCTGAGATATTCGCCATTGTTATCTTAGGAATTCCAGATAATTTTCTCAGTCACAAACACATGTCTATGTGTGTTTTAGTGGTCAAGCTAATGAAAAAAAGTATAATTGGATAGGAAGAGGATTCCTGTGACTAAAAATAGGAACAACATAAATTGGCCAGTGAAAATAGGTGAATAGACAACCATGTTTTGTACTAAATGATTAGATTACAGTTTTTCCTTCTAAACTAAAAAACAAAAAGATACATCCATGGACCTTTGCACTGTAGGCTTTTGTGGGTTTCATGCCCACCTCATCTCATTTTATGGGGAACAGTCCTACAGAGAAGCAGAAAGTGTATTCTTGTCCTAATTGGACAGATGGGGGATCTAACAGGCAGACATTATATGATCATTACATGCTGGACATTATATGATCAGCAAGAAGCAGAAGGAGGACTCCAGCTTGTTTCTTCTGGCTCCAAGTCCAGTGATCCTTATTTCAATATTCTGTCTTAACTCTTTTCTTAATATTCCAGGAGAAGATAGATGTTTGAGCCACTTTTTGATTGCTGATAATATTATTACAAAAAAGCATGGGAACAGCCAACATGTGTTGGTCTGTTTACCGGGAACTGGCAGAGGAATTGTGGTCTACATTGTGGAATCTAGATTCAGGAAATTCAGAGATATGAAAACAAAATGAGCAAAAAACCGGGTTGCCTTTTCTTCCTTTCATTTTTTCCCTTTGGTGTCTCAGACCCCTTAGTGACATGAGACCAGTGCCCTTTCTTCCCCATTTCTTTGGCTTTGTGAAGAGCCTACCCTCTCTAGGAACCCTCAGGCCCTGGAAAATGTGGGCAAGGACTGGGCATGCTCAGGTTTGCGGATTTTATTTCTCAGGTTGTAAAAGCAGGTGAAGCAGCACCTCCTCCACCTGCAGTCAGTGGGAGAGTACTGGGGATTAGAATGTTTAAAGACATTTCCTGGGGTTTGTTTTTAGAAACAGTAGATAGGAGCCTGTCCTGATTTGAGTGAGTAAGATCAGATAAAAATTAATGGGGATCTAACAGTCAAAGCAGGCAACCCCATTTTCCTTCACTGCATCATAGGGATCCTAGTAGAGTGGATGAAGGAAGGAGAGCTGTGGGCAGGCAGAGAAGGGAGCAGTGTGTCAGTGTGTCATGGAAACATGGGACAAATCCATTATGGCAGCGACACCCACTGAAAGCAAAATGAGCCTTGAATTCATGCCACATACTGTGTACTCCTCCATAAGACATTTGCACTGATAGTGAAGGCAACCACGAGAAGCACACGCCAGTGTTTTCCTCCTTCCATGCTTGAATAGGGTGGAACCATTTATTTACTGGACAACTAGAAGGCTAGGAGCTCGTGAGATCAATATGCACAGTCTCACCAGACAGCTTAAACAAACAGGCCTGCAGAAATGTGTTAATCTTCCAGGAAGCTGGTTGTAGAATACAGTTTTAGAGTGTGGTCTTGTTTCTGGAGGCTCTCTTCAGGCAGGCCTGGTTCTGTCCACTCTGTTTTGATTCATCTTTTGGCTGCCTCATGTAAGTTTTTAACAGCCAAGTGGCCTTGCTCTGTGTCCCCCTCCCTTCTGGCTCTGTTGCATGTGTGTGTGTGTGTGTGTGTGTGTGTGTGTGTGTGTGTGCACGTGTGCTTATGTGTACATCTCTACACACATGTATGTGAGCCAGTGTTCTGTGGGAGGAGATTGCCAGTCTCCCATATCTGGGTAAGGCCTCAACACCTGGGGACAAGGCTAGTTTCCACAAGGAAGAGTTAATAACTTTTAATATCTCTGTGAAGTTGGGAAGCTTGTCTCTGACTAGTGCTTGGTATTCATTGTGTAAAGAACCATGATGAAACACATACCTGCAGGATAACTTCAAAGGAGTTTAATCTTTGAGATTCTTAACAGGACAATTTTCTAAATGGCTTGTTCAGACTCACTTTACTTTTTATAATGTGAAATAAATGCCAATTACATGGGACAAAACTTGGAAATGAATGTTGCTGGAGCTGTAGTTGTCCATGTTTCTGTGTGAATCTTGTCTGTCTTAGGAGGGCCCAGGGTGTTGAGTATGATTACCTATTTGTGCTCTTTGGTTCATAGGCAGTTAGGCATTATGGGATGATGGAGGCAGTGGCAGGCTTGTTGGCAGTTTGGTTGTCTAGGCAAACACCTAGAAATGGCTTAAAGTATCCTCAGTAGCTGTTCTTGTGTATGATAAAGGCCTAATGGTTGAGCTAAAAAAAAAATGAGCCTCAAAAAGTAATTTCTGAAATATTCTTCCTTTATTTTCTGCTAACGTGAACCCAGCCATGTCCTATGTTATATATGTTCAAGTTAATCGCTATATTTTATCATTTCCATTGGAAAGATTAGGCTTTTGCCTAGAGTTACCCAGGAGAAAAAGATATATAGAATAATGATACTAAACAAAACCATACATAAATGAATATCATTATAAGAACAAGTTGCGTATAAATAAAACTATTTTCACGACCTGGCCAGAAGCCTATTCTAATGCTAATTATTAAGTGGACATAGTGAGTTACATTGAAAGGGAAATCATGTAGCATCCACTTTTTTCTCATCAAAAATATTGCTGTTTCAATGCACTATTTACACCAGCGGCTGCATTTGAAATCCTCATCAGTCAAATTTTGTTTAGGCAATGTGATTGATTTCTCAAATGTGGGGATTTTATGTCATTTTCATTGCAGTTGATGAAAGATGCTTTCTAACTTGGTGCTTGTCTGAGGAGAGGACTGTAAAGTCATAGAACTGTGAAGCAGAAAGGATCTATGGGGATCAACTGAGGTACCCCGTCCTACTCCCAACCCACTTATGTTATAGATGAGGACACTGAGATCCAGAGAGCTGAATTTCCTTATCCAAAGTCACACAGCACATTAATGGGCAAGCCAGGACTGGAACTCAGGGTTCCAGCTGCATTCAGCCTGTTTCACCCTAGCATCAGCTCTGAACGCTTTTCCCAGGCATCCCAGTGAATGCTGATTAAGGCCGCTCTTCCTCCCTAGGGTCTTCCTGGGTTTGCATTGCCCCTTCCTTGAGTCTCTGGATCTTTGCTAGCAGCTGCACCAGGCCCAGGAATGAGAGAGAAATGGGAAGTGGAGGAAAGAAGGGCAGGGGGAAAATGACTTTGGAAGAGTAACCTGTGTCTCTAAAGTAATGAGGTGGACTTTCTTTTGTGACCCACAACATTTCTATGATGCTCATAGACAAGAACCAAATACACTTTGGCAACAAATAGCATCGTTAGAATCTGCAATCAGCTTTTCAGTGTTGTGCCATTGAAAAACAATATGCATTTGGACGAAAAGCTCTGGTTTTATTCATTTCTGTGCATATAGATAGATGAATTTGAAGTACCTAGGAATTTTGGGCTTTTTTGAATTATTTGTACATACTTCTTTATCATCATGGCCAATCCACATGACATGATGTATAAATGAATGTATCTCTTTTTGTCATACTGAAACATAATTGCTAGATGATAAAACATTTAGCACAAACATTTCATAAAATCAAATTTCAGTTCTGTTTTTTTTCCTTCAGCTTTGATGGATATCCCCATTATTCGTAAGTTAATTCTGCAGAGATTCTTAGAGGAACTGATAAATATTGATAAAAGTGGTTTGAAGTTCCATGTATCTAAAAATGAACCTAATCTCTCTCCAGCTATTTAAAGTAGATATGTGATAAATACTCTCTTTGTCAAAAAAAATAAACGAATGAATGAATGAGCAAATGCTAGGGAGCTAAGAATGGCTGATTAAATTAACAGAGATTGGGCTGCTTTTTAGAAAAAACATTCCACCACATTGGCCTGATGTTATTTGGTATACACAGTAAGGTACAGTATGCATTACTAACCTCATTAAGTTCCAAATAAAACTCTATACTTTACACCATTTCTACGAGAGGTTTTATTAGATTTCCTTAACTGGTGTCATGTTTTTTGGTCAGGGCATTTTTAACCAGCTTCACATAAATAAAGTTCTATTTTGTCACCATGTCATAGTAAAATAAACTGCGTGTACTATGCATCTCTGCCAAAGCCAGAGCAGACGGGGAAAGGATATAAATGTGTCAGTATTCGGGGAGAGAAAACACATAAATGCACATGGCGACTCTCTTAACTCCGAGGCTCAGCGTGATGCTAATTCATTTGGGTGACATTTAGAAAGCTACTCCCAACATAAATAATACGTATATAGTGGGGGGTATCTCTGACAGACACAAAGTTGAAAAAAATGGCCTGAAAGAATGCACATCAGATTTTACAGGTGCTCAGAACATTAATGTACAGTGATGGATGACCTACTTGCTGAAGGTTGACATAATGTTGAATGGAATGTTTTGTTTATATCTGGTACCAAGTTTATTGACCAGCACCAAAGGGTAGGACCAAGCTGGGATTTGAACAGTCCCTACTTTTTGTATGTGTATGTGTGGAAACTGTTTTCTATGTCCCACCTCCTCACAGGCAACAGTTCTTAAGTTGTTTCACAGATATCATTCCACAAGATGAATTACTCTCTTCAATGAAAAAACAAAAAACAAAAAAAAACAACCTTAGGCCTATGTATTCCTTACCAGAGGTGCAAATCTTGATGTGTAGATGTGAAAAATCAAGAGAGGGGCTTTTACCACATTTATCATACATCTTTAATCTTGGTTTGTCATCTCTAATGTGCCTGCAGTTAAAATCTTCATGACTAATGGTGAGTTGCTACTAGCAGTGCCTGTGGCTAAAAAAAAATCAGAAAATCCAGAAATATAAGAGACCAACAAGTCAAGTAGGCCATCTAAATGACAGGATAGACTTGTCCCCAAGTGTCCTTTCCAGTATGAATAAAAAGAGTTATAACAAAAAATAGGAAAACTTTTGGTATCAGTCCAAGTGATAATTTTCTTTCATTACTAAGTGGGAAATTATCACAGTACAAAAGTAATCCTTTGGGAAAATCTTCCAAGTACTTAGCATAAATTCTTTCTTTCATAATGTCAGCCATTATACCTAGTTATTATAACCTCTTGAGCAATGGAGTGCATTCTTCTTTTTTGATGATTATACCATTCAAGTGAATTTTACCATGTCCATCTTTAGTTATTTTTAGTTTGTTTGCCCATTCATTCTTTCATTTACTCACCCACTTAACAAGCATTTATTGAATGTCTACACTAGGCCAGGTTTTGAGGAAGGTACAAAGACACATCAGACAGATAACTTTCAGATGGCTTCAAAAGTAGAGTGGAGAAAAAACATGCAAAAACTCCCCAAATATGAAGTAGAAAGTGGCTCATGTCCTTAGAAAGTTATATATAGGGTTGGGAGGTACATATGCAGAAGTAATCATTGGTTCTAGCTGGATGGCTCTGGCTAAACATCCTAGGAGTGGCAATATTTGAGCTGGGCCTTAAAGGATGCCTAGAATTTGTGCCTCCCTTAAATAGGTGGAAGTAGAGGGAAGTCATTGCAGGTACAAAGAAAATGAAGAAAGGTAGAGGAAGGAAAGGAAAGGACAAGTGGAGGAATCAGAAAATAATGGAATGGCTCAATCGAGCTAGTTAACATTTGCATTAGCCCACATATTTATCATTTTTTTGTGTGGTGACAATACTTAAAATCTACTCTCGTAGCGATTTTGAAAATACAATACATTGTTATTTACTATAGTTACCATGCTGAACAATAGATCTGGACTATTTCAGAACATCATATTATACATGAT
This sequence comes from Homo sapiens, assembly GCF_000001405.40. Taxonomy (NCBI): domain Eukaryota; kingdom Metazoa; phylum Chordata; class Mammalia; order Primates; family Hominidae; genus Homo; species Homo sapiens. The sequence goes on along the minus strand of NC_000014.9, from coordinate 36,954,564 downwards.
ACATATATATGAATTTTATGTGTCAATTAAAAATATAATTCCAATTAAATATATATTATTTCTTATATATATATATGTATGTATGTGTTTTCCTTATAAAGAAAATAATGGAAACCTAAGTTGGGGTCAGATCAGCAAGGACGTTGGGAAGTCAAGCTAGAGATTTCAGGCCTTCCTCTGTAGTTAGTAAGGAGAAATGGAAAGTCTTTAGCAGACGAGGATTATGCTAAGGAGGACTTCTCTAGGATGGGGGGAGGATAAAGACAACAAAGGTGGAGAGGCCAGTTGGGAGGTCCTGATGAGAGGGAGAGAATTCCGTAAAAGGGTGTGGAGAAGAAACATGAGGCAGAAATTACAAAGGACAATCAGAGACATTTTTTACTGGGGATGATGCATCAAGATTGACTTTCAGGTTTCAGCTGAGTGACTATGATAATTAATAAAAATGAGAGCAGGTTTAGAAGAGATGGGACGATCAGTTTGGTTGTGGCCACCAGTATGATAGTCTGGTTCTACAGAATCATGTTGTATTCACCTTTGACTCTCCAGTTTCTAATACATTGTAGATGTCAAATAAAGTCAGAATGTTATTGAAAAAACTAATTATTCCATGTGAAGATGTCCAGTAGGCAGTTGGAAAACCAAGCTATTTACAATTTTTTTCCCTTCAGAGTGTCTGGCACATAATATACACTTAAGCATGTATTAAATATCTAATAAATTTAATATTTCTTAACCACAAGAGTGTCTAAAATGCCTATGTGGTAAGTATTTTTGAAGAAATTCCTCTATTGTGATGATAATTTCCGAAGTGACAGATTTATACTCTGTCTTTCCAATTAATAGCAAATGTAGTATTTGAAATACTGTTTATGGTCTTATGCTGAAAAAATTTTTATGTTGAAAAACTTTGTGCCAAAATGAGTTTCTGCCAGTAAGGAACACTAACTTTTAGCCATTTGTTTGCGATATGAAATAAAGAAAATTATCTAAGAATTTTTACCTCTGTTCATTTTGTCATCTACTGAATGTTAACCTACATTGTGCAGGGATTCATATTTTTTTCAGTTTTGAGCTAACCACTTATAAACTTCACAATCGTGTTTTGTTCTGTTTTGACTTTTTCTTTGTATTTTGTATTTCTGACTATATATGCTATCTATATGACTATATAGTGAGATGTATGACTAAATTTTATTAATATCATCTGTTTATGCCATCTTTATGTTATAAACAATGTGAATCTTTTGGGCTACATAGAAAAATATTAGTATGAGCTTTGTTATTTAGCTCAGCCTGCCATTTACACAAAGCAGCCCAAAAATATCTTGCTATATTTATATGAAATTCAAAAGTTGATGATTAAGAAACATTTTAAAGTTCAAGCACATTGCTGATTAGTAATAGCTTATAGTACATCTTGTTATCGTTAACTAAATATTTTCTGATATTCAACCCTTGATAACCAAAAGCAGTGTTTAGACATGGACCATAATACAGGCAATTGATACCTCAAAACTAAATAGATAGAGGCAGAGGTAGAATAGCAAAATGATAAAAATCAAATTCCACAACACCACTGAAGGATCCAGAGAACACTGGATAGCCACAGCTTGATGATAGATGAGTAACCAGATCTAAATGCTCTGTAAATAGCCCGTCATTTGAGAGAAGTCTTCTTGAATATCCCGTTCTTCATTCCTGAAACATGACAACTTGGGAACCAAACCCAAGCTACAGAAGGTGTAGTCTTTTTGCCCAAGGCCACACCCTTGCTGACTGGATAAAAATGGGACCCTTGTATTTGGGGATTTATTGTCACAACGCTAAGGAATCACTGTTTTTGTTTTGTCTTGTTTTTACCCTTAGTTATTTTATCATGGCATTCCCAAGAATTGTCAGTTTAAACCCCAAGGATCTGGAAAATGGTGGGACTTTTTTTAAGTCTAGACTTATTCGGTCTACAGTTTGTTTCTAATACAATGTCATTTGTCCTTGCTCAGGATGAGACTCCTACATTTAGTGACCATTTACATGTGATAGTATAGTAATAAAATTAAGAAAAGAATTCTACCTTTTAAGAAACTTATCAACAGAAACAATAGACATGTAAATATAAGAATCTTTAAGAACAAGAAATAATAAATGACTTCCTCCCCACAAATTGAAATTGACAATGTAGATATTTAAGCAGGAAATAGAATTTACATATAAATTTCTATTTGTTTCTATTTCCTGCTTAAATATCTACATTGCCAAAAACCAAAGGAAAGAAGACAATCATTTATTTATTCTACTCTGATTCTTTCTTTTTTCTTTCTTTCTTTTCTTTTTGAGATGGAATCTTGCTCTATTGCCCAGGCTGGAGTGCAGTGGCGCAATCTCGGCTCACTGCACCTCCACCTCCTAGGCTCAGGTGATTCTCCTGCCTCAGCCTGTGAGTAGCTGGGATTACAGGCACGCACCACCATGCCCAGTTAATTTTGTATTTTTAGTAGAGATGGGGTTTCATCATGTTGGCCAGGCTGGTCTTGAACTTCTGACCTAAGTGATCTGCCCTCCTTGGCCTCCCAAAGTGCTGGGATTACAGGCATGAGCCACTGCACCCTGCCTGATTCTCTTTTATTGGCCCAAGTTTACTCTGCTTTCATTGTACCTGAAGCAAGACTACCTGAAGCATGGGCAAAAATGAAGTCATTGCAGGAGTCCTCTACTTGTAGTATATGTAACCAGCGAATCATTTTGTGGGCTTTCAGAATGCAGGGTCTTAGCAGTTGTGATCTCTGGATAACCTAGAAGCCTGTATTAGAAGCTCTGAATTGATTCTGTGTTGTTTGTGTGTAGAATTGTGCAATATTTCCACCAGCCAGGCCTAGACTGGATCATCTTAATAGTTATTGAATTGCTTTAGTACTATTATTTTAAATTATTTGTTGATGCTTTTGCAAAACAATTCTTTGCAAAAAAAAAATGCATACCTTGCACAAATATTTAGACATAAGGACTTTGTTGAATGGACGTGTCTGTGGATAAGAGAGGCCCTATTTGTTTTATTTGCTCCAGCAACATGGCTAGAATAATCAAGGTCTGTTCATTGGTTTGTAAGGGGTTTGGCTTTGAGATGCAGAGAGTTCAATAATTTAGAGACAGTGCTGTGGAAAAAATAGTGGAAATAATATAACTAGTCAGCAATCCCTGCATTTCCTGTTTATTATTATTTTTTAACATTCTCTTTCTATTTTAAGGTATTATGTTGCTTGAATCCTCTTTCTAAACAGAATTGATTGCTTTAAAGTAGGCTATTTGGTTATAGTTTTTTTTTTTTTTTTGTAATGGCAGTAGAGAAGGCAAACTATTGTTAAACTATTGCTCTTTTTGTGTATTTTTAAAGAAGTAGTGAGTAGTTTTTGGTTAGTGGTTTAGTTACCAAAACATTGTCTCTGAAACAGATAGAGAAGACTGCCTCTAGGGTATATGACAGATGGGGTTGACTTCAGGTTGCTTTGTTTTTCTTCTGGAGAGTTAGGGGGCAGAGAGGGCTCACTGTGGTTCCTGCAGCCATTGCTGAGGAAATGGAGGGTGTAGAGCCTTGAGCTCCTGGAGAGCAGTTGTGGAGGGGAGCCTAGAATATGCATTCCTTGCTGCAATTCCAGGTTTTTCCAGAAAATGAGAGAGAGGTAAGAGGTCCAGCTGGCTCATTTCTTCAGCTAGGTATTTGCAAAACAAATAATTTGAGTATTCCCGTGCAATAAGAATGTCAGTTGGATGTTAGGTTGTGGGGAAACAAGCTGCTGACTCTGTATCAAGTAATTGATTAGCTTCATACAAGAAACTTACTCAGTATTTCCCACACTGCCCTTGAACTAGAATGCAAATTCCCAGTAGCCAGGGGCTATGTCTGTTCACCGTTTGCATCTCCTAAACATAATAGGAATTGTGAATTCATTTGCTAGGGCTGCCATAACAATATACCACAGACTGGGTGGCTTAAATAACAGAAATTTATTTTCTCTTAGTTCTAGAGGCCAAAAATCCAGGATCAAGGTGCCGGCAGGTTGGTTGCTGGTGGGACCTTTCTTCCTGGCTTGCAGATGGCAACTTTCTTGCTATGTTCTCATGTGACCTTCAGGAAGAAATATATCTTCGGTATTTCTTCCTCTTCTTATAAAGATATTAGTCCTATTGGATGAAGGTCCTTCTTACGACCCCATTTAATCTTAATTACCACCTTAACAGCCCTATCTCCAAATGTAGTCACATTAGGATTAGGATTTTAACCTATGAATTGGGGGGCACAGTTCAATCCATAACAAGCTAATCAAAGTTTATTGGATAAATAATGAACAAAATCATGGGTGTTATTCAGAAATAATATAAATGTGAAAGGTGACATGTGGTTTTATAAAGGTACCTTGCGACAAATTACATGGTTCAAGGTTTCCCAAAATATGTTCTATGGAATACTAGTCTCCTAAGATGCTCTGTCAGAACAGCATTTACAGTATTTAAATAGATTTGGAGAACTCTGCATACTACATCCCCTTCTTGGAGAGTCAGACTGTACATTACCGTTATAAAGTCTCTGATATGTACTTTGGAAAAGAATACTGTTTAATTGTATTTAACCCAGAGTTTTCTTGTACATGTTGGATGCAGAATGTGTCCAGAGCCCCTTCCCCCACCTTTTTGAAGAAACCCATTGTTGTCTATTTGCCTGCTTTGAAAAATGCTTCAACCCATACTGAAGGCTAAAAGTCTCAGAGTTGAGAAAAGCATCTCCTGTTTCCTCTGTTTTCCATTTACTGTCCCAATTCAACTCTAGACTTTTAGAAAATAGGAATCTAGAAATGGACATTAATATATAAACTTAAACTTGATATCATGGCAATAACAGTAAAAATAAAATGTGAAAGTTGTTCAACGAAGGAAAAAAAAATCCCATAAACAGGGAACTGACTGTAGAAAGGAGAAGCCCTTTGAGTAGGCATGGGGCCAGGCAGCGGGGAGGAAGTGCAGAGGAGGCAGGGGACAAGGTGGAGAATTCCTGAGAAAGAAAACTAGAGCTCATGGGAAAAATGACTTAACCTTTATTGTGCTTTAAAGACAAGTTTAAAGTTTATTTTAAATTGGTTTGGTTTACAAATGTATTCACTTTCTAAATAACTTGCCTTAATAATGTGAATTAAAAATCTTCATTGGGATACATACAAACAATTTTCACAGTATATAAGAGGCATGCCTTGGGGTGTGTCCATCACCAAGGTCAAGAGGAGAATGAAGATGATTACATAGATGACTATAAGTCAAGATCAAAGCTTCTTATAGGTATTACATTTCCAAAGATGAGAAGAGGGTTTTGAAAGGAATGTACTTTTGATTGTGGTGACTGAGACAAGTCATTATCTCTCTTTTTCTCCCTCAAAGAAAGCTGGACTGATATTCAGACACTGGCCTCTGAGAGAATCCAATTCTAATTCTGGCTTAACCAGAGCCCATCACTCGATCTCTGTAAGCCTCACTTTCCTTGTTTGTCAAATGCAACAGACTGGGCAAGATGATTTGTAAGTTCTCAACTGGTTTTCACATTCTGTGACTTTATCTTTTAGACCAAGTGTTGTCCTATAGGGATATAATGCAAACCATATATGACAAATCCAAACTTTTGAATAGCCACATTAGAGAAAAGTAGAAACAGGTGGAATTTATTTTAGTAATACATTTTATTTAACATAATTTAAAATATTAACATAATATTTAATTTAAAATATTAATGAGGTCTTTTACATTCTGTTTTTAGTATCGCGTCTTTGGAATTGGTGTGCATTTTATATCTACAACACATTTCAGTTCAGCCTAGCCATATTTCAAGTGCACAATTGCCACTTGTGGCTAGTGGCTGACATATTTGGCAGCATAACTTTAGACATAGAGAATTAGAAAGCGAAACTTTTCATCACAATTTGATACTGTGGAGTAACTGTACTCTGCTTTTTAATGTTGATCATTTTATGATGTTCTTCTACTAGATGTCTTTTTACTTTCATTATCTTCAAGCAGGGTCTTATTCAATGATTCTTTATTATTATTTTTATCTGTTCTCTGCTTATTACTACAGAACAGTTTTCTCTGAGTGCAAACTTGTTAGCTATGCCAAACTATCTGTGACAGATTTATAACTTATGCCTGCAGAGAATGACAAGCATAACTGAATCCACTTGTATGCGCTACCATTATATCTAAGGAAAGTAAATAAAGCTATATACCAACTAAGAATTTATTGTTTTCTGACTTGTATTATCCCAGTTAATTAGAGTGGCAAATAAAAAAATCGAAGCCACTGACTTTATACATATAGTCTGCACACCTAGGTATGTCATAAATAAGGCAGTAATTCTAGTTATATTTGTCAGGGAATGTGTACATGGTGTAGATTTAAAGTCAGAATTGCATTCTTAAGAACTAGGATTTCTAAACTGATGTGTGCACGCTTCTATCAGAGCTAAAGCCCCTTATAATGCCATATATTTTTCTGTGCTGTTATAAAATATTCATACTTTGGAATAATGATGGTCCCTTCTTCAAGGAAAAAGAAATATCTGGTTACTAACTCAACATTCCTTGAGAAGCTTTCACTATTTATTTCCACATACATATCATTTAGAATCGAGTAATGCCTGAAATGTGTTTTGGGTGCAATACCTCTAGGTCTTAAAGACAGTTCCTTCTAAGAGGAAAAATGAATATCGGATTACTAACCTAATAAAACCTGAGATGCTTTCACTGTATATGTTCAGATACATATGGTTTAATATAAAATACCCCCTAAAATGTGTTTTGAGTATCACATTGGAGAGAGAAAATGTATGCAGGTGACCAGAACACTCTGGTTTCAATGGCACAAAAGTAAATCAGACCTAAAATATCATCAGATGTGTGTGTCTATATATGGGGAGAAGCCATTCTGAAGCAGTGTGTGTCATGCATTACGGAGCAGACATGGTAAATCATCATAAGCTGAGGACCAGCTCTGTGTTTGTGGAGCAAAAACCCAGCCTTTCTTTGCTGGATAATAAATGATCCCAGGGCTGGAAAGGAGTCAGACATTTCAGACCAGCTGAAGACAAACTATCTTTGAGGCCAGTCTTCTTAATTCACCTGTACACATCCCACATTATTACTCAGGTGCTGAGCAGAAGTGCTTTTTGTCTTCAAGACTGAAAGACTCTTTGGTTTAAATTATGAACCTTCTCTGGTTTTCTTTCAGAAAGTAAAATAAATGCTGTAGTGGTTACTTGTTGTTGAAAGTTGTTAAAATACACAAGTTCTGCCCCATTTCCAGTGAAATGCTGTGACTTAAGAATGCCTGTTTATTGTTACTTGGTGTGCAGCTGAACTATGCAGGTAGATGTAATTGGATTCTGTTTCTCATTGCTTTATGCATTTCATTATCACTTATGGGCTGTTTCAAAAGGCTAGAATTGAAACCGCCAAAGAGTAAAGTAGTTGATGACTTAGAAACTTTTGCTGAACACATGAGGTGGGTCTAGGAGAGCTGGAGGATATAGAATAAAGTAATTTCTTGGCATTAAAAGCAATTATTACTAAAGATAAATAGTGTCCAGAATGAACTGCTACAAGACAGACTGAAAAAATACTATAATATTATGCCAGATAAACACATATAAAATATTAAAACATGGTCTGAGCACAGGTTGGTTTGTATAGTAACTCACTTCCTTTATTTGTCAAGTTATGTTTCATGGTCAGGCCATGACAAGCTGACATCCTGGAGGAATTATTGAGATTATGGGGTGGCCATCATTCACTGAACTGCTAGGCTGGACATTCGTTGAGCAAAACCAACTGTTACCTAGATTTTAATTAATTGGTCAGCTGAGAAATGTGACAACACACCTGAAGAAATTATTTAGGGAAGAAAAGTTTCACCTACCTGGTATTTAACATTAAGATATTTTTCTTAATTCTATTTATACCAGGCAGGCAAAATAGAAGTTTAAGGGCACATGTTAATGCCATTGAAAGATTTAAGGACACAAACACTAAACTTTCATTGGAATTACTATTGCTATTATTTACGTATGGAATCATTTATTTATTGGTATTAATAGTCAATCAAATATAAGTTTACTCATGGTAAACTTAATTAATTACATTTAAACTAACTACCCTCACTTTCTTTCTCCTGTACAAATGATGGCTACTGGATACTAAATACAGACATTATTTAGAAACAAGAGGACTTAATTCTTGAACATACCTATGGATTGTGAGATCCTTGACGCTTTAAAGCTTTTAACATTGTATTTTAATGATATAATTTGTACTACACTGGTACAGTATGACAAGAAGTAAGTTTGCATTTGCAAACTTGTCTCCTATGTGTTTAATATTTATAAGCAGTTGATAACACCATTCTACTTGCTTCTTGCTATAAATCTAAAATGTTTCTACTTACATCCTTGAGGTATTCACTAATTTATCTGATCCTTTTTTCTTGTGCTAACGGAAGCATTCACATAATAGGTACATCATAGGGCTAGAGGTTATGTTGCTAGCTTGCTTATGTTTATATATTCAAATTCTTATTTTGGACTTTGAATGGTGAAATTTTTTCACCTTTTTTCTTCATTAAATAAAGTTAGTTTTTTATTGTGGCAAAATACACATAACATAAAATTTACCATCTTAACCATTTTTAAGTGTATAGTTCAGTGGCATTAAGTACATTCACATTATTGCACAGCCATCTCCACCATTCATCTCCAGAACTCTTTTCCTGTTGCAAAATTGAAGTTCTGTACCCATTAAGCACTAGCTCCCCATTATCTTCTCCCCCAGCCCCTGATGCCAACATTCTATTTTCTGTTTCTATGAATTTGATTATTCTAGGTATATACCATATATAAGTGGAATTGCACAGTATCTGTCCTTTTAGGACTGGCTTATTTCATGTAGCATAATGTCCTCAACGTTTATTCATGTTAGCATGTGTCAGAATGTCCTTCCTTTTTAAGGCTAAATAATATTCCATTTGTATGGATATACTTTATTTTGTTTTTCCATTCATCTGTCGATGAACACGGGTTGCTTCTACCTCTTGCCTCTCATGAATAGCGCTGCTGTGAATGTGGGGGTACAAATATCTCTTCAAGTCTCTGCTTTCAGTTCTTTGGGGTATATGCCCAGAAGTGGATTTTCTGGATTATATGGTTAAAATTTGTCTTACACAGGCTAAAAATGAGATGTCTCACTTGGGCACATGGTATCAACTTGTATTTCTGCCTCCATTTGTAGCAATATTCTTTACTTTTATGTCTCAGTTTCTTCATTAAGTGAAGATAACATACCTTATTTCTCAGTAGTTTGAAAGGATTATGGGGACATTTTGCTGATGGACTGGGTAACCACTTCTTCTTATCCTCACAGGTAGTCCTGAAGAACTAAAAATAATAATAATCTGAGTCAGGGGAAAGAGGTTTTTGGTTTGTTTCGGTTTTGGCTTTTGGTTGTCCTGAGAAGACTGACTAGGATGAACACTCCTAGAAAAAGGAAGAAATCAACATGATTTGGCATGTTCTCAGCAACTGTACCAGCAGTGTTATGAAAAGGTCAAAATGATGATAAACCATCATATATTTCAGTTTGAAAATTAGAATTGATTCACACAACAAAAATAAACTGTGATGGGATGAGTCAGCTTCAGGCAGTGGACCTAGCTTTAGGGCATCTCATCTTGGGTCAGTGTTTGTTTGGCTTTTGAGGTAAGGCTCATTCTACTCAATAAAATGAGAGAAGATGGGACAAACTGTGAGAAAGGGAAAAATGTGAAATTTATCTTTGTTAAGGAGGCACATATGAATTCTGTGGCTTAGAAATGCTTTACAAATGTTCATGAGTTTTCTTGTGTATTGAATAGGACATTCGTAGTCACTTGTTTATGCTTACACTGGAGCCGGCCCTTGGAGCCCCACCCTTCAGGGAGAAGACTGTGGAACAGATGTCGCTCTCCACAGCCTGTGTGGATGAGGGAGAGAGGAGATCCTCTCACTATCTGTGATGTTTCCTCCCCCAGCATGGTTTACTAAGTGTTAGTCATCTCTCAAGGCCCAGCTGCCTCCTTCAGAAAGCCTTCCTTGATACCCTATGCCCTCCACCCGCAACCTGCCAACTCCTACCGCAAGCTGAAGGCAGTTTTCTTCCTCTGGACTCCCATAACAATTTCTCAAAGCCCACTGGGACAATCACTTTTGTCTGCTACTTGTCCACATGTCTTTCCTCCCCTATTAATGGCAGGCTATGGGTTTGTCCTTGCCCGACAGTATGCTGGGCTAGGGTCCCAGGTGTCGACAGGATTCAGGATATGACCTTGACAACTGGCCAGAGGCACCTGCATTTACCTCTGGTCACTCTTCAGTACAGAGGCCAACACGGGAGCATGGCTCTGTGATGTAAATGGAGAAGGATTAGAGCAGAATTTTTATATGTATGAATTTGGGATTTCAGAGGGAATTGGGTATCCTTTTCTTGGAGTGAATTAGGCCCAATCTGTTGCCTTTTATCTCCTCTAATAAATTTAGTGGTGATAATTTTATATTTAATATAAACATCTTTTACTATGTATTTTTTCAATTAATTAATTAAACTTGTTACAGGGAAATATGTTACTAGGAGGTTTCTTAGCCAGCTTTTTAAACAAAGGCTTCTTGCTAACTGGAAGGCCCAGTTAGGTGGTATAAGACTCATACCCTGTTCTTATTTCCAAGCCTTGGCGAAACCTTCCTGACCTGACTTTGCAGTGCTCTCTCAGGTTTGGTACTGTGTAAGCTACAAAGAGCCAAGTGGAACTGTCACTGGGTTACCTGGCATTTCCCCAGACTTTCACAAGGACCGATTTACCAGGGGCAGTTCATCTTGGTCTTACATATAGCAGCAGGGCAGGGACTCAGAGGGACAGAAGCAGCCCTCCAATAGTGTGAATACTTAGAATAGTTCATTTGTGTGCTCTGAAATAAACCCCTACATGTCTAAGACATGATACAAAACAAGCCTAGGGCCAGGTGCGGTGACTTATGCCTGTAATCCCAGCACTTTTGGGAGGCCAAGGCGGGCAGATCACATGAGGCCAGGAGCTCAAGACCAGCCTGGCCAACATGGTGAAAGGGTGTCTTTACTAAAAATACAAAAATTAGCCGGGTGTGGTGGAGCGTGCCTGTAATTCTAGCTAGTCGGGAGGCTGAGGCAGGAGAATCACTTGAACCCGGGAGGCAGAGAGCTGCAGTGAGTTGAGATTGCACCACTGCACTTCAGCCTGGGTGACAGAGTGAGACTCAGTCTTAAACACAGGGACAGTGACTAAAATCTATCTCCCTATGTAGGAAAATATAATAGAATTCTTTCTTCAGCAAATCATAGAGTCTCACAATTGGGAAGACTATAGAGTTCACTTGGTGGACTTGACTGATGTGTGACTCTCTCTGGCATGTAGTAGTAATTCCGCCTTTGCTCAGATTTGCGTTTCTGACTCATTGCCTTCTAAGGCAGAAGCAGCTCTCTACTGGAACCATACCTTCCCCAGTCCCAAAAGATGGGGGTGGACTAGGGGAGGGGCTCAAATCTAAATTTACCCTCCTACTAAAAAGTGCCATGAAGGAAAAATAACTATACCTCTGCACATAATATTTTAGTTTGAAAACTCCAAATTTAGTGTATAAGTAGTATAAGTACTATTTGGTTACTTATGTCCCAAATACAGACTGAACTTCACAAACAGCCGGTCACTTGATTTCATCAAAATTCTTTGCTTGATGGAGAACAGACTAGTGTGACCAGCTTTGGCAGAACATATCAAGGGAAAAGAAAATTGCACAAGTCTTTTCACCACGTTATATTTTTCACCACAGCTGGTCTTTTTCCTCTCCACCACTTCTACCCCTCCAAATTTTCTTTCTGTCCTTGCATAAAATTAAAATCATAACATTTGGTTGCATAGTTAGGATTAATTACTCCAGATACTTTTCATTTATCTTCCTTTCAAATATGTGTGATAGAAAGCATAGATTAAAATAATTAAAATGTGTTCTCCCAACGTGCCTGAGAGCCAAGGTAGACAACTGTCCTACCGCCGTCCGCCACTAGGTGCCAGCACGGTTCTGCTCCCTGCTTAGTTCTTGTCCCAAGATAGTTCAGCGAAGCTTCCAGCTTCTTTAAGAACGTGTACCTTGCATGTATGGCATATTTTTGTGTATTTATATTGTTTCAGAAATTGGACTAGATTTAAGCAAAAATATTCTCAGGACACTTGGCTTTCTAATCGCGAAGAATTTCAGTTTCAAAAAGAATTGAAGGTATAATGAATTTAAGTCATTAGAAACAGCTAGGTGATTTTTTTTTTTAGTTCAAACTCTTAAGCTCGGTGTTAATTGTAAGAGAATGAATAATAGTCTAACTAATTGAAAATTAAACACGTGTAATAAAAATAAATATAAAGTGGTGATGGCATATTTCCGGAGTCATAAGAACAAAATTTTACCAGTTTTGTTATTTTAGGTTTAGCTTTTTACATTGATACAATTATTTCTCCTCTGATGATGTGCATGTAATTTGATGTATCATTGATTTTGCTTCATCTAATTACATGTTCTAAGTTTATTTAAAAAAAATTTATTTAAACATTTGAAAAAATGTTTATTTCAGAATATTTCAAATAAAGACACTATTTTCACACAACCTCTAAAATTATGTATTTAAGTATTTTATTGTATACTTTTCAGTTTCTGTATTTTTAATTTACTTCTTGAGATAAAAATTTGAATTTTTCAATAATTAGCAGTTAATATTTTGACCATTAATGAAGAATAGCATTTAAAATTATTCTGTGAACAAAAGTATAATTATATTTAATTTTATATATTCTAAACTACATAAGAAAGTATAATAAAAAATTCCATGCCATAATTAAATATGCATCACAGATTTTCTGTGCGGAAAATACTGTTAAAATGCAAATTAATGTGGTAAAAACATTTATTAAATGTTGAGACTTATCTGATTCAAGATTTATATCAAAATTATATAAATATAATTTGAATTTATTTGGTGTAGTTTTCTTGATAATGTAAATTAAAGCTACAATCAATGCTATTGCTACAATCACTCCTATATTTAAAAAAGTCAATGTGTAAGTCAAAATACTCTCTATACAATTTTGTGCAGCATAATCTTTGAAAATGATGGAAGCCACAAAATGTTGACTGCCTAAACTATATATTTGAGCTAATAAGAGCATGATTTCTAAAAATATGAGATGATTTTTTTCCACTGTTTTGTGATATATTATGGGATAAGATCATTGCTGTCCCTGATCACATGCATTGTAGGAAGGCCCTCTGTGTACTCCCGGAGTTTGGTTTGATACTAAATAGTGTCAATATTTTGAGTAAAGCTTGAGTAAATTTCAGGAACTTTCCGGACCTATGTAGATATAATATATACTGCATAATTCTTTTACTTCCATTCTGATGGTTTCTTTTAATCTGTAGGAGTATTTTTGTGTGAAAAAAAGAAAAAAGAAAGCAATGAAATGCTGTTTAATCTGAAACAGGTTTTTAAGTTCAGTCTCAGAAGCAAGATCAAATGACCTATCCAGTCATTCTATATCTGCAATTCCTTCACAGTACTTTTCTCCAGTTTCTCAGATCAGCCCAAATCTTGGTTGGAATACTGGATTCTGTACTTTGTCCTTTTTCAGTATCAGACAATCGTAATATGGTCAGAGTTCTATCCAACTTCAAAGATGGTCATCTGAAAGTCTGAAATTCTTTGTTGCTGTGAAGTTCAATGAAAAGATTTCAGTGTTGAATTCAACCCAGACCACAGAACGATTAAATTCTTTGTTTTTGATACGTTGCATGGTAAGATATTGTGTAATCGAGTTGCTTGCAACTTTCTGACTTATTTTATTTAGAAAAAAATGACCAGGCTATTAACTATATATGGCAATTAAAGGAAAGTGCATTGAACATCCTGGCAACACATCACTTTTTTCTGTATTTGATTTAGGCCTCTGTAAAAGGACACCCTCATGCCTTTAAAGTTAAAATACTGTCAATCCCACCATAAACTCCTATTTTTAGGAGTTTTGATTTATAATGCAACCTTTAAAAAAAATACCAACCTACATTCAGAGTAGTATATTTTTTTAAATCTTAGAGAAAATTTTATTAAAATATTGGAATAAACATAGTGTCATTTCCTTTAATTTGGAAGAAAATGAATGAAAAAGAATCAGTGGTTTCAAACACATTTTTCTTCCTTTTCAACTCCAAACTAGCTTAGTTATATGGAAAAGTAATGTATGAACAGATTAATTGAAAGGGGCTGCTGGTAGTCGTTGTTAAAGTTGACTGAGTTCAAGTCTAATGATGAAACTTTGCAATACGCAGTTTAGAATATACACGTAACATTCTTTATTAGATTCTCATTCTATAATACTTACATGAGAAAGGAGGCTTGTACATACCTAAGGTGATTTTTAAACTCTGCTCTGGTACACTGCAGACTGCTATTGACGACGAAGATCTCTTTAGCAAATATGACGTGGAGGAGAACGCTGAATGTAAAACAGATATGTGAAACAATTAGAAACCAGATCTTCTTATTTCTGTGAGTTCACATTCGCAGTGACTAAAATTGTGCATGTTTTCCATTCATTCAGTTTTGATTTTGCTCAAGTGGTTCTAATGGCGCTGATTTTTAAGTTCCTGTGTCTTCTGAATCCATTTTATCCCCTTTTAATGAGCTTAATAAAACGTAAGTAGAATGGTTTGTATGCCATTTATTTTTATATGTATTTAAATATTAAATACATTTCCCTCAAATAAACCATTGGTCTTTCTGATATAAAAAGCATTAAAAAATAAAAGGTTTCTCTCACATAGGACAGCAAGAGGAAGATTTTCAAGAAGTTGGGAGAAAGGAGAGAGGTTGGGTTCTGGGAGATTTGACAAAGCTCCAGGTAACCTGGAGATAGTATGTCACAAAGATTTAGATGGACAACAAGATTATGGGTAACAAAAAGGGGACATAAATCATGTTTATTTGACATGGCCATTTAACAAAAAAAATGCTGTCTTAACAAGCAGTGCACATGAGTATATTCTATTTAATCGTATTGCAGTCAAACCCCTCACAAAAGAAAATATGCATGATAGAGAATTCGTATTTACATTCCCCCCCCACCCCTGGCTCCAGCTTATATGATTTGGAAACACAAACTGCTCCCCCAACCCGACTTTTTTTAGAATACAGAAATAAGACTTTCTTTTGTTTTTTCATGGATGAGTCCGACCACAAATTTAGGTTTACTAATGAGTGTTACAAATTAGCTGGGAAACACAAAATTTTGCAACAAAACCTGCCTTTTAAGTAAAGCTGTTATATGAAATTCCAACTCTGCACCAGAGACATGTTTGAGAAGACTTCATTAATTACAAACAGATTTATAATTTAAGCAATAAATTAATGTATCTGAAATACAATTCAGTTTACAGAACTTGGGTTTACATAAAACTTTTCAGAAACACAAGCTGAGAGTAGTGAACAAGAGTAAGCATAAGAGAGTTAAATCTGAATATATTAGAGACTGATTTATTTCAGTGATGCAATAAGAAATATAGATTTCTGAAGTTTTTTGTTTTTGTTTTTGTTTTTTTACTAATTTATGTTTTACTCATTACATATGCCATGTTTGTATACATGTGCCTTAAATTGATTGGTTTTCATCAGGTTTCTGTTGGGAAGTTTATGAGTCTAAGTTATTGTTCAGGAACCAAAATTCTTTGTGGTTGGTCCTGTTTGTTCATTAATTGAATAAAACAACGAGATGTGAACATGATGATCAGATTGGATTTTCTGTGCAATGATCCAGCTGATTGATTGGCAATCATTTATCATGTATTGAAATATCAAAATCAACCAAGCAGAAGAAAGTGTATTTGATTCTGCACATAGACTAAGGCTCAGCGGGATGCAGACTTAGAAGGCCGTAACACAGAGATGACAAGGACACCAAACCTGCTGCTCTGCTAAGGCTGTCCAGAGACTGAGTCTCAAACAGAACTTTGCCCTAATTAATGCACAAGGTGGTCTTTGCCTTATGAAGAGCTGTGTCATCCTGCAATGAGTGAACTCCACCTAATTAGAGTCCTAGATCAGTAGACCCCTGTGGAATCTTAGTTAAAGGCCTGGCACAGTCCACTCTGTGCCTAGGGGAGTTGATTTGTTACCATACGTGAGTCTGTTTAAATTGAAATCTAGGTGTTGCCAGGAGAAGGCTTCTCGAAGAAAGATGAAGTAAGAAAGGATTCAACACTAGGGCTCTATATGTAGCTTAACAGCATGCGTTCAGGGAGTATGTTTGAGAAAACAATCTAAATCAAGGGTTAACATGCAGACCATTTTTGCAGCATTTTGCTGAGCACCCAAAAGAAAAAACAAGCCAAACATTATATCGAGTTGCCATTAAAAAAAATTTTTTTTTAAAAAAAGTTGTTCTTCTCTCCAGAAAATGTCTGAAATAATAGATGGATTTAAAAAGGAAACACATTTAATTAACCTATACTTGTTTATTGTATACTTTTGTTCCTTTATTTCTCAGCTTTCCAATACAGACTGAATCATCAAACAATAATGGAAACACAAAAAAACTCTTTCCTTTCTGCCATGAGTTTCTGAGCATTTTCTATTCTTTCTTGCCTCATGGCCTTTGCATTTGCTGTGTCCTCTGTGGGGATGGCTTCTCTGGCTCCCTGTGTGGCTGATTCTTCCTCCATTCCCACGTGGACTAACCATCCGTCTCCTCGCAGCCCTATTAATGCTATCCGATCTTTGTTTGTTTCCTTCACAATCCAAAATTATGTTGGCATAGTTTACGTCATTGTCTCCTACCTCTCAACCACCGTAGTTCCATCATCTTGAGCAATGCCAGGCACACAGTAGGTTTTGAAAAAGAAAGGCTCAGATGAAGTGAGTGCTACCCTTTTAAATGTACACATCACATATTTATCACCAATAGGCCGCAATGGAAACCAATGTCACTCTCTACTATGTTGCCTCAAAAAAGGCTGTTCCAGTCACTGACGTTTGAATATGGTTAAGCGTAAGCATGTTTATTTTCCTCCTTGCTTTGTTTGTGAAGGCATTCCTAATTCAGTCTGAGGTCTTCTGGGAGGAAAAGCTCAGCTAGGGAGTACTTGTTCACTCCTTATCAACCCAAGTGAGAACAACGTTGCTAAGAGCGCCTCATTGGCTATATTATTTCTAGGAGCCCAAGACAATGTGGAGAAATGTGGGGCAACGTGCCTTCAGCATCGCCCGGCTTAGTTAGACACAGCAGTTGCTGCAGTGCAGCCTCAGGGTTTTTTCAGCAACAGGCTTTCAATCAACAGCCAAAGGAAACTTAGCATGGCCCTGAAATGAAGCAAATATTTAGCAAGCCATCTGCCTTATTTTCTCTTTTAGTCTCTCAAGCTGAATTATAATATCCATCTGTCCTTGTTGTACCATAGAAAGAGACCCTAGCCATGACCTTATGGCTCCAGGTACACTGTTATAAATGAGCCTCCAGCAGCAGGAATACACGCAGCAAAGTGAAGGGACAGCATTGTGCATTGATCTCCTCCTGTGTGGGGATTTACCATGTTTCTCAATGAATATCAAATTTTGTAGTTCTTCTAGGATATCAGATTTAGAGACTGCATGATTTTCTTCTGGATCTACAAGGACAAAGTGGAAAAAATAAAATTCATTTTAAAACTATCATATTGAAACAGAAAACCCCAATACGTTTACTTATATTACCGTTCTTGGCATTCCTGCTGATTAAAACCCAATGAAATTCAATCTTACCTTAAAAGTCACACGTGTTTTGAACAGAACTGTGGAAGGGGCTCCCAGAGAACCTTTAGGTGATTTCCATTTATTCTGAGAGGTTCTGGTCTGTGGTTTAGTTCTCGCTTTACATTGTCAACATTTCTATCACACATTAGTTACCAAACATGGAAAAGTTGTTAGTGGCTTTGAAAGCTAATGCAGGGTGGTAGTAATCATTTCAGGAGCTTATCTATCTCTCTTGGACAACACAGAAACTGAGAAAAGGCAAACAGTACAAACGGTGGCCCGGGCCGGGAGATGGAGAGGGGTGGTGGGAGGGGGGCTGGTGGAAAGCATTCCAGTCTGTTTGGTTCCTTCACAAATCCTAATGAGATAATAGCTCATCCAGTCAAGCCCATTCCTTACTGTCAGGAAGTGCCACACAAGTAAATGAAGAAATTATTTGAAGAGGGATCAGGATGGGTGTGGACTGTTTGTGATTCAGCTTGGGAGAAATGCAGATGCAAGTTTCTTTAGCTTGACTAGGTTGATTTCCCTTCACGGTGCTGTCTCAACTTCTGTGATTGTTGGCCTGAGGTTTGCAAAGCTGATAGTACTGATAGATAAAAACCCAGTACCAGTAATTAAAGGAAATGTGGAATAACTTAGCCTGGAGTAACTATTCTATCATTTAGAAACAAACTTGTTTCTGCCTTGACATTCAAACCAAATAGAATTTTACTCTAAACCTGCAGGACTCCATAAGGTTCCCCTCTTTAATGGAGAATCCATACATATGCAAAGGAAAGTTTTAAAAATATGTTATTGTATTGACACCCTGTAATTAAAAATGGAGAGGATGATTGAAAGGAATGTGGGACCATATATACACTTTTGGGGAGCAGAATCTCAGAATTAGATATAAACAACAATTGTCACGATAGTACTTGAAAGATGCCCATCCCACCCCCTAGGTTCCTTTGCTTAGATTTGCAAGAATGTTTTATTCTGCTTCAGTACGCTGTAGCCTGGTATATTCAAGGAGATGACAGTGAGGACAACTTAAACTATTGAATTGGTCAGATGTTGAACAGTGCCAATCAGGAGATCATGTGGATCCGCTCCACTAAAAATAGTCATGATAAGTATAGACATTAGGTGGCTTCCACAGAAACCTGTTTGCTCCTAAAAATTAATTGAGTCCCCATTGCTAAACTAAAAAGAGAACCACAGTGTGCAGACTCAACTTGCATAGTCCTTGGGGGAGAATTCCTTCAAAGAGTTGCCATATTAAACTTGGGCCTAGGGACAGAGAGATCTCTCAAATCAAGCTCTGGGTCAGTCCCATGCCTGGTCACAGCTTGTTCCATTCCAGGATAAGTTGAGATGGAAAGATATGGGTGATAAAAAAATTCAGTGATGATTCAAGATTATCCTGTTAGGAGATTCCTGGGGAACATTAAGGAGTTTAGACAGAGCCGCATTCTGGATAGTGTGTGGGCAGTTAGAAACTCTATACCAGCCAGGGTTTTAGGATCCTAAATAGTTGTTTGGAGGTAGCAGTGGCGAGATATGAAATTTAGAGTGGATTGAAACACTTCTAGGATATTTTGAGTTATCTTCTCCATTTGAAAGAGTGGAGTTTCAGTTGCCTGGTAACAGCCCTCAAAAAAAAAAAGATAAAGAACCACAGGTTTTAGCTGTTGGATTTTTTTCTTCTTTCTTTCTGCGGGAAAGGTAGTACTTAGGGAGATTATCTGAGGTATCTAGTGGAATGAAACTCATGAAAATGAAAAAGCAAGGCAATTAAGATGGAAATAGTACCTGGAAAACATACTAAGTGCTTAATAAGTATTAATGTTTCTTGAATAAAGTTTTGAGAATAAAAGACACCAACATATAAAAAGTTTTAAAAATCTCAGCCCTTCTTCTTTTCTCTCTCTCTCTCTCTCTCTTTTCTCTGTGTGTGTGTGTATAACTCTAAGGAGCAAAAGTGAGAATTTTAACAACTATATTTTATAAACTAGAAGCAGAATCCTACCACTTTCTTTTTACCCCATAAGTACTGGTGAATTGGAAGTTAAGTGGAAATGGCATAGGAACTAGGATATTAATTTCAGTCAGTGCTTGGTGGCTGGTGATTTATAGCTTTAATATAAATGAAGAGTTAATTCCCGAGGGATGGCATGCTTTTTTTTTTTTTTTTACTCCCAAGATAAAACAGACACAGGTTAAGTGTAAGGAAGAATTTGATTCCAGGAATTTTAAGGCCTTGGAGTGTGTTGCTTAGAAAGTTGTGTTACTTACTAGAATTTGTGGGTTTCCTTTTGCTTCAGCACTTCAATTATAGAGATTCTCCTTCCTAAGATTTTTTCACCTTTCAAGAAAAGCCTATGAGGTCGCCTGGATTATAGTCAATAGTAAAAGGCATGTACTTTGCCTGAGATTCAGACAGCTGTTCTTTACTCAAGTCCTAAAAGGTTAATAATAATGTAATTTCTACTTATTATCCAAATAAACTTCTTTCTAAAACAATTTGGGCTTAACCAAATACAGATTATAAAAACGCTGTTTTGGAACTTAAAAAAATCTACTTAAATTTTGATATTTTTTTCTAATTAATCATTTCCTTTTATCCACTCTGACTGAAAGCTAGTCTGTAGTCAAAACCATTCCTAGAGATTTGCATTCAACTTTCAGCCATGCTTAGCATCAGAGAACCTTATGGTGCTGAAGTCTTGGGAGTCAAAAATCTTCTCATCTGTCTCTACTGTGTATTCCCTTACAGTAACTGAAAGAAGAATAGTTGTGAGTAAGGTGAAAAGAGAAAGGAAACTCTACTCTGCTCTCTTGTATATGGCTATCTATAGTGCAGAACCAGAAAGAGAAAGAAATACTGTGATCTAGCAGAGAGTTTGTTATTTCCCTGATCAGGAAGCTTCTATCCTGGGGCTGGAGGAGGGGGCTGGGCAGTTTCCTGATTCCTCTTGCTCAGTTTAGAGAGAGTTCTGATGTGGAGGCTGGTGAAGGTTTTATTAGTTTAGCTCCTCTGTTTGGTGTTGGTGTCTGCTTTAGCTTTGAGTATTTTAGCCAAACAATTTTCTTGAGAAAGTATCTTCTTTGAGGGCTTGCATCTTTTATAACAACATTTTGAACACCATCTAAGTAAAGCTTTTGATAACAAACGAATAAATTTCATCACAGTTGACCTCTCAAGGTTAACAAATGGCTCTGCTGTTGAAGCCGGCATGCATCAAATATCCCGGTGGTGGAAATGTCTCTGTCTGGTACTGGAGACCTGGTAGCATAGCCTTCAGGGGATGCATGATCCCCACCAAGTAGGAGTTCCCCTCTGAAAACTGCAATCGAAAGAAGATTCATTTTTAAAAATCCAAGAAGGGTCAGCTCAGGTGGGGCTCATGTTCACCTTCCCTTTGCACTTAATCCAGCTTTATAGACACAGACTGTATATCTTGTAAGTTCTTTCCTGTGTGAGGAACTGTCAGTCATGCAGCTAATTCCAGTTTTAATTTTAGTTGTTACCTAGATCTAACTAGGGGTGTGCCCTTATTTTAGTTATTCATCTCACCCTGCTTTCATCTTGGGATTTAACCTTCCATTAAAATAACTACAGTAGGCTTTTGACTTTAATGTGATTTTATGTAATTCTACCAAACAACAATGCCTAACATTTATTTAGTTCTTTTTTTAAGGCTCAGAGTAATTAATGTGCTTTTACTTATTTAATCGTTATAATATCCTATGAGGAATACCAGAAGTAGGCCTTATTATTCCCATTTTATAAAGAAATGGAGTCACGAAATAGTCAAGGAGCTTGCCAATGGTCTGTGAGTTCCAAGTACACACATGATGATTTTTCAGTTTTCCTGCCTTCCCTTCTCGGGGGACTTTGTTGCCTTGCTATATACTATAAATACATTATACAGTGTATAGTTTTACTATTCTCAGGTCCATCAAGTTTAATGGGGTAGCCTGGCATGGTTCCTAGAGCAGGATCATGTATATGATAAATATTACTTTATGAGATGATGTATTTTGGCTTGAATATGGCTTACAGTTAAGAAATGCAACAAAATGGAGCATGTCTCATTTAATTTTGTTTCACCAGCACCTAATATGATGCCCAGCACATAGTAGGCACTCAATAAATATTTGTTAAACAAATGAAAACACCTCATTAAAAGATAACATGATAAAGAACAGAAAAACATTAAAACAAGTAAAAGGAAGTACTACTTCACTCAGCAGGAAGTGCTTAAATAGGACAACCTACCTCCACCGTAAATCCCTTGGTTCTTGTTGAGTATCAACCACTGACCTGAGCAGAACGTGGACTCCAACTGAGTGCTCTGACTTATGGAGCCATTGATTTTTGGAGCTGAAGGGGCCATTTGAAATTATTTAAGCCTTCTCCCCTTTTAATTCTTTTTTAATAGAGGAGGAAATTGAGATTGTATTTCATATTGCCTTTAGGAAACAGAAATTACCACATAGTCAAATTTACTTTTGAGTTGCTTTATTGACTTACCTGAGAAGCATATATTTTCTTCTTATGTATATGGAAGAATTTATAAGACTGAAGCACAGAAAGATTAAATGACTCTTTGGGATCACACAGAGAATCCATGGTATAATCCAAAAGGATCATATTTCATGACTATTTCATAGCAAATGGACACTAGTGTCGTAATCATCTCTTGTAAGCACTATATCCCTTGATTTGCAAAATGTCTCTAGCTCAAAGTTCATTATGAAATTCTCAGAAATCGTTGGAAATTAATTTAATTTTATTTTAATTTGCCATCTCCATTCACATAAGTACTCAGAGCAAAATTCTGAGACACCTCCTAGTTGGCTGTCCCTTATATCCTGTCAGTTACCAAGTCCCATCTATTCTAACTCCATGTTCTAACTCCATGTCTTTTGAATTTACCTGCTTTACTGCATTAGATTCTTGAGTGCTCTTCTCTGCTTTCTGTCTCTCCTTTCATCAGTTCTCCATTTAAGTCCTCTAACACGTAACCCCAATAATGTTCCCCTTCCATTTAAAATCTTTGAATGGCTCCCCATTGTCTACACAAGAAAATATAATGTCCTTCTCAGAGCATGCAGAGCCCTCTCTTTTCAGGCTTCTGCCTTCCATACCACCCCCACATTTTGCTCTTCTCTTTACACTCTAAAGCAATAGCCACATTTATCCAGGTTTGCCAAATGCTCTCCATTTCTCTCTCACCTCGACACCTTGGCAAAGACTTCTCCTTCTGCTAGGACACTCCAACCCTTCATACCACCTGGTGAGCTATCTGCATCCTTGCCAAGGCTCAGGTTAGAGTGAATGCCTCTGAGAAGCCTCCCATTCACTTTTAACTTGAATTGTATGATCTTCCCCAGAGAAACAATTTCCTACTCGCTGTTGGGAGTGATATTTATGATTTTTCATCACATCAATGCAAATATTACAGCTTTCAATTAGTATTTCTTTAAGGAATATTTATTGAAGGCCTAAGAAGTGTCAGGCATCCCAGCCTCCCTTACTTTAAATAGGGGGGAGGAGGAAAATTAACTTGAGTGCACTGAACTCACGAGTGAAAAAGAACCCGAGTCTGTGGGAGCCCAGAGGAGAGGTGTCAGATGGGCCAGTTCAGGGAAGCATCTCAGAAGAGGTCATTTCTAAGCTGAATTTTGAAGCATGTATAGGAGCTAGATAGATGAAGAAGCAGGGGGATGGGTGTTGTAAGCAAAATAAAGAGCATTTGGGGAAGCAAATACTGGAAATACTTAACTCTCTCAGCCAGTTACAAGAAGGTTGCTGTAGTTAGGTGGATATGTGGGGAGGAGTGAGGCAGGGGATGACACTTGAGAGGTATGTGGATGCCAGACCATGAAGACCCTCATGTGCCAGACCAAGGAATTTGAACTTCATTGTAACAGTTAGTGAGGGCCATTGAAGGATTTTATGTAGAAAGGTGAGAAGCTTGAATGTGCTGTGAAAAGATTATTATGGTTGTGGTGTACACTATAGATGTGAGTTTGGGTTATAGATGATACAGCAGGGGCTGGGGGTGGGGTTAGATGATCTAAAGAAAGGAACACTAGTGTAATCAAAACAAGAAGTTACAGATCGATATAAGGCAAGGGCAATGTGGATGAAGAGGAATGGCTAGAATTAAGAGAGGTTAAGGGGTAGACTGTGGAGAACTTGGTTACTGAGTGGATGAGGGGACTGAGTGAAAAAGGGGAGTTTACCATGACTCCCAGATTACTGATTTTAGCAACTTGTGGAATACCGAACATTAATTAGGTTCTTACCTTACATTGTTTTAAAATCCTACTGGCTTTAGCAATAGAATGATATTAAACATCATTCTGAAAACCTGACTAATGTTTTATTTTTGTGTGATATTCTTTAGCTAGCCAAAACTTGGTGGCTTATGACAACAATTTATTAATATGTCTAGTTCTGGGGTTAATAGGCTCAGCAAGGCAGTTCTCACTTGGAATTCCTCAGCCAGCACACCTAAATGGAACTGTGGCTACAGCATCTGAAGTCTTCCTAACTCCCATGTCTGGTGCCAGGCTGCAATGACTGGCTGGACAGCTCTTTCTTGGCTTGGCCTCTTCACATGACTATCTTGGGTTTCTCAGGGGAGTCAGCATTCTCAGAGAAGTCGGACTTCTTATATGCTGATTGGCTTCCCACAGAAGTGAGTATTCCAGGAGACCAGGTGGAAGCTACACGGCTTCTAATAACCCAATATTGGAGGTAATATGGTGTCATTTTCTATTCATCAAAACAGTCACCACCCAGCCCATATTCATCAGGGTGAAAGGATAGACTGACTGTCAAACGGGAATGGTTGCTTATCCAGGGAAGGAAAGAATTGACGGTGGCCTTCTTGGAGACGAGCTATAGTACCACCTTTTGCCACTGTTCTTTTTAAGTAAATCGATGTGACTCAATAATTATAGGACCACTTTTTATTTAAAACACAGGATGTTTTTCAACTCTTGGGAATATTTATTTCCATGATGCTTACTCTATTTAACATTATCGCCAAGCCTGCTACTTCGAACCATGCGATTCCTATCACTTTTCCATAATCACACACAAAAAATCTTCTTTTCCTTAATATTCTCTAATTGGAAACAGACTTACCTTTTAAGTAAAAACAAAAAAACAATTGCAATGTTTACTTTTCCTATTTTTCTCCAAGTCAGGGATAGCCAGTGAACTAAAGCAATAAAAACACATTAAAAACATTATTAAACCTAATAGAGGATCTCTATAAAAAGGCTCTGTTAAAAACTAGTTAAGGTGGGAATCAAGTTTTCTATCTTTTTGTTAGAAACAAAATCCCATGGACTGTGAGTGGGACCCTCCAGTATTCATTCAACAAATATTTGTTACAGACCACTGTGTTCTAGGCATCATGCTAAGTGGAATAGTTTTACCCTTTTCTGGGGACCTCAGTATGTGCTTTGTTGTTCAGAGCAGATGATTTTTTTTCAATTTATTTTTATGGAGGTCTTACATGGTATTAGTTATGAAATTACTAGTTCTTTGAACTTCCTATGAAACATAATTATATTAATGTAGCTAGTCCTTATATCACAATGGAGTCATATGAGACCGTTTTCTGGTGACTTGAAGTTTTTGAAAAGTGTTCCAAAATAATAAATACAACATTTCTATTTTCTATGTGTAGTTTTTTATAGCAAGCCTGGATTATGCACAATGAGGGAATTCTTTCTTCAATTCCCTTTAAGTACTATTGATGCTTATAGTGTTAGTTTTTCTTGCAAATAAACTCTTTAAACAAGTAGGCAAACTGTTCACATTTCTTCAGAATGATTTTTTAGCCAGGAAAATGGGGTACATTTTAGGAAGAGGATTTTCTTTGCAGGGATTTTGTTCTGACTGAATAACCAAATAGAGAGTCACGGATTTGAAAACGTTTAGCTGAGCAATTCGGCAATCTCTACTGGGTTCCACAGTAGGATGCCAAATAAAAATCACAATTTAAGCTGTTATGAATTAATGAGAGTCTACAATACACATATGCACTCATTGTAACCCAGACCTAAGTGTGCATGCATTGTGGATAAATACATTTGAGGATAAGCATAGATCCATAATGTACAACTTTAACCTCCCATTAGTTAGCCGTGGTTAAGTTTAGAAAAGTGCTTCCATTATTTAAAACAAAACAAAAAAAAAATCACTCTACTTAGAAGCTTAGTCCTGCCATAAAAGTTGATTGAAATTTGGCAAGAAACAAAATAAATAGTAATCAAATTAACCACATTTTATTTAAAAGCAAAACGATCATGTTTAATGCTTCTGGCATTATTCCTTAAGTAAATCAGTCCTCTTTGGAGTACCTGTTTATTTTTCTTGTGTGCTGATTATAAATTCTTATGCTGTGACTCTTGCAAGACAAATTAATAATTTTGAGTTGTTTTAAAGATAATGATATCAACTTGATGTTATAATGAGCCAGACTATATGAAGGAGGGGGGACCTCTTCGCGGGAGAGGCCAGATGCTTTAGGAAGTCAGCATGACTTCTACTGTGCCTCCAAGGTAATATTAAGAAATCACTGCTTGTTCTATTTAGCATTGTAGCCGTATTTAACATTATAACTTCGGGGGCTCTAGCTACCACTGCCTCGGTTGTATGCTAGACACCAGGAATTCCTAATGAGGGCCAGTTGATATACAGCAAATGGAATGGAAGGTTTTTTCCTCTCCTAAGTAGTTGCTCATGCTCTGTTATTGAGGCTATTAGCTGTTGGAGTTGTTATTTCAGAATCCAGAATCCACAGAGCAGATATTTCATTATTCTTATTTTTAGGGACATGTACAAAATTGGATTTAAGTCAGCTGGTTGCGATTTCCATGCTTGAATTAGGTGAGGGCCCTGTGGATATAAGTCTACTTTAAAATATTAAATTTTTTTCACACAAACCACATACTGGATTGACTCTCCACATTAGTAGAGTTGCCTACTTCCTGATCATCCAGATAGAGATAGCATTATACTGAATAAAATGGAGACATGGTCACCATTTTCAAATGCTTCCTATGGCCACAGATTCCCATGGGAAATGCCTAGCCCTGCTACAGACATATCAATATCCTTAGTGTTTCTGAGGAAAACAAAATAAGAGAGAAACCATTTCGTCCCTTCACCTTCAAATCTTAAGAACACCAACTATAGAGGTGACTCTTAGAAGTGAGAATAAGTGATAAAGAATAGGTTCAGGTTATCACTCTGTTGAAACAGTTAAAGGTTTATTGAAAGCATGCAGATTTGTTCGTATGTCTAAAATACGGTTTTATGAATTCAGTAATTTGAATTGGTTTTCATTGTCAGTAGCATTACCTCCTGGGAATATACATTTAGGGTTCTTGTACCTTTGCCAAAATGAACAAATGAGACATATTTTACAAGAGCTTGGTTACTATAATTTTTCTTTTGTTTTAAGACGAAGTCTTGTCCTGTTGCCCAGGCTGGAGTCCAGTGGCTTGATCTCTGCTCACTGCAACCTCTGCCTCCCAGGTTCAAGCGACTCTTGTGTCTCAGCCTCCTGAGTAGCTGGGACAACAGGCACACACGACCACGCCTGGCTGATTTTTGCATTTCTAGTAGAGTTGGGGTTTCACCATGTTGCCCAGGCTAGTCTCAAATTCCTGACCTCAAGTGATCTGCCCGTCTCAGCCTCCCAAAGTGCCTTATGCCTCCCAGGCATAAGCCACCAACACCTGGCCTGGTTACTATTAATTTTAAGTGATACAGAATTACTATAGAAATGCCCTCTTTAGATTTAGTTGGAAACACAGCAGATAGCTTTCACAATGAATTGTTTTGGTGGCAAGAGTAGGGGGAGCATACGAAGTTTAAGAATGTGTTTCACAGTATTTAATCTGCAAGTGTCAATATAGTTAAATACCCAAACTACTGTGGAATTCAGAGTTATAAGTAATTTCTTCCAAATGTACTGAGTGTCCTCGTCCAAACACTCTTTCACATACTAATTTTAGTGAGTTTCATCACCAGTGTTGTCCTCTCTGCTTTCTTTTACCTGCACTCTTGGCTTTGCTATTTGGCATCTTAAGATGTCACTCCATCTTAAGAAGTTCCTTTTTAGTGTCCCACCCACCTCTCTGATTTATCTTTCTTCTTCTTCTTCCTAAGGTCTTTTTCCTCTGTTGTCTCTCAAATGTCTTTGTTTAAATGTATCATTTTTTTTCTTTTATTCTTAATGTTTCTTGTGACCTGTCTAAAGAATTGTTGCCTAGTCCAAGGTCAAATTTTGATAATGTTGTGTTTTCATTGTCATCCAGCTAAAAATATTTTCTGATTTCCACTATGATTTATTCTTTGGACATGACTAATTTTAAACTGTGTTCCGTGATTTCCAAATATTAGGGATTTTCCAGATCATTTTTGTCTACTATTGATTTTTGATTTAATTCTGTTACGGTCAGAAATCATATTCTGTCTAATTTCAATGCCATCAATTTTTTTAAGATTAATTTTATGATCCAGCCTATGTTCTATTTTGGTAAATGTTTCATGTACAGACTTGAAAAGAATGTGTATTCTGCAACTATTGAGTGGAAGGTTTTATACATGCCAATATGGTCAAGTTAGTTGATGATGGTTAGGTCTTCTGTAGACCTACTGATTTTCTGTCTTCAGCTGACAACTGTATTTGTGGGTTTGTCTATTTCTACTTCTTTCAATTCTCTTCTTTATTGCTTCATGTATTTTGAAGCTCTGGTTTTGTTTTTGTTTTTGTTTTGAGATGGAGTCTTGCTCTGTCACCCAGGCTGGAATGCAGTGGCACGATCTCAGCCCACTACAACCTCTGCCCCCTGGGTTCAAGCAATTCTCCTGCCTCAGCCTCCCTTGTAGCTGGAATTATAGGCATGTGCTACCATGCCTGGCTAATTTTTGTATTTTTAGTAGGTACGAGGTTTCTCCATGTTGGCTAGGTTGGTCTTGAACTCCTGGCCTCAAGTGATCCACCTGCCACAGCCTCCCAAACTGCTGGGATTACAGGTGTGAGCCACCGTGGCTTGCCAGAAGCTCTGTTATTAGGTGAATACACATTTGGGGTTCTTGTACTTTTTGATGAACTGTCTCTTTTATCATAAAATGTCTCTTCTAATTTCTGATAATGTTCTTTATTCTGAAGTTGACATTGTCTGATTAACATGGCCATTTATGGTTTTGTATAATTAGTGTTTACACAATATATCTTTTTTGTTCTTTTAGCCTATCTGCGTTTTTATACTGAAAGTGGGTTTCTCCTAGACAGCATATAATTGGGGTTTACATCTTAATTTAATTGGACAACCACTGCCATGTAATTGCAATCTTTAAACCTTTTACATTTAATGTAATTATTTGATATGTTTGGGTTAAGGATTACTATTTTGTAGGTTGTTTTCTGGTTCTTCCAACTTTACTTATTACCTATTCCCCCTATCCTTGCATTCTTTTGAATTATTTTTTACTATTGCGTTTTAATATCTTTTATTACCCCATTTCCTTGCTTTATTTTTAAAGCACTTGCTTGGGGTTTATGATATATATTTTTTTAACCTTAAGTTAGTCTACCGTCAGCTAACATTGTACCACATTCCATATTATGTAAGAATCTCACGGCAGAATACAATTGTCCCTCAGTAACTGTGGGGAGTTGGTTCCAGGATCACCACATGGATACTAAAGTCTGCAGATGCTCAAGTCCCTTATATAAAATAGCATAGTATTTGCATATAACCTATACACTTCCTCTGCTATACTCAAACCATCCCTAGATTACTTATACTACCTAAAACAGTATAAATGCTATATAAATAGTGTAAATACTCTGAAAATAGTTAGTGTAAATACTATGTAAGTAGTTGTTATACTGTATTAGTTTTAACTTGTATCTTTTTATTGTTGTATTGCTTTTTTTAATTATTATACTTTAAGTTCTAGGGTACATGTGCACAAGGTGCAGGTTTGTTACATATGTATACATGTGCCATGTTGGTGTGCTGCACCCATTAACTCATCATTTCCATTAGGTATATCTCCTAATGCTATCCCTCCCCCCTCTCCCCACCCCACAACAGGCCCCAGTGTGTGATGTTCCCCACCCTGTGTCCAAATGTTCTTATTGTTCAATTCCCACCTATGAGTGAGAACATGCAGTGTTTGGTTTTTTGTCCTTGAGATAGTTTGCTGAGAATGATGGTTTCCAGCTTCATCCATGTCCCTACAAAGGACATGAACTCATCATTTTTTATGGCTGCATAGTATTCCATGGTGTATATGTGCCACATTTTCTTAATCCAGTCTATCATTGATGGGCATTTGGGTTGGTTCCAAGTCTTTGCTATTGTGAATAGTGCTGCAATAAACATACATGTGCATGTGTCTTTATAGCAGCATGATTTATATTCCTTTGGGTATATACCCAGTAATGGGATGGCTGGGTCAAATGGTATTTCTAGTTCTAGATCCCTGAGGAATCGCCACACTGACTTCCATAATGGTTGAACTAGTTTACAATCCCACCAACAGTGTAAAAGTGTTCCTATTTCTCCACATCCTCTCCAGCACCTGTAGTTTCCTGACTTTTTAATGATCACCATTCTAACTGGTGTGAGATGGTATCTCATTGTGGTTTTGATTTGCATTTCTCTGATGGCCAGTGATGATGAGCATTTTTTCATGTGTCTGTTGGCTGCATAAATGTCTTCTTTTAAGAAGTGTCTGTTCATATCCTTGGCCCACTTTTTGACGGGGTTGTTTTTTTCTTGTAAATTTGTTTGAGTTCTTTGTAGATTCTGGATATTAGCCCTTTGTCACAGAATGGAAGAAAATTTTTGTATTGCTATTTTTAAAAAATATTTTTGCTCTGCAGTTGGTTGAATCTGAGGATGCGAACCCATGGATATGGAAGGCTGACTGTATTTCCATTTTTCACATCCCATCCTTTGTGCTACTGCTGTCAGGCACCTTGCTTCTACATATATTATAAACCCCACAACATGTTGTTATTATCTTTGCTTTAAAAAGTCTATTGTTGTTTAAATGAATTTAAAAGTAATAAAAATGATTTTACATTTACTCTCACATGTATCATTTCTATTGTTCTTCAATTCCTTGTGTAGAAATTTCTATCTGATATCATTTTTCTTCTGGTTGTAGGACTTCTTTTAGTATTTCTTATAGTGTACAGGTGCCGGCAATGAATGCTCTCAGATTTTGTCTGAAAAAGTCTTTATTTTACTCTTGTTTTTAAAATATATTTTTCTGTGGCATATTTTTTTATCAGTATTTGAACATGTTTGTCTATTGCTTTTGGCTTAAAATTTCTGATAAGAATTGTGCTGTCACTGTTATCTTTGTTCTGTTCATAATGCGTGGATAGCTACATTAAGATTTTCTCTTTATCATTGCTTTACAGCAATTTGAGTATAATTTTTCTTGTATTGGTCTTTTTCTTTTTTCTCCTTGGAATTTTTTTTCAGCTTTTTAAATACATGATTTATAGTTTCCCCTTAAATCTTTGACTATGTTTATTATAGCTGCTCTAAAAGCCTTGTCTACTAATTTCCCCACCTCTGTCATTTCTGGGTCTGTTTTTGTGGGACTGATTTTTCTCCTGGGTCTGCGTCGTGCTTTCCAGTGTCTGTATAATTTTCAGTTGAATTCTGGGCATTGTAAATTTTACTTGTTGAGGGTCTGGATTTCACTGTCCTCTTTTAAAGAGTTTTTAGTTTGTTTTGCAGGCAGTTAAGGTAGTTGTGGGTCATCTTGGATTCTTTCAAAGCTGGTTCTTAAGTTTTTAAGGATGTGTCTAAAGCAGCCCTTATTCTGGTATTAGTTTGAACCTGTGACAAATGTGACCCCTCTGGAGTCTATACTGAATGTTCCATGTTTTCCATGAGGTCTCCCTACCCTGGCTATTTACAGCACATGAACATCTCCCAGCATTGAGTGAGCTCTGAGGATATTTTAGCTCCAACTCCCTCATAGTTCTTTTCCTGACCTTGTAGAATTTTATTCCACAAGTGTGCAGCCAACAATTTAACAAAAAAAAAAAAGAGGGCCTTTATGAGGATTTCTGAAGCCCCTCTGCATAGCTGATTTCTCCTCTCTATTATTCTGTCCTGCAAATTGGAGCTGCCTTGGCCTTCCTGAGCTCTAATCTTTGTCTCAATTCAGTGAGACCACAGTACTTTGGTTGGGTTGTCCCTTCCTGTTTTTCAGTTTAGAAATTGCTTCCAATTTCTAATTGGAATGCAGGAACGATCATAGAGATAACTTAGGGAAAACAGCTCTGAACTGCCGCTTATCCATTTTCTGAAAATAGTTGCTCCATATTTTGTCCAGTTTTCTAGTTGTTTATGGTGGAAGGAGGGCAAATTCAGTTGTTTGTTTATAGTGGGATTCCAAATCATGGCCAGAATTCTTAGTTTCTATACTACAATTTTTTTTTTTTTTTTAGGCAGAATCTCGCTCTGTTGCCCAGGCTGGAGTGCAGTGATGCAATCTTGGCTCAGTGCAACCTCTACTTCCTGAGTTCAAGCGATTCTCCTGCCTCCCAAGTAGCTGCGATTACAGGCATGTGCCACCATGCCTGGCTAATTTTTGTATTTTTAGTAGAGATGGGGTTTCACCATGTTGGCCAGGCTGGTCTCGAACTCCTGACCTCAGGTGTTTCACTCATCTTGGCCTCCCAAAGTGCTGGGTTTACAGGTGTAAGCCACCATGCCTGGCCTATGCTGTAATTTTTAAAGCAACTTTTGATCAAAGTATGGCACACATTCAGAATGGTGAACAAGTCATAAATATTCAGCCTGAGAAAGTTTTCACAAAATGAGCATACTTGTGTAAACTAACATCCCAGAACATAATCAGCACCTTGGAAGCCTGCTCTTGTCCCTTTCAAGTTATAACTTTCTCCTCAGCAAGGATAACCACTATTCCAAAATCTGCCACCCTTGATTAGTTTTGCTGTCTTTTGAATTTTATTGAAATGGAATCATACTGTATGGACTCTTTTCGGTCTGTCATTTTAAATTCAGTATTATATTTATGAGATTCATCCATTTTGTTTCATATAGCTGTAGTTTATTTTCACTGTATTACAATGTAAATTAATTTATTCATTCCATTTCTAATGTCCTCGTTTGAGGATATTACAGATGGTACAGTTATGAACGTTCTTATTCATTGAGGATAAAGGACTCTATTATTTTGCATCTCCAGGGCCCAGGATGTGCCTTTTATGTACAAAGTGCTCAATATATGCACTCTGTATGAACAAATGAACTATGGTACTACTCTTCAGTGTAAAATCATAGGTACTAATATTATCTCCTTTGAGTATGGTACAGAATATGACTTGCTGAAGTTCATATAGAAACAAGGTCAATTCACTGTCAGTGTAGGGCAAAGTTCATTGGGCCACAATTTCTAGCTTTTATGTTAGGAGAAGAAACCACTAAACAACATTAAAGGAGGATTCAGTTTTTAAGAACCAGGCCTAAAAATCCATAAGTTGTTTTATGGGATGGTTAAAAGCAAAGAGATCCACCCTCCCATATGATTGATTGTAAATCATGAATCAATAGTTATCAGTGTAATTTGTTTTCCTAGCATATGGTTAATATATAAACAATCTTTGTTGAAGAAATAAATGATGAGTGAATTAACTGTAGTTAACTTTAGAATTTCTTTTGGATTTAGTGCCTTTTTATACAACTAGTTATAGCATTAGTGCTATAACTTTGCCCGTAAGATATGTGAAATTGCTAGTGCTCCTCTTTTTCTGGGCATTGTGAATGTTATTTGTTGAGTGTCTGGATTTCACTGTCTTCCTTTAAAGAGTTTTTTAGTTTGTTTTGCAGGCAGTTAAGGTACAAAAGTTTTCTGGCTTTTGTCTACTGTAGTTATCTTTGAAACCCAAATTGCAAGAATGGAGGTAAAAATAATAAAAATGTTCATTCAGAGTAGCATCACTATACAAAATACTTTTGTCTTGCCTCTCTTGGGACACTTCTAGGGATGTTTAAAGGAGATGTGGTGGGAAGTCTCTGCTTAGCAATGGCCCAATATTTTTAAGATACACAGCACCTTCTCAATATGTGGAATCCCCCAAATAATATTTACATGAGTTTGTTTAGAGGTTCTATAAGAGTGACTCTCCTGATTACTAAGAATATTTAACTTGCCATGATTTAAAAATGATGTAAAAGTAAACATAGTTAAACCAACTTGAATCTATATGCTTAAAAATATAACCACATTCTTGTCTCCTGTGTGAATATCAGTTTTCAAAAGGAGCCTGACAGAAATAAAACTATAATTGTAATATAAAGTGTAAACTAAGCCAAGAATTATTTTACCTGAATCCTTAGTTTTTCCATATATATGTGTCTTTAATAGGATAGAGATTAAGAGAACATTTTGTACTGCCGTAAGTGAAAAATAGAAAAAAGAATCTTAATTAACACAGCATCTGGAAGAAATGTTACTGGACTACTTCCTTGATACAGAAAAACTTCAAAACTTGCTTCTTCAGCTACATTTTGTATTTGTGTTTATTTGACTGATTTCCAGAGTTAAAATTAGCAATCAAAGGAAAAGTTTGGAGAATTGACAAAATATCTTCAGGACACATCTATATACAAAACGAGAGCTTTCATGATAGTGTAATTTCACTTACAGAGAATGAAATTTATTGGCAAGATCTTTACTTTCATTCATCACCATTATTTGTCTTTTTGTCTTTAAGTAAGTGATATAATAATGTGGTCTGTGGTCTTTAGTAAGGAAACATTTTGATTGCAAATCAAGTGAGTGTATAACTTTGATTCAATCAAAATTCCTACTGTCTGTTCTTCAGCCTCTTGAGTAATTACCCAAAACTTCAGCCTGTGGCTATTTCAGGTCTTTGGGTAGATAAATAGAGATAGATAGATAGATAGATAGATAGATAGATAGATAGATAGATAGGTAGATAGATAATCTTGAATTTTTCAAGTCTTTAGATTGATGTATGTATATCTATATCTATGTTTATGTACTATAGAATATCAAGAAGAAAATTAAACATTTCAGGAGATAGAGAAATTGCTTTAAATGTAGGAAGTGCCATTATGGAATTCTGACCCTGGAGCAATATTTTATCCAAATGTCAATTTGCTGTACTTCTTATTTAGCAGGTGTTCACACAAAGGTTAAAATGGCTTAGAATTCACTCATTGCTCCTAAAGATAGCTCAGGAATTTTTACCCAAAAAGATGACTCCATCAACATATCATGTTCAAATATGGCAAAGAAATCTAATAAAGACATAACCTAATATACGATTTCATAATTTCTAATATGGAAATAGCTGTTTAAATTTTATTGTGCAGCAATTTAGAATAAGGTATCTAATGCTGTAATAGATATGGTAAAGAAGTTTGGGTTTCAAAGGATTTAGAGAGGAGTGTAGTATTTGAGGTTATAAGTATACACCATTCATTCATTCATTCATTCATTCATCCATTCATTTATTTTATATGAATGTTCCTAGGACCAGTGGGAAGAACATGAAATCTCAGTTTTGATCTCTGTGGCTGGACTCTATCTCTATTTACTGTCTAATTCCCTCTGTTTTAGTGACTATCTAGAAGTTCTGACTGATCACATAAAACCTTTTTTCACAGAGGAGGGTTGTTAAATAAGAGAGAGAGAAAGAAAAATTTATGTGTCTTACACTTAAAAGGATCTTTCGGGCTTTTCCTTTTACAGCTTCTCTCTTTTTCTCCCCATTTGGTCTTTTTTGTGAATGTTTTTCATTAGTTATTTTTAAAGGTAATAAAGATGTGTGACAAAGTTATAGCTCCTGCATTTTTTTCTATTTTTATAGTTGGGTTGGTTTCTGATCATTTACAATGAGAAAGTATGAAATTTGTTTGTATTAAATTGAAGGTGATTTCTTAAAATGGCTCTAGATTCACACAATTATTGTGGATAGTATTTCCTTGCCTTTGGTGAAATCCCTTTAAATTCCTCTGTGTTGGGCTTTCTCATCCTGCAATTCTGAAAACAATTCTGATTCAAGTCCAGCCAATTCCCTAGATTCAGGTAGGGAGTCTGTAGTAAATTTTGGTTTTCAGGAAGGATTTAAATTAGCTTAAGAATAATAGCTTTTCAATAAGTTATTTAGGAAACTGGGATGTTTGAGAAATACGTGCTTATCATTTTAAGTTTAGCATTACAAGGGAAAATCATGGCATTCCATACACCAGCCCTTGATCACTGTAAGAACATGTGATTCTGGGATGGGTGACCCATGAGTCTGATGCTATAGCAGGGCTGTTTGTGGACATCTGGAACTCAAAGTATGTCTACCATCTGCTATACTGATGTTTCAGGTTTTTTGAAACTTTTTCAGCTCAATCTCTACAGTAAATCTTGTGGTATAAGAAAGCCTGCCTGAGGGTAGGAACTTAAGGAGGTTTCCATTTTATATTCCTTTTTAGAGAGCATTCATCTGCATCGCAGAGTCACATAAAGTGTCTTTATCTCTTTCCTGAGGCCTAGTGCCTTGAAGGCTGTAGATATGCGTATACAAAGAGTGATGCTAAATCACATACCTAGACCCTGAAAACTCTTACAATCATGACATGACAAAAAGTAATAGGACTATGATGCCAGTTTCATTTTTTCAGATGAGAACATTTAACATCCTCTTCAGTTGTAATTGATTGAAAATAAAAATCTGCATTTTCTGAATCTTCAGCTTTCTCTGTAAGTATTTTTAATCTTTTCTACTGATGATAAAATGTAAATGTTAGGTGCCTCCTGGTTTTTTGTATGATTTGCATTATCATTTCATTTTCTTTTTTATAAATAATATTTTATTAATGTTTGCTTAGGAACTATTCAAACCATAGATGCCAGCAATTGACTTTATATTTTTTGTCCTATTGTTGTAGCTTTGAATCCAAGAACTGAAGCATCTTTCGTGGCTCAATTGTTCTGTTTACTTATCTTTCAGCATTATCAAATTGCCTCCTATGCACCATGCATGTGGTAGTTGCTGAAGAAAAAAATATGAACAGCACATGTATTCTGTTTTTGAGGAGCTCCAAATTTGGTGGGAAAGGGCACAGATATATACAAAATTATTATAAGAAAAAGATATAAACAACTATGTGGGAAAGGTGCTTAATTATGATTGGAAGCACCCAGATGGCATTCAGGAGGCAGATAAGAAACATGGCCATTTCAACCCTGTTGTCCAGAGGGCCAGGGTCAGATAGAGCCTACAATTACTTTTCTAGGCTGGAAGTCATGAGGCTCACTTAGGAGAAAGAGGCCAGGGTAGGGGTGAAGGCCTGGATGAGGGGAATGGGGTTTGATAACTCTTTCTTCTATGGGTAAGTGTTTGGCAACCACTGAAGGACGATATGTAATGGAACAGTAATATCAGGTATGTATGAAAAATAAAAAGAAACTGGAAGCAGAAAGAGCCATAGTAGAGAATATTTCTAAAATCCAGGCAAGAAACAATGAAAGCATGACATTTGACAATAACAGTAGAAATGGAGAGAAGGAAAGAGTTTGAGAGAAACCCAAGAGTTAGAAATCCTAGGCTCTAAAGGCTGCTTGAATGAAAGAGCAAGGACATCTAGGATGAAGTGCAGGCTTCTGATTTGAATGATTGCATATGGAATGTACAGGCTGAGCACACAGAGGAGCAGATTTAGGGTGGGGTAGGAAGAGAGAGGAGAGACTCTATTCTGGTCAGATGGAGATCCAGGTGCCCATATAACGTCCAGGTGGAGCTGTCCAGGGGGAAATGTAAAAGCTGGGTCTAGGCCGTAGAGAGATCAGGCCTAGATATATAGATTTGGAAGTCAACAGTGTGGACACAGTAGTTATACAGTAATTACCTTAATGGTTGCTATATTTCTGTCAGGGTCTGTACCCATTCTTTCAAAATCAATTGAACTTTTAAATTTATGTCATTTAAACAAAAGCAACAATTTATGCTGTTATGACACATAATTAGATAGCATCTTTTCATGTGTTTCAGTAGACTCCATCGGCATATTTGCATTATCTACAGTTGTTAAATAGTGGATTTAAATGAAGCCTCAGTCAAAACTATGTTGGAAATACATTGCATTTGTTTGTTTTGTGCTAAAACAGTATGGATAGCTTTGAACTATATATGCATGAGAAAAAATGAGGAATAGAATATATTTATTCTCCCTGATAGTCAGGTCTAAAATAAATTAGTTTTGAGAAGACAAAGGATAAACAGCCCAAATGAGAAGTGACCTCCTCAAGAGACAACATCTGAGCTCCTTTCTATGTCATTTTATTATCCCTGGGATGCTATTAGCACTGTCAGAGGTCACTCATATTGACGACAGTCCAAATCTTTAGATCTCTGTTCTTTTCTCCATGAAATTTTCTTAAGTTGCTGAGAATCTAGGAAATGCTTTAATCAGTTGTTGCTGTTGTTATTTTTAATCTGAAAACCACATTTTACTTCTTTGTTTTCTCAAGTCTTGCAAAAGTTTTGAACATCTCTTTTGTACTTCCATGGTTGTTTCACAGAAATCCTTGTGGATCCACTCTGATATGAGAAAGATTCCAGGTATGCAGCAGCCATGTCCTTCCAGTGTGTGACTTGTGGTCATTTTGACTCTGACAACTTATTTAGAGATGCTGATTAGGTTACATGAGGGCCATGTCCTTCAGGGTCTTTTCTGATTTGTCATATCGTTACTGGTCATTTTTCAACGTTACCAGGCAGAGAGCAGTGCTAAGAAAAGCCATCATATAGCGTGTAATTTGGCTTGAGACAGAATGTTGACCTCTCGTTACTAAAGGGGAGATGGGGTGGATCACAGCAAATCTATTGCCTGAAAGTGTGATGATACCTCTAGGATGTCACAGCAGGAACCTCAATAACTGTTCAATTAAAGTCAGATGTTCCACTGGGGGAAGGCACATGTATCACAGCAAGCTAAAGGGCATGATCCTTTCACTTCGGAGGGATAGAGAGCCTTATGCAGATGACCATATGGTTCTTACTTAGAGGAGTTTGTGCTCTAACAAGATGGACAGTATTATTTTCTGGTTCCATGGCGAAATGTTCATGATAGATTTTGTGTGATTATCTTATCTTTTGGCTATAGAATTGTTTCTAGCATCCCTGCATCCAATTGTCTCCACCCCTTTTGCTGTGCTTCTGCTATAATTAAGTTTTGAAAGAGAAGAGAGAGTGTGGGAGTTTGCCCTTGTTAAAGACAGGTTAATTCTAGACATGGCTTTACATGTTGACATTTCCCAGTTAGCTCACAGCTCATAGTAGAATTCTGTTGAAACTGTGCCATGATATACTGCCAGCAAGTGGGAGTGGTGAAAAATACTAGGAAGGCTAGTGATGGCTAAAATAACACAAAATAGTACCGCTGTCATCACCTGTTTTGACAACACAGACCTTACCAAATGTGCAATAAGAAGACCCCTACATATTTGATAGTATTTTAAGGAGGAATAGTTAGCTTGCATCATTGTGATCATTTTTAGGGTAAAAAAAAATAGTAAGTTTTTTTTTTAAGGAAACTAAATCTTCTTATATTAAACAAGCTGGCCATCAATGGTTTACCTACCTCCTTTATTTATTTTTATTTAAAATGCCTTGTCTCTACTATTCTTTGCAGTTTGAAATCAACTTTCAGTTTCTTTCCTTCAGGGAAAAGACAATCATTTAGTCCTTTAAAGTACTTGCTTTGTGTAATAGCCAAATTTTAGGGAAATATAAATTAAAACCACTAGCTATGATTAAATCTGAAACTAACAAATACTTCCATGCCTGCAACATAACTACTTTTTTTTACTGACATGACTATTTGGTGCAAGATACCCTATTTGCAAATGTTTGCACTTGGCTTATCATAAAAGGTGTTTCCTTTTTTTCTCTGAAAAATACCAATTAGCCCTGATTATGTGTTGTCACTCGCTTTATGTTCTTTTTCCAGTGCAAAGAAAAAATAAACAAAACACAGAAGTTGGTCTTAAATATCAAAGATCAAACAAGATGAAGGAAAAAAATTTATTACCCTATGGACTCTTGGAAATTAAAATACAAAAGTCTCCTGAAACAGCACTGCTTTATGTAATGTTGCTGTGCAGCAGGGGCAAAAGCCTGTTTATATTAATCATCCTTTTCTGTAGCTTCCATTGGCAATCAACTGCTGCATTTCAGCTGTCAGAGTTTACCTTACCAATGTTTTCTGTCACTGGGTAGTACTGGAAAATGTTTCACAAACTCCAAATATACCAGATGGAGACTTCCCTGTCTCCTAAAGCACTGACGAATCATTTATTAATTTTCGTTATGGTGATTAAAACCAGTTAGGTAGAAGGGAATCTGGAAGTAAATTAAACACATATTTATTCTAAGCTGGAAGATTTTCTTGAAGTCTTTCTGATTTTTAGAAAGTTTATATTCATTTGTTCTTGTTCAACCTCTGCTGATTTCAGTGTATTTAGCATTTAGCTGTCAGGTAGATTTGAGTTGGAAAAGTTACTTGTTAAGGGAAATTCTTATATAATTATAATAGTTCGATGTTATATGACTTATGATCACACAACTTAGCAATTATGCTATGTAATCAATCACATATTGTAACAGTCCAATATTTCTTAGTCTATTCATACTTACTAGAATATTCCTCAAGCTTTATTTTGATAATTCAAAATTTCCTGACTTATTCTGAATTTCTACATCTATGAAAGACATACCCATGTGGTGCTTACCATTCATGTTTAAATATTTAACTTGATGATAAGATAATTAATACTTAATATTTGCTATGATTAACTTACTCTGACAATTAAATGATTTATAAAAGGTTCTTTTAACAACATATCATTTGTCATAGGCTTGGAAATCCTTTCACTCAAACTTAACCCTTGTTTTACTCCAATTAACAGTGGAAAAGATTGTAAACATCTATTCAAACAACTCGTTCTTATCCTTCCAAACATGCCTGGTGTGGTGGCTCACACCTGTAATCCTAGCACTCTGGGAGGCTGAGGCAGGAAGATCACTTGAGCTCAGGAATTCGAGGCCAGCCTGGACAACATAATGAGACCCTGTCTTTACAAAAAAGTCAAAAATCAGCTGGGTGTGTTGGCCTGAGCCTGTGGTCCCAACTACTCGGGAGGATGGCTTGAGCCCAAGAGGCGGAGGTTGCAGTGACCCATGATCATTCACTGCACTCCAGCCTGGGCAACACAAAAATCCTGTCTCAAACAAACAAAAAATCTCAGTTCACACATGACTACTTCTACCTCTACTTTAAGGAATTTTTTTCCTCCCCAGGTAGATTTTGGATTTTAATTATCTAAGTAATATATAGGCTTATACTTTAGCCTTTGTATTAGGAATTTTCTTTTTACATCATTTTCTGAATCTTAAACCCATACTGTATAAGTTAAACACCTTTGAAATGAAAAGAAAAAAGTGATTTCAAAATAATGAAAACTTAGTTTTCTGCTGTTGTCTTTCAAAAGAAAAAATTCTCTCAGCCAATGGCAGGTTGAAGGACAGCTCTAGTGAGTGGTTGCTGGGAAAAAAAAAGGAGAAAGGTTGGAGGAAGGAACTCATTTTTTCACTAAAGGTGGTATGACAGCATAGATAAAATATTTCTTATTCTCAAGGTACTCACAGTTCAGAATGGGTGGGAGAGCCTGGAAAGTTAGACAGGTTGGTAGAAAATAAGAATTGAATGTGATCCATTGTGTGCAAGATAAGATGGGCACCTAACTTGACTGGGTTAGTCCAAGTTAGGTGGAATTGAGCTAAGAATTTATAGACAGACTTACCCAGACAGAGGCTTACATTCTTGGCAAGTCTAACACTTGGGCAAACTTTTACCCACGTGAAAGAACTTTATACATTGAACATTAATTTATGTTTGTGTATAAACTCTTAACTGATTTATAGATTTATCTAAAATTGTACTCTATCAGTTGACATTGAGACTAGGAATAGGCACTTTTGGATACCTTTCCAATGAGACTAGCTCTTCAATAATGCCTTCAGTCAGGTTATAGGACCGTAATTGTTGTAATCCACTCAGATTTGTTTAGTGCCTGCTGCTTGTATAGCAGCACCAATTGTAGCAGAATGAGGGCAGGGGCAGACAGGGACCCTGAAGTTAGACTGAGTTGGGCATGGATTCAGGCTCTGCCACTTACCTGCTCTGCCGCATGACCTCAGTCACAGTTCCTGGTACATCCCATTCTCATATCTGGTGGCCGTGGAGAACAAAAGTATGTAGACTGCTTAGCATGGTTACTGCAACATAGTATTTGTGCAGTAACTGCTAACTATTTGTTGAATGATTGAATAAATGAGTGAACATCATTGCCATAAATTCTTAGCAAAGTTAATGAAATAGATCCTTTCTACTTTTCTTGGCAATGGATAGGCAGTCTGTTAGTTTTTAATCCCCAAAATACATTTTGGATTTAAGATAGAAATGTATAATAATAAGTATATACAGTATACTACACAGAGAAAACATTTTATAAATATAGATTTAAAAAATAAGTAGTTATAATTAGCACACAGCAAGTAAATGCTCAAAAATGATGTATATTTTTATGATTAGGAAAGTAACTTCAGTTTAGGCTAGAAAGTGGTTAAGAGCATGCACTTTATAGCCAAGCTGATTGGGTTTTGTTTTGTTTTCTACTGCTGTGTAACAAATCATTCCAAAACCTAGGAGCTTAAAGTGACAACCATTCTATCATCTCTCACAATTCTGTGGGTTGCCTGGGCTCATGTGGGTTATCCTCCTACTGGTCTTGATGGGGTGTTTCATGCAGTTACAATCAGATAGTGGCTGGGGCTTCAGTGGCCAAGACTCCCTTGCAGAGCTGGCAGTTGGTGCCAGCTATTGGCTGGGACTAGAGAGCCTCAGTTCTCCCCAATGAGGCCTCTGCATGTGACTTGTGCTGGGTCCCTAAAAGAAATGGACTAGGCAAACACCAGTGTGAAAGTGGCTTTTCAAGTCTCTGCTTATATAACACATACTAACGTCCTGTTGTCCATAGCAAGTCACGTGGCCAAGCCTGGAGTCAGTGCAGGAGGGCACCCCATCAGGGCAGGAATACAATTGTTGGCTGGGGACCTCCAAAATAACAGTCTGCCCCAGGATGGGATCCGAACGCTGCCCTTTAATGGCTCTGTGACCTTGGGCAGTTACTCTTCTTCCTTGTGGTCTAATAAAATATGATACTCATTGGTACTCTCTTCAGAGTGCTTTTGTGATTACTGTTGCCAGCAGTGAGTTAATGAATTAATACATGTAAAATACATGTAACAGTTTCTGATTCATGAAAGCACGTAATAAAGTAAGCCAGTTTCAGTAGTGGTAGTGGTGGCAGTAGTAGTT
Source organism: Homo sapiens (assembly GCF_000001405.40). NCBI lineage: Eukaryota > Metazoa > Chordata > Mammalia > Primates > Hominidae > Homo > Homo sapiens. The sequence goes on along the minus strand of NC_000014.9, from coordinate 36,911,157 downwards.
ATAGTAGTAGTAATAGAATTAGTAGTTGTATCAGCAGTAGTAGGAGTGATACAAGAAATGCCATCATAAGAGTAGAAGGTCCCTGCTTCATGGCCACTGCTGAACTGTAAGAAATCTGTGGTATGATGATGCTTGTGAGAAAACTAACAGGCTGGGTTTAATTTCCTTTTGATCATATTAAAACCTAATTAACTTTTTTATCACAATACATAGGAATAGAAAGCACACTGAAGGATAAGTAACAATTCGTTTAGAGAAGCAAATCAGAATTAACAGAATACAACTAAAAACATCTTTGATTTAGAGAATTAATGTAAAGAACTCTTCCTGGTTCAGTTAAGAATTTTACAGTTCATTAACTAATTGACAGGGCTGTTCAGTGATGAAATGACTGTAATTCCGAAATAAGCCACTAATGAATGCTTAGCATTTTCATGATACTTCTAGGAGAAGACCACAAATAGAGGCCACGAAATGATTAAAATCTTTAGAGATACCTCATATGATCAAAACCATCTATTGAATTCCCCCAGGTAATAACCTCAAAGTTATTTCTTCATTTCACATCAACTTCTAAATATATTTCTGATTAATTCCTTTCTCTCTGTCCCCAGCACCACTTCCAATTCCAGGCACTATTTTTTTCTCATCCAAGCTAATGTTACAAAACCTTCCCAAATAATCACAACTTTTTGCACTCTAATTCTGGTGCAAGAGTTCTCCCTTTAGAAATATGGTGAGGTCCTGTTGCTACCGTACTCTATCTCATCTCCCATCGCTTTAACACCTTTCTTTTTCATACTTGTAAAGTCCAAACTGCTCACCTTGACACTCAAAACCCCCTAGGCTTTGATACTTTATAGACGCTAAGTAATAGAGGTCATTCAATGAAAGAACGACCCAATGCAGGATCAGTTGTAATCTATTTATGGAGAAGTGTCTGTTGAATTCCTGAAATAAGAGTGATCCATGATGATCTCTGTACTTAGACTTGCATCGGCTCCTAGTTTTTATAAATATGTAAGGTATAGCAAGTAACATCTCAGTGAATTTATTAGGTCTGCTTTCCCAAATAAGAGCATTTGACAGTCTGATACACCTGAATAATTGAGAGTAGCGCTTATATCCCTTTACACTTCATGATTACAAGTGTCATGTAGAAGCACTGGCACCCTCTTTAATGCTCTGATTTGTGTAGTAAAAACTGCTAATAAACTACAGTTCTTTGGAATGGTACTGCCAATGTTCGTATTTAGGTAGGAGAGTTTGTATTATGCTTCCACTTAAAAAAAAATCTATATATTCCCTTGTTTCATGTTGTGATTACTTGTAGGTGGTTTACTGATGTAGGAGGGGCACTGGACATTTGTTTGATAAAAATTTACAGGACAGAGATGCACTGGCAGATTTTTTCTTGACAACTGTTTACTTATTAATTTATTTTAAAGCATATTTAGTTAATATAGGTTATGTTACCAGTAAATTTTTCTCTTTTGCATTCAAGTCTATTCTGCTTTATCTGACATTATGTCCTGAATGAGAAGAAAAACCCATGAATTTGGAATAATACTTTCTATATGTCAGTGTGTCCTAAAAATGTGGTTGACAGTGAGGAGAGAATCCCAAGGACTTGCCTATTTAGAAAGAACTGTGAGGTTCTGAGACTGTGAGTTTGGGGATTTTATTTAAAAGGCTCATATCCAGTGCAGTTGAATACGCTTTACTATTTGTCCTGAACAGAGGTGAAAATGAAACTGACTTAAAAGCAAACAAATCATATCAGGGAATTGGTGCTCCTTGGGGTTTTGTCCTTTGCATCTTATCTTCTCACTTTCAGACTTACCCTGGAGGGTCTCATCCCCTTGCAAGGCTGCAGTGGCCATTGTATGTGCAAGGCTTCTAACTGCGTATCATCCCATTTGGTTGCCTACCAGACCCCTCGTACTCAAAGTGTCCCTACTGGTTTCATGGATGTCACCTCAAACCTGTTTTTCAGTGCATGGCACCACCATCTACCATTCTCAAGTCTCATGTTATCTATTCCTTCTCCCTCCCTCATTCTTCCAATGCATCCTTCTCTTTATCTCTAAAATGTCCCTTAAGTCCCTCTATTTTCCCTGCCACCTCCTATCCTGGTTATGGACACTCTTGCCTGGATTATTCAACAGCCTCTTCCTTGGCACCTCTGCCTCCAAGTAAACTATCACCCCAAACCTATACCATTCTTTTCACTGAAGCCCTGAGACTCAAAGCATAGTAAATCAATTATGCTAGTTACCTTCTTCATTTTTTTCTTAGTTTCTCATCTTCCTTGGGGGTAAATTTAATGCTTTTTAACATAACTGGAAGCTCTTCCAGTATCTAGCTACCACCTACTTAACCCTCCATCTGTATTTCTCATGACAACCACCATATCACTCTGTGCTCTGCCCTGAGCTATCCAATATAAGTATCCACAACCACAGCAATGTGGCTATTTAGATTTAAATTTATTAAAAGTAAATAGAAACAAAATATTATTTCTTCAGTCATACTAGCCACATTTTATATGCTAAATAGCCACATGAGGCTAGTAGCTACCATATTGGATAGGATGGAAATCATAAAAGATTTCCATTATGGAAGAAACTTCTACTGGATAGTGCGGTGCATAATAAAATACTCTCATTTCTTGGGACTTGGCCATCTCATTTAGTGTTTTATCCTTTGCTGGGAATGCTTTCTAATTCTTCTTTCATCTCATTCCTCATCAATGCTGTATGCTTTCCCACCATCATTTTTTAAATAGATGACTTTTTAGGGAAGTTTTATCTTCACAGCAAAATTGAGCAGAAAGTACAGAGGCCCATGCAGAGATGCCCCCACTGTCAATATTCCATACCGGAGTAGTACATTTGTCACAGTGAACCTGCATTGACATATCATTATATCAAAGGCCATAGTTTACATTAGGGTTCACTTTTGGTGTGGTATAGTCTATGGATTTGGACAAATGTATAATGACATGTATTCATCATTATAGTATCATACAGAGTTTTCACTGCCCTAAAAATCCTCTGTGCCCCATCATCATTTTTTACATATCATTCCACCTCCCTGAAATTCACTCTTTGTCTGTTCTCCCAACCATATCTTCTATGTCCTTTAATAGCAAATCCGAATTAAACTGTAAAGCTTTTCCATATTTCCCTTCTCTGAAGTCCTGTGCAATTACAAAGTGTGAATATAAAGTAAGCAGTACTTTTTAAATAAAGAAGAAATCGGAACTTATTCACTGAATTCAATATTATTCCTTGAACTGTACCTTATTTCAATGTGCTGCCCTAATACAAATATTTTTGGACACCCACCCTTGGAACATTTTTTAGAAATAACTTACCCTTCACACAGTGATCAGTTTCATTATTCTGTGGCCATATCTCTTTTGGCATCTAAGGTAATATCATCCAGTCTGATAAGCTTCTGTATTTACCACTCTTAGTTCCATCTGATGCTTGGTTCGTTCCAAAAACCTAATCCATCTTCAAAAACGCCTATTGGTTATTTAAGATTATATACCACAAGCTCAAGGGAATCTTATAAAGACCAAAAATGTTTTAGTTGGTGGCAATGTATTTTTAGTACGTTTGTAGATGATAGCCAAGGTGAAAACTTTGAAAGGGTAGCACTCGTTTGTGTCGGTTAGTTCTGATAGGTTTTTTTAAAAAAATAAGCATCCACAATGTATACATACTTCAAAAAATATGTTGTACATGGTAAATACACACAATTTTATCTGTCAATTAAACAAAACCAACCAACCAACCAACAAAACAAACAAGCCAAAAATATATGCTCTTTACTTCATAGCCTCTTCTCAGATTTTTGCAGTTGATTTGATGGTTACCTTGCACACATCTTACACTGTAAAGTTGAACTTATGTTCAATTTTTTATTGACATTTTATTTTTGTTTATATTGTTCCTCCAAGTACATGATAAAAAACTCTCAAAGGTAGGTCCTTATTGATTTTGGTGTCCTCCATAGCATCTCAATTATTGCTAATAATAGATAATAAGTATTACTTTGCAGTTTTCAAAGCCTTCCTAGAGATACGATCCCCCTATTTTCTTACACAATGCTATGAAGCTGGCATTTTTCCAATGATCCCCAATCTCCATAGAGGGCATGGTATGTGTTTTTCTGGGCCTCTAGAAAGTAAGTTAACAGGCAGAGACAGGAGCTGTCCAGTTGCTTTGGAGATCATACAAACTGCAATGGCTTTTCTTTTGTCTATGCTGGAGATGCATTTTTAAGGACCAGTGCAGACCCTCACAGCCATTTTCCTGATGCTGATAGAAATTAAATGACTTCCCAGCCGGGCATGGTGGCTCACACCTGTAATCCCAGCACTTTGGGAGGCTGAGGGGGTGGATCATGAGGTCAGGAGATCGAGACCATCCTGGCCAACATGGTGATACCCCGTCTCTACTAAAAATACAAAAATTAGCTGGGTGTGGTGGCGCATGTCTGTAATCCCAGCTACTTGGGAGCCTGAGGCAGGAGAATAGCTTGAACCAGGCAGTCAGAGGTTGTAGTGAGCCGAGATCATGCCACTGCACTCTAGCCTGGCGACAGAGTGAGACTCCATCTAAAAAAAAAAAAAGGAAGGAAAGAAATTAAACAACTTCCCAGAATCTAGACCTGTTGCTTCATCATCCATGCATTAGAGTCATCTTGGCCATCTACAACCATAGGCACTGTGCTACTTTGCTGCTTTTTTCCCTACCATTTGTATCCCAAATATTTTTCTATTGATTTAAATATAAATCTTGACAGAATTCTCTCTGATTTGGGGGAAATTTTATTTTCTTACATGTTTCTGGAATTTTTTATTTTTTGAATGAACATATATTCCTTTTCAACTTAGAAAAAGTCATTGTTTTACTTAAGTGCTTTAGATTTGAATCACTTTTTAAAAATAGGAACAATTATAATGCTTGAAAAATTCAAATAGTGCATACTGTAAAAATATTTTTAATTCATTTTCTTTCAAATCATAGGAGAATAAGTATTAGTTTCACCTCCCAAATAGTACCTTTTATAATCTGATTACCTACATTTACCTCTTTAGGACAAATTATTTTGAATATGGGAAAGACTCACTGCTTTATAACGGAAACCCTGGGTGACTTCTGCATATCGCCGGTCACTTCACTGTCATTGTGTTCTTCTGCCACGTTACCTCCTCTTTCTTAAGCCACACCCTGAATATCCCTTCCCTTTTTCCATTTGTATATAACTTGAGCCATATCCATTTCTCAGGTTTGGCGACAGTTCAGGATCAAGGGACAAGGTCACAGAGATTATAGACTGTTGAATGTGTGACAAGGCGGCTCATAAAGAATCTGGTCAGATGTCCTTCATTTGCCTTTAATTAACTACAGCTGCTTTTTATGTTGCTAGCCTATCTTTGATCTGCTTTCTCCTTCAGACCTCTGTGCACAAAGTAGTTAAAAACAAACTAGGAGGCCAATTTTAAAGACAAAAAAAAAAATCCCTTCGGGGTAATCAAGTGACAGTCGTAGCAGCCATAAGCTGTTAGCTTTATTCATTAGAGAACTTTAAACATGTCAAGAAATAGAATAATGTTCCTGCTGTTAGATCAGCCTCAACAATGAAGATTACAACAGCTTTGGGACGCATGAGTGGGCAAGCTTCTTGTGAAAACAAGTTTATTGAGGAGCATTTTACTACAGTGGCACAGAATCTAGCTTACACAGTTTCATAGCAGGAATATTGATTCAATATGCATTGAGAAAGTTGGCCCTCTAAGAATGGCAGATTTACAGTGCAACCTCACTCTAACCCAAATGGCCCCTGCAATTAGGTTTAGAAAAACTTCCTACAGCCTATTCTGCTGAAATGGGTGGCCTCTGTTACACCACATAGCTTTTGCTGAAGCATTTACCATAGTTCATGATCCAGCATAAATTGTAGTTTGGTAATGACTGTATAAATCTTGAAATCTTTCATAGGTCAAGGTAATTGTTATAGTCTTCTTTGGAATCAAAATTCTAATGCCAGTAGCACCAATTTTAGAAAAATAGAGTGTACCTTAGAACCAATAATTTTGGCCTAGAATTTAACAATTATTTTGGAAGGGAGTAGGATTCATTCTAATCATATCTAAATAGGTTTACCTGGGCCAGTTTTGCTACTTCATTGTAATCCACAGTGGCCTCCTCATAATTTGGGGGCCCTTCATAACACGAGTGATATGATTTGGCTGTGTCCCCACCCAAATCTCATCTTGAACTGTAATCCCCATAATCTTCACATGTCCAGGGAGGGACCTGGTGGGAGGTGATTGGATCATGGGGGCGATTTCCCCCATGCTGTTCTCGTGATAGTAAGTGAGTTCCCAAGAGATCTGATGGGTTTATAAGTGTTTGACAGTTCCTCCTCCACACACTCACACTCTCTCTTGCCACATTGTGAAGAAGGTGCCTGCTTTTCCTTTTGCCATGATTGTAAGTTTTCTAAGGCCTCCCCAGCCATGTGGAACTGTGAGTCAATTAAACCTCTTTTGTTTATAAATTACCCAGTCTTGTGTATTATCTTTACAGAAGTGTGAGAACAGACTAATACAACGAGAGAACATTTGATTGAAGAGGGAGAAAAATCAAGAACTTCCTTAGTTATATTTTCCATACATTTTCAATTTTCCTAGAGGCTCTTTCTCCTATTAAGTTCCAGAGAAATTAGGCTTGCAAAAATCTCTTGCAACCTTTGAAATTTAAGGGAAAAACCATTCTGTATTTTATAATTTTCTTACCCTTAAAAGTGGCATTTTTGCTCAAGACAAAACTAGATGGCCCTTTGAGTTGCTGATTTATTTCAGATTCTCCCGAATGATATGTGAGCAACCCATTTATTTCTCCATATCTATTGACTTACGCGTGGTCAATTTTTGAATCTGGGTCGGGATTTCCCATTGGCTAAGCCTATAGCGTCCCCCTCAATCGCATCACCTGCCTCTTTCTTGGATCTTATAATTATGTAATGGGTCTTGCCATTCACTGTTCTTGTCAGAGGATGCTCTTTCAAAGGACAAGAATTCAGTCATAGGAAAAGCAGTATTCGTGGAAAATATTGACAGTTTGTCCTCAATTGCCTGAGCGTTTATTCTAACTATTCTGTATTTGAAGTTTGAAAGAACTTTCTAAGAACAAAAAAAGGCAAGAGTGACACTTTCTTGCATATATTTTCAAAGCAAAGTGATTGCGCTTAGTTCGATTTAGAATCAGCTTTCAGCTTGGACACTTACATGGCTAATCCGAAAGTCAGAGGAGGGAAGCAAGGGAGCTGGCTTCAACTGAGGAGCACATGTTCCTAAACTCAGCTCCAGCAGGTTGTTGAATGGTGGGAGAGTGACTCAAGGAAGCCAGATGTTTATTTTAGTTTATCAAGCAATCTAGAACTCTGATTTTTTTTTATGTGAAAACTCCTGATTTTTAAATTTTGGCGACCAATTTTTTTTTTTTTTTTTTTTTTTTTTTTTCTGAGACGGAGTCTCACTCTGTCACCCAGGCTGGAATGCAGTGGCACAATCTTGGCTCACTGCAACCTCCACCTCCTGGGTTCAAGCGATTCTCCTGCCTCAGCCTCCCGAGTAGCTGGGATTACAGGTATGCACCACCAGGCCTGGCTAATTTTTTGTATTTTTAGTAGAGACGGGGTTTCACCATGTTGGCCAGGCTGGTCTCGAACTCCTGACCTCAAGTGATCCACCCACCTTGGCCTCCCAAAGCAATTTATTTTTAAAAGAACACTATGTGAACTGAACAAAACACATCTGTGGGCCATTTTCTGGATACAGGGCCTCAGTCTCCATTGCTGAATGCTTGGGCGAGCTATGAAATGGCTCTTGAAAGAAAGAGAAGATTTTGAGTTCCTTGTTCATGACATTGTGTAAGCAGAAATGTTCACATAAACTGATAAAAACATAATGGCAGCAAGGCTAGTTATAGCAAATGTTTGTGCAGTGATGATTTATAGTGTACTTCTACACTCTGTTTAAATTGGTTCTCAAGGCAACTGTGTGAGGCCAGTAGAACCACTATTATTTTTATTCCCATTTACAAAGAAGAAAACTGAAGCTCAGTGAGTCAGGTTTGTTGTTGTTGTTGTTTTGGTTTTGTTTGTTTGTTTTGCCCAAGCTGGAGTACAGTGGTGCAATCATGGCTCACTGTAGCCTCAACCACCTGGCCTCAAGCAATCCTCCTGCCTCAGTCTCTTGAGTATCTGGGACTACAGGCATAAGCCTCTATGCCCAGCTGATTTCTTTTCTTATTTTTTGTAGAGATGCCCAAGCTAGTCTGGAACTCCTGGCCTCAAGCAATTGTCCCACCTTGGCCGCTAAATAAGCTGGAATTACAGGCATGAGCCACTGTGCCCCGCCACAATAAGTAGTTTTTGAACATTTTGGGAATATAGAAATTTTGAAGAAATTGTCAAAAGTCATGGCCTCCTCTGCCGTAAAAATTAACACTAGCACAAACCAAAATAAACTTAAAAACAAATTTATCATATAATTTCTAGTAGTTTATGAACACCTTCCTTTTTCCAAAATCCGACCACAGGTTAAGAACCCCTGGAATATGTGATTTGTGAAACTTGATACAAAACTCAAACCCAGATTTTCAGAGTTCGTGTGTGTGTGTGTGTGTGTGTGTTTTACTATACGATACTTCGCTCCTTAGAGAATGGCACAGTTGAGACACTAGCCACCAGAGTAGAGCTAGCACAGGCTGAATAGTCATCTTTGACCCTACCTGTGTAATCACTGGGATGGCTGGACTCTGGTATAAGACTGTGACTGGCAAGGACAACCTAAACAGCATAGCTACAACCCTCATCAGAATAGTCTCTGGAAAGCTTCTCAAGGTTGTCTGAGGAATCCAGTATTTCCACACATTTGGGGAAATAATACAATATGGATTTACTTTCTTCATTCTTCCTGCATAGTGTTATATGTGTCATGTAAAATGAGATATCTGCCAAATTTAAATGGGTAGATGCCAAACATAAGTAACTTACACAAGGTACAGAGTTAATCATATTTTTATGTGGAAAACTCCAATACTCAAAAGTATATCCCCTTAAAAGAATGCATAACTTTTAATGAGTCATGTAAACCTCTTGTTAAATGGATGACCTTGGAGTTCATGGGACTTGAATGTTTGTCATACACAGTGCATAGAAGATTAATTGGCTATGAAGATGACATTTGATGCAGAAACTTAAGCTTTAAGTGAACATTCAGAATGAAGAACAGGAAGTTTTAAAAAATAGTTTACTGTTATTTAAATTATAGAAAATCTAAATAGCCTTTATTTTGCCTTTCTATATCCTTGGGAGTAATTTTTACTTAAACTGATTAGGTTTTAAAGCAGAATTCTATATTATGGATTCAGTTTAAGTACTGCAAATGCCCTGTTATTTGTTAGATACAATTTTCCACTAACTGGTACTTTTACAACTAAAACCAAAATAAAAAATAATATTTTTATGTTTTCTTGAAACCAAGCACGATTCTAAAAGTGTATATTCTAATTGATTTGTGTTAGTATTAAATATGTTTTATAAAATTCTATTTATTTTTAAATGCAGTTCATTTATAGAGTTTATGCTTATGTAGTTAGCTTTAAAAGTACATCTTATCCTCTAATCTATATAGGTAATAGTTTACCATAGTTCAGATTAACTCAAAATACAGAATATTATTGCCTTTATTCCATATGACTATGAGATTACTAATCCATCTACTTGTGCTACTATTTGGAAGGCTTATCAGTCTTTACCTCATACTTTTTGTTTATTTAACCTTTTCTACTCCTTTGGATTATATAAAAAGATTGTCTCACAACATTTTCTGGGGAAAAAAGTGTCTGATATATCTTCAACTCATCAAAGATCCATTCCTAAATCTTGCAAATTAATGTGTTTCCTTTCTTATCGGTCTCTGCTCTTCTCCCTCTTTCCAGCTCTACTGGTCCTTACTCCTAAATTCTCCTTTGGGTTTTCATCTCATGACCTAATGTCTTAGATTTTTTTTTCCATGAGGCAATGTTTGCACACAGCTGTTCTGTAATATATAGCATATATTGGCTTGAGAACGGAAATTTCACTTCTGTAAAGTGGTTTGGGATACACTTTTATGCAAGATGCTATGCCAAATTGAATTGTGGATTGTAACATGCAGCCAAAGTTACCTCTATTTGCCCTTCCAGGAAGCAGTTCACAGTTTTAATAATCAAAATGCCCTATTGCAATGGCTCCCAGAGTTGTTATGTAAATCTTTCAAGTAGAGATTATGTCTTCCCTATTTCTGCACACCTTCCCTGACATGATAAATACTTTATAAATGACAAGTTTAGGTGAGCCAGGGCCTTATCCACAAGTTAACATAACATCTTATGAACTAAATGTGTATTTAAAACTCAAGCCATTTCATTTCCTTTCCAAGTTTGCTAATCTCACAGGAACATAGAATAACCAAACTATAAATTAGAATTCCTAATAGGAAAGGTGTTTTTTGAGATGAAGTGCAATTAGTTAATCCCAGTACCATTGTCATTGGGTTGTTAGTAGTGTGGAAAGGAGTCAGTTAATTAAGATTAAAAGTTAGATAGGGTAGGAAGCAGCAAAAGTGTCATTTGAATATTCCAAACCCAGTCTTATCATTTTTCAAATTACAAAGAAAGAGATGTTGCGCAGAGATTTAAAGCTCTGACCTTCTCGATAGTCCTCCATACAGGAGTACACATGTGCCTAAAACTCTACCAATGAGATGTCCCTATCCTCCTGGCCACAGCAATTGGCCAGGGATTCACATGTGACTAAAGTGAGGCCAATCGAAGCCCTTCTAGGGATTTATCTTCTGGAGCAAGCAGAGTTCTGCTTGCCTCTTGCATCATAAAGATGACAGGACAGGAGGTGGAGGCTTTCAGAGGCAGTGTGCTTCTCTGAAGCAGGAGTGAATAAAGCAAGCAGGGACAAACAGATGAGGGCATGTGAGAAAGAGTCTTGGAGCCAAGCATCCCTGCCATTTCCGTCAGTTCATTTATGAGCCAACAAATTCCTCCTTTGTGTTTAGGCCAGTTGGTGTTGAATTTTCTCTCATACAACCAAAAGAGTCCTGACAAATTATTTTTGTTGGAATTGACTACCTGGATGAATAAGACAGCATTGTTTCTCTCATACAAATTCCTCCAGCTTTTCACTAGTAAGGTAAAACAGAAAACATGAAATATGTGTTCACCCCAGAAAACACCATTTTAAAACACAATTATCCCCTTTTAAGAGTATCTTTCAAGTTGCCTGAAATAAATGCTGAATAAATTAAACCCTGCAGTGGAAGAAACAGTATTGTTTCAGTTTTTGTAGACAATGGCATTTTAGATTCTGCTCATTTTAATAACTATATGATGGTCTAACTTGAACTGTATCTTCCACAGTGAGTTTAAATCTCACATACTTGGACTCAGTTTTCAGTTACTGATGTTCCCAAACCCATTGCAAGGCAAGAGAAACCTCAGATGCAGCTTGAATGAACCCAGTGAAGCCTCCTGGCCCTGGTCTCTGCACACTTCATGATGCTACCATTCTCCCTGTAGGCAAGAAGGGCCAATCCCATTTCTTCCTTGGTGTAAGTTGAATTTAGTTCGGAGACGGTGCCATTTTGTCAATTTGCATTCAAGAGTAGGTTGAAACCCTATTTTGTATGCAGATTTGGTTATTTATAATTTGTCTTCCTTTATTAGACATCATGATATGCTTTGGGATCCTCTTTCCAGAATGTTGTGTTTTGATGTTGAACTCTACTTAAACATTTTTTTTTCTTTTCATTTTCATTTTATTTTACCTCAATTTTAGTTTTTTTCTCAAATAGAGACAGGGTCTTGCTATGTTTGCGTGGATCGTCTTGAGCACCTGGCCTGAAGCAATTCTACTGCCTTGGCCTCCCATAGTGCTGGGATTATAGGCATGAGCCACCATACCCAACCTTAAATTTATTTTTTAATTGACAGATAAAATTGTCTGTGTTTATTGTGTACAACATGATGTTTTGTAAATTAGTACAATTGTACTAATTTGTATTAGATACATAGTGGACTGACTAAATCTAGCCAATTGACACATACATTACTCCACATAGTTACCGTTTTTGTGTTAAGAACACTTTACATCCACTCTCTTAGCATTTTCAAGAATACAATATTTTGTTAATTAAAGTCATCATGTTGTACAACAGGCCTTTCAAAATGTATTCATCCTATCCAAGGACAGGCTGGGGAAATGGTGTATCCTTTGATCAACATCTCCCTGGCCACTGCACCACCCCACACCCACTGGCAGCTCTGGTGGCCACCATTGTACTCTCCACTTCCATGAGATCAGCTGTTTTAGGTTTCTCATATAAGTGAGATTGGGGGATGGAGCCAAGATGGCTGAATAGGAACAGCTCCAGTCTACAGCTCCCAGCATGAGCGACGCAGAAGACAGGTGATTTCTGCATTTCCAACTGAGGTACCAGGTTCATCTCACTGGGGAGTGTCGGAAAGTGGGTGCAGGACAGTGGGTGCAGCACACTGAGAGTGAGCCAAAGCAGGGCGAGGCATCACCTCACCCAGGAAGCACAAGGGGTCAGGGAATTCCCTTTCCTAGTCAAAGAAAGGGGTGACAGACGGCACCTGGAAAATTGGGTCACTCCCACCCTAATACTGCGCTTTTCCAACGGTCTTAGCAAATGGCACACCAGGAGATTATATCCTGTGCCTGGATCGGAGGGTCCTACGCCCACAGAGCCTCGCTCATTGCTAGCACAGCAGTCTGAGATCAAACTGCAAGGTGGCAGCGAGGCTGGGGGAGGGGCGCCTGCCATTGCTGAGGCTTGAGTGGGTAAACAAAGAGGCCGGGAAGCTCGAACTGGGTGTAGCCCACTGCAGCTCAAGGAGGCCTGCCTGCCTCTGTAGACTCCACCTCTAGGGGCAGGGCATAGTGAAACAAAATGCAGCAGAATCCTCTGCAGACTTAAATGTCCCTGTCTGACAGCTTTGAAGAGAGTAGTGGTTCTCCCAGCATGCAGCTGGAGATCTGAGAATGGACAGACTGCCTCCTCAAGTGGGTCCCTGACCCCAAAGTAGCCTAACTGGCAGGCATCCCCCAGTAGGGTCAGACCGACACCTCACACGGCCAGGTACTCCTCTGAGACAAAACTTCCAGAGGAACGATCAGGCAGCAACATTTGCTGTTCACCCATATCTGCTGTTCTGCAGCCTCTGCTGCTGATACCCAGGCAAACAGTGTCTGGAGTGGACCTCCAGCAAACTCCAACAGACCTGCAGCTGAGGGTCCTGACTGTTAGAAGGAAAATTAACAAACAGAAAGGACATCCACACCAAAACCCCATCTGTACGTCACCATCATCAAAGACCAAAGGTAGATAAAACCACAAAATGGGGAAAAACAGAGCAGTAAAACTGGAAACTCTAAAAATCAGAGCACCTCTCCTCCTCCAAAGGAATGCAGCTCCTCACCAGCAACGGAACAAAGCTGGACGTAGAATGACTTTGATGAGTTGGGAGAAGAAGGCTTCAGACGATCAAACTACTCTGAGCTAAAGGAGGAAGTTCGAACCCATGGCAAAGAAGTTAAAAACCTTGAAAAAAAATTAGACGAATGGCTAACTAGAATAACCAATGCAGAGAAGTCCTTAAAGGACCTGATGGAGCTGAAAACCAAGGCACAAGAACATGACGAATGCACAAGCCTCAGTAGCCGATTCGATCAACTGGAAGAAAGGGTATCAGTGATGGAAGATGAAATGAATGAAAAGAAGCGAGAAGAGAAGTTTAGAGAAAAAAGAATAAAAAGAAATGAACAAAGCCTCCAAGAAATATGGGACTATGTGAAAAGACCAAATCTACGTGTGATTGGTGTACCTGAAAGTGATGGGGAGAATGGAACCAAGTTGGAAAACACTCTGCAGGATATAATCCAGGAGAACTTCCCCAATCTAGCAAGGCAGGCCAACATTCTAATTCAGGAAATACAGAGAACAACACAAAAATAATCCTCGAGAAGAGCAGCTCCAAGACACATAATTGTCAGATTCACCAAAGTCGAAATGAAGTAAAAAATGTTAAGGGCAGCCAGAGAGAAAGGTCGGGTTACCCACAAAGGGAAGCCCATCAGACTAACAGCTGATCTCTTGGCAGAAACTCTACAAGCCAGCAGAGAGTGCGGGCCAATATTCAACATTCTTAAAGAAAAGAATTTTCAACCCAGAGTTTCATATCCAGCCAAACTAAGCTTCAGAAGTGAAGGAGAAATAAAATACTTTACAGACAAGCAAATGCTGAGAGATTTTGTCACCACCAGGCCTGCCCTAAAAGAGCTCTTGAAGGAAGTACTAAACATGGAAAGGAACAACCGGTACCAGCCACTGGAAAAACATGCCAAATTGTAAAGACCATCAAGGCTAGGAAGAAACTGCATCAATTAATCAGCAAAATAACCAGCTACCATCATAATGACATGGATGAAACTCACACATAATATTAACCTTAAATGTAAATGGGCTAAATGCTCCAATTAAAAGACACAGACTGGCAAATTGGATAAAGAGTCAAGACCCATCAGTATGCTGTATTCAGGAAACCCATCTCACGTGCAGAGACACATATAAGCTCAAAATAAAGGGATGGAGGAAGATCTACCAAGCAAATGGAAAACAAAAAAAGGCAGGAGTTGCAATCCTAGTCTCTGACAAAACAGACTTTAAACCAACAAAGATCAAAAGAGACAAAGAAGGCCATTACATAATGGTAAAGGGATCAATTCAACAAGAAGACCTAACTATCCTAAATATATATGCACCCAATACAGGAGCACCCAGATTCATAAAGCAAGTCCTTAGAGACCTACAAAGAGACTTAGACTCCTACACAATAATAATGGAAGACTTTAACACCCCACTGTCAACATTAGACAGATCAACGAGACAGAAAGTTAACGAGGATATCCAGGAATTGAACTCAGCTCTGCATCAAGCAGACCTAATAGACATCTACAGAACACTCCACCCCAAATCAACAGAATATACATTCTTTTCAGCACCACACCACACCTATTCCAAAATTGACCACACAGATGGAAGTAAAGCTCTCCTCAGCAAATGTAAAAGAACAGAAATTATAACAAACTGTCTCTCAGACCACAGTGCAATGAAACTAGAACTCAGGATTAAGAAACTCACTCAAAACCGCACAACTATATGGAAACTGAACAACTTGCTCCTGAATGACTACTGGGTACATAACGAAATGAAGGCAGAAATAAAGATGTTCTTTGAAACCAATGAGAACAAAGACACAACATACCAGAATCTCTGGAACACATTCAAAGCAGTGTGTAGAGGGAAATTTATAGCACTAAATGCCCACAAGAGAAAGCAGGAAAGATCTAAAATTGACACCCTAACATCACAATTAAGAGAACTAGAGAAGCAAGAGCAAACACATTCAAAAGCTAGCAGAAGGCAAGAAATAACTAAGGTCAGAGCAGAATTGAAGGAAATAGAGACACAAAAAACCCTTCAAAAAATCAGTGAATCCAGAGCTGGTTTTTTGAAAAGATCAACAAAATTGATAGACTGCTAGCAAGACTAATAAAGAAGAAAAGAGAGAAGAATCAAATAGATGCAATAATAAATGATAAAGGGGATATCACCACTGATCCCACAGAAATACAAACTACCATCACAGAATACTATAAACACCTCTACACAAATAAACTAGAAAATGTAGAAGAAATGGATAAATTCCTTGACACATACACCCTCCCAAGACTAAACTAGGAAGAAGTTGAATCTCCGAATAGACCAATAATGGGCTCTGAAATTGAGGCAATAATTAATAGCTTACCAACCGAAAAAAGTCCAGGACCAGATGGCTTCACAGCCGAATTCTACCAGAGGTATAAGGAGGAGCTGATACCATTCCTTCTGAAACTATTCCAATCAATAGAAAAAGAGGGAATCCTCCCTAACTCATTTTATGAGGCCAGCATCATCCTGATACCAAAGCCTGGCAGAGACACAACCAAAAAAGAGAATTTTAGACCAATGTCCCTGATGAACATCGATGCAAAAATCCTCAATAAAATACTGGCAAACCAAATCCAGCAGCACATCAAAAAGCTTATCCACCGTGATCAAGTGGGTTTCATCCCTGGGATGCAAGGCTGGTTCAACATACACAAATCAATAAACGTAATCCAGCATATAAACAGAACCAATGACAAAAACCACATGATTATCTCAATAGATGCAGAAAAGGCCTTTAACAAAATTCAACAATGCTTCTTGCTAAAAACTCTCAATAAATTAGGTATTGATGGGAAGTATCTCAAAATAATAGGAGCTATCTATGACAAACCCACAGCCAATATCGTACTGAATGGGCAAAAACTGGAAGCATTCCCTTTGAAAACTGGCACAAGACAGGGATGCCCTCTCTCACCACTCCTATTCAACATAGTGTTGGAAGTTCTGGCCAGGGCAATCAGGCAGGAGAAGGAAATAAAGGGTATTCAATTAGGAAAAGAGGAAGTCAAATTGTCCCTGTTTGCAGATGACATGATTGTATATCTAGAAAACCCCATTGTCTCAGCCCAAAATCTCCTTAAGCTGATAGGCAAATTCAGCAAAATCTCAGGATACAAAATCCATGTGCAAAAATCACAAGCATTCTTATATACCAATAACCAACAAACAGAGAGCCAAATCATGAGTGAACTCCCATTCACAATTGCTTCAAAGAGAATAAAATACCTAGAAATCCAACTTACAAGGGATGTGAAGGACCTCCTCAAGGAGAACTACAAACCACTGCTCAAGGAAATAAAAGAGGATACAAACAAATGGAAGAACATTCCATGCTTATGGGTAGGAAGAATCAATATCGTGAAAATGGCCATACTGCCAAGGTAATTTATAGATTCAATGCCATCCCCATCAAGCTACCAATGACTTTCTTCACAGAATTGGAAAAAACTACTTTAAAGTTCATATGGAGCCAAAAAAGAGTCCACATTGCCAAATCAATCCTAAGCCAAAAGAACAAAGCTGGAGGCATCACACTACCTGACTTCAAACTATACTACAAGGCTACAGTAACCAAAACAGCATGGTACTGGTACCAAAACAGAGATATATACCAATGGAACAGAACAGAGCCCTCAGAAATAATGCTGCATATCTACAACCATCTGATCTTTGACAAACCTGACAAAGGCAATAGGGAAAGGATTCCCTATTTAATAAATGGTGCTGGGAAAACTGGCTAGCCATATGTAGAAAGCTGAAACTGGATCCCTTCCTTACACCTTATACAAAAATTAATTCAAGATGGATTAAAGACTTAAATGTTAGACCTAAAACCATAAAAACCCTAGAAGAAAATCTAGGCATTACCATTCAGGACATAGGCATGGACAAGGACTTCATGTCTAAAACAGCAAAAGCAACAGCAACAAAAGCCAAAATTGACAAATGGGATCTAATTAAACTAAAGAGCTTCTGCACAGCAAAAGAAACTACCATCAGAGTGAACAGGCAACCTACAGAATGGGAGAAAATTTTTGCAATCTACTCATCTGTCAAAGGGCTAATATCCAGAATCTTCAATGAACTCAAACAAATTTACAAGAAAAACAACCCCATCAAAAAGTGGGTGAAGGACATGAACAGACACTTCTCGAAAGAAGACTTTTATGCAGCCAACAGACACATGAAAAAATGCTCACCATCACTGGCCATCAGAGAAATACAAATCAAAACCACAGTGAGATATCATCTCACACCAGTTAGAATGGCAATCATTAAAAAGTCAGGAAACAACAGGTGCTGGAGAGGATGTGGAGAAATAGGAACACTTTTACACTGTTGGTGGGATTGTAAACTAGTTCAACCATTGTGGAAGTCAGTGTGGCGATTCCTCAGGGATCTGGAACTAGAAATACCATTTGACCCAGCCATCCCATTACTGGTTATATACCCAAAGGATTATAAATCATGCTGCGCTAAAGACACATGCACACGTATGTTTATTGCAGCACTATTCACGATAGCAAAGACTTGGAACCAACCCAAATGCCCATCAATGATAGACTGGATTAAGAAAATGTGGCACATATACACCATGGAATACTATGCAGCCATAAAAAAGGATGAGTTCATGTCCTTTGTAGGGACATGGATGAAGCTAGAGACCATCATTCTCAGCAAACTATCGCAAGGACAAAAAACCAAACACCGCATGTTCTCACTCATAGGTGGGAATTGAACATTGAGAACACATGGACACAGGAAGGGGAACATCACACACCGGGGCCAGTTGTGGGGTTGGGGGAGTGGGGAGGGATAGCATTAGGAGATATACCTAATGTTAAATGACGAGTTAATGGGTGCAGCACACCAACATGGCACATGTATACATATGTAACTAACCTGCACATTGTGCACACGTACCCTAAAACTTAAAGTATAATAAAAAAAAAAGTGAGATTATGTGGTATTGGTCTTTCTGTTCCTGGCCTTATTTAACTAACATTATGTCTTCTAAGACCATCCATGTTGCAAATCACAGGATTTCCTTCTTTTTATGGCTTAATAGCATTTCATTGTTTATATATACCACATTTCCTGTATCCGTTCATCTACTGATGGGCACTTAGGTTGATTCCACATTTTGGCATTATCGGAGCATTAAATATATCTCTCTCAGAATGAACTGCAAGAAACATTGGAGTTCAGATATGTTTTCAACATACTGATTTAATTTCTTTTGTATATATATACTCAGTAGTAGGATTGCTGAATCAGATGATAGTTCTTTATTTGATTTTATGAGGAACCTCCATACTATTTTTCATAATGGCTGTACTAATTTACATTCCCAGCGAGTGTGTGAGGGTTCCCTTTTCTCCACATCCTTGCCAACACTTGTTGTCTTTTGTCTGACAAACTATGTTTGGACACATAATGTGGTTAGCAAGTCTGTGATGGCACCGTTTGATCAGGGTAATGCTTAACCACTACATCAGGGATCTAACAATATAGTGGCTTAAGGAACAACAAGCTTATTTCTCTTTCATGTAGCAGCCCTGATTGTAATTTCCAGGTCAGCACAGAATCTCTGTTCTTCATGGTCGCTATGTGACACAGGTTCCTGCCACTGGTTGCTCCACAATCCCCTAGACTATTCTTTGTCATTTGTAAGGTATAACTTAAATCACTGCCTCTTTGAAGTTCCAGTTAGTGGGAAGGGGAAATCGGGTATTGAAGAGACATATTCATAGTCTTACGCGCTCTGCCTCTCCTATCCATAGGTGAAAAGTTAGTCACATGGCTACACTCAAGAGATTCTGGGAAACGCCATCTTGCTGTGACATCATGAAACATGAAAAAAAAGAGGGAATAGATTTTGCTGGTGCTACAGTATTGTTCCCAGGAGTATAAATACTCCTTTTAGTTTCTGCCATTGTGTTGCATGTTGCCTATATATACTTTAGTGTATAAGAGAATAAATGAAGAAATTGATCCTTGTAGCATCAAAGCAGCACATGAAGAAATCAGAGTTATAATAGAAATGTTGCTCTTCACATTTTGCTCTATTTATTCAAAAATTACCTGGTAGCTAAATCCAGTCACTGAGTGAATACAGAATTCATACCTCTCCTATGAAGTCACCAACAGATTATGAAATCTGGAAAATAGATAAATGTTAATTTACTTTTTTAAGGATTTACAATGCCCTTGGTGACATTATGTTTATTCATATATGTTTTCAGACTTTGTAGTCACCCTGTAGAATTCCAAGGGAGATTTTCAGAGTTATAATTTTCATCCATCAAGAGATTCTTTTAGTGCTAATACATTTTATATTGATTGACAGAAAGTTAGGGCCACCGCCTTTCCTAGAAAAGATGATTAGGTCCTTTAAAATAGGTTTTTCATTCGTTGGTATCTAACCTTGTCTTGGAATATGAGTATGAAATGTATCCATTTACTTTTGAGGACTTAATACTGTCGATTACAAGTCTTTCAAGGCAGTTGTATTTTGGTTCTTAGAAAAGTAACCCGTCTTTGGAGGCCTGTATTTGTACACTTGTTTTATTCAGTGTTTCAAATTTTTTGCATTTCTTTACGACATGCATTGACTATTAGGTATATTGACTACTTAAAGTGTACATATTGTGGTCATTATAGGATATTACTTAAACAGTTGTTAAATCATAAACTCAAGTGAACTTTGGAGATCCAATCAAAACAAAGAGAACATCTGAATCTAGTTCAGGGAATGGTGAATGTGTTACTCCTCCACGTGGTTGCTCTTCAGGTACTTGATATTACTCAATTATAAATTCAAACTTTTATTTATTTGACATTTTCATTTACTTCATGGATGTTGTGGTGTACCTTATCCTGGACATTGAGGATACAGTGAAAAAATCCAAATGTTAGTAGTTACTGTAGATGAATACAAGTGGGACTTAGTAGTTATCTTAGTGTTAACTTCATCTCTTATTTTCTGCCTCTCTCCCTCCAGTATCCTGATTCCAGCAGGACCAACAAGCCTCTACTCTCAATACCATGTTCTCATCCCCATCATGTCCTCAATTCCCTCCTTGCAAGCCTAAGTCCTTGGCCAATCATTATAATTACTCGCTGCCATGCACTCATGCCTTTGCCCTCTGTCATTTCCTCATATTCATTTGGCAAAAGCTTAACCTGGTTAAATGTGAGTCTTCCTAAACCCACACAGCTGAATGTCAGTAGACAAAAATGACACTTTACATGCATGACGATTGGCCTCAAATGGATTCTCAGTGCTACTCAGTAATTTTATGATGTTTTCCTGGCCCAATCCCTTCCTCCCTCCTGCAGAAGACTATTTCATACCTCCCCCTGCTCTCTCCAAATCCCCTTCCTTATCCTCACTCTAGGTTGACAACCTTGCTTCCTATTACCCTGTGAAATTATAAGCCAGAAGAAAACTAGCATCTAGAACTATGCTGGAAGCACTATGTACACAGTAGGCACTCAAAAAATATGTGTTGAATGAAAACTGTCCTGGACAAGAACTTGTCCAACACCTAGAAAAGGGAGATAAAGCATATTTAATGTTGAAAAAGAATTTAATGTTGCAAAGAAGCATCCCAAGGTGCTTGTTGGGATGAAGGCCATAGAGGCAAATATTGTTTAGTGAGCTAGTAATTTAAGAATATTAACTGAAATCAAACATTAATTTTTATTTAAGGCTGAGTGTTGTGGCTCACACCTGGAATTCTAGCACTTTGGGAGGCTGAGGTGGGAGGATTGCTTGAGGAGGAGTTTGAGACCAGCCTGGACAACATGTGGAGACCCTGTCTCTACAAAAAAAATAAAATTAAAAAATAGCTGAGCATAGTGGTACATGCCTGTAATCCTAGATATGTAGGAGGCTGAGGTGGGAGGATTGCTTAAGCCCAGGAGTTTGAGGCTGCAGTGAGCTATGATTGCACCACTGCACCCCAGCCTGAACAACAGAATAAGACCCTGTCTCTAACATCAATCAAATTAATTAATTGATTAAGATAATGTTTCCCATCAGTACTAATGTATTCAATGTTATTACAACTAAATATGTATGTTATGAAATGTATCTACCTTTGTATTTCTGTAATTTCTTATACTTTGGTATCCAAATATTGTTCTTCAGCTGGCACTTATTTTACATGACATGCAGTCAGTTTCATTTTGGTAAGTTTTTCTTGTGGAAATAAAGATTATCCTAATTAATCCACACCTAGTAGAAATCTTGTGTGATTAAACTATATGGCTGCCTATAAAAGGAATCTGTGAAATGGAGTCAACCTTCTCCCTCTTTTCCCCCACAAGCCAGACCATGATAAAGGATATGTGTATGGAATTTACCTGGAATACTTGGCTCAGTAAGTCAGAATTCATGGGAGCATAGCAAAGAGGCCAGTGTAGAATAACAGTTCAAAAAGAATTTGTGTAGCTATGGTTCCAGGTCATCAGCAAATATAAAATTAAAAGCTGACACCTAAAGACAAGTATTGTAGCAGCGTGATTAATTAAACGCAAGCAATTTTGGCTACATATTAAAGAAAGCTAATGGTCAGAAGTCATTTACTCTGTCAAGATGAATATGATTGCAAGAAGTAATGCTAGTTAGAGTGGGGAAAAAGCATTACAATTTCATTTTCTTTTTCTTTAATGGTAACAGGTGTCCATGAGTAATGGGAAGAAAAGACCTGGCTACCTGTGACCTACAAATCTGAATTCTTCATTTAGTAAGATGATGTGTATTTGCTTGAGGTCTTCCACCTGTTTCTGTACATCTAATGAATGGCTAAAGGTTGAACAGACTTTGAAGCAACATTTCCTCTTTCTTCTTGTAAGATACACCGTAGGAAGGGCACAGAGGGAGGAAGCTATTTTCCTGTGCACACACATGGACACATTACATATCTCACATATTCATACATATTTATATATATAACATATATATGAATATATAGACATTACAGAACATATATAGATATAATCTGTATAATTTGCTCTCATTGCTTAATTTCTATGTGGTCAACATAATAGAAACTTCTGCACAGTAGAGTGGCAAATCACAGGCATGTTGGGTGGGTTGGCAAGTCGGTTGGTTTTCTTGAATATCACTTTCTAAGGAATTTTTTAAAATTCTGATGTAGGATCATAATTTTTATTATTAAATTGTGATGAACAGAGAATATAAGCTAAAGATTAACTTTATGGCACCTTTGGAAATTTGCAATTAGCAAAGTTAAAGAACTACTGGAGATTTTTAAAAATGACCCTCCATATACTATAATTGTAAAGCTATTTGAACCTAGTAGGCTAAGCAACAGAATTTATGGTCAGATTTGGGCAGTAGCATGCTGGTAAGTGTTTCACAATTGCCTCCCTGGAAAACAGACAAACAAAAACTGTGATTTATAGCATTTGCCAGCTTCCTTAGTGTAAATACTCCCACCATGGCCAATTTTGAGCTACTAACATGATGCCGCTGAATGCAAGTGAGAAAGTGTGGCATACACCCTGGCCTGTGAGAGTCAGCTTCAGCACGTCTCTGGAGGGGTGGGCAGGGTGGAGCACAATCTGTTCCTGACTCTTGTGTCAAACTGAGAGCTTCTTTTTAGGCAATTAAATCAAAGAAGAAAGGAAAACTAATTCCATAGAAGTTGTGAGAGAGAAAGAAGAAATTCTGAGAAGAGAAAAATATATGTATCTTTCTGGTTGATAGAGAGGTAGAAAGCAAACAGAGTCCCCAGAAATGGGCAAGTCTTGTGTGGAGTTGAAATAGAGGTCCTGGTACTCTATAAGCTGCCCTCTTCCCCAAGCCATAGAGCTTAAACCCCTCCTTCAGCTGCCTTTCTGGATTTTAATGACCTTCCAATGTTGAAATGCTGGTCAGCATGAACAATTTTTTTCCTTTTTTTTTTTTTGCAATGGAGTCTTGCTGTCTTGCCCAGGCTGGAGTGCAGTGGCGTGATCTCTGCTCACTGCAACATCCGCCTCCCAGGTTTAAGCGATTCTCCTGCTTCAGCTGCTCAAGTAGCTAGGATTACAGGTGTGCACCACCACGCCCAGCTAACTTTTGTATTTTTAGTAGAGATGGGATTTCACCATGTTGGCCAGGGTTGTCTCAAACTCCTGAGCTCCCATGATCTGCCCATCTCGGCCTCCCAAGTATCGAGATTACAGGTGTGAGCCACCGCGCCTGGCCTTTTTTTCACTTTAGATAAGCAAAATACAATACAAACTTTTTCTGAATGAATATATATATATATATATATGTAGACACACATGTGCATGCATTACATATCTCACATATTCATACATATTTATATGTAATATATATGAATATGTAGACATTACAGAACATATGTAGATATAATCTATAAAACAAGTGGCCCTCTATTTCTCTCTATTTTCTTCACATTTCCTTCTCTTTAAAGACATTTTATATACTCAAAAGAATTTTTCCTTCTGCCAACTAATCCACACCTTATTTTCCCCCTGGTGTTTCTCGTTGCATTGTTGATTGTGGTAAAAGCCCACATATAGCAGTAAGCTTCCATAAAAGACCAACACATCTGAAAATTGGTTCACTTACCCAAGTGTATGTGGAGCTTGCTTGGGGTCTAAAATAGAGTTAAATAACAAAGAGGAAGACAAGAATAACTTCTATTGAGTTAAAATACCAAACAATATTTTTTAAAGACATTATATTGAGCTGAAATTGACTTACATAAAAACTTTGTTTACAGGTGAGATTTTCATTAGTTTAATAATTTTCAGCCTATCTTTGCATTCAAAGTGTGAGTTAAAAAAAACTCACTTATTTTAAAACTCTGTCTCAACTTTTCTTCCTCCTTTAGACATGCTCCATTTACCGTGATTTCTAGACCATAATGTGTGCATATGGTTTATACCTCTGAAATATATTTCCCTAAATTCTTCAGTGAGTTAAAAGTAAACTCTATGAGAATAGGGAGTATACAGTGAGGAAAACTGCATTCCCTATAGACACATGCTAACAGCCATTGCTTAGTGTTAGTTACGTTTAAAAAATATACGCACATGGTAAACTTATGTGAAAGTGTTTGCAAGTTTTTCAAGGGAGGCTGTGGCTTGCTCAAACGCATAACTTTTAACAACATCTTTCAAACCTGCCAAATCACGTTGCCTATTTGGCCAATTCAGTGTGTATAATATTAATTTACTGTGCCACAAAGGTAGTGCACCTTAACTATTATTAGGGGAGAGTATAATATATTTGATTTCCCTTTATGAGTCTCACATTGCTTATAATTGAGTAGGGCTACTACATTTTCTGGGCAGGCTATCAAATAGGATGTTGTAATGATTTGCTTGACTACTAGAGCAGATGAAAATATATCAGTTCTGTCTGTAGTTGTTCTGTTTTTGAATTTGAAATCTGCACAGTTTGAAACCATTCATTCCTCTATGGTTCCCTTTAAAATATAAAAGTATTTTTTTATGTTTTAAAGACTTAAGAATATTACACAAAATCAGTTAAGTAAATGGTTAAAACAGTGTGAACTTCAGAGAACATAAGAGGGGTCTTGGATTTAATTCGAAAACATCAAGGAAGTGGCAGTAGTACAATGCAAAGATTTGGGCCTGATAAAAAGAAAACAGGTTTCACTTGTAACTGGCATCTCAGGGAATCCTGAATGCTCCAATTGTTGGTCTGCACTGCTTTGCAGTTTACTGAGATGTTAAGATATTTTGTGCTCCATAAAATACTACTTACCAAAATTATTTTAGACACATAATTCCTCTGTTTTGCTTACAGGATACATA
The DNA here is from genome assembly GCF_000001405.40 of Homo sapiens. Classification (NCBI taxonomy): domain Eukaryota; kingdom Metazoa; phylum Chordata; class Mammalia; order Primates; family Hominidae; genus Homo; species Homo sapiens. The sequence continues at coordinate 36,885,677 of NC_000014.9, read as the reverse complement.
CAGACTCAAAACTTATCAGTACACTTACTTCCTCTTTAAAACAGTATCATGAAGACAATACAAGTAAATGGAAAGATACCCTGTGTTCATAGGTTGGAAGAATTAATATTGTTAAAATGTCCATACTACTCAAAATGATATACAGATTCAATGTACTCTCTATCAAAATTCCAGTTTAATTTCCACAGAAATAGAAAAAATAATTCTAAACTTTGTGTGGAACCACAGAAGACCCTGAATATCCAAAGCAAACCTCGAGCAAACATGACGCTGAAGGCATCACACTACCTGACTTCCAAACCTATTACAAAGTTATAGTAATCAAAACAGCATGGTACTGGCATAAAAACAGACACATTGATCAATGGAACAGAATAGAGAACCTGCAAATAAACCCATGCATTTATGGTCAATTGATTTTCCACAAAGGTGCCAGGAACATACAATGGAAAAAGCACAGTCTCTTCAATAAATAGTGTTGGGAAAACTGGATATCCACGTGCAGAACAGTGAAATTTGATCCTTATCTCACATCATGTACAAAAATCAACTCAAAGTGGATTAAAGACTTAAACGTAAGAGCTGAAACTGTAACATTACTAGAAGAAAACATAGACATGACATCTGTCTGGGCAGAGATTTCTGGGATATATCCCCAAAAGCGCAGGCAGCAAAAGCAAAAATAGACAAATGGAATTGCGCCAAACTAAAAGGCTCCTCCTGCACAGCAAAGGGCATTATTAAGAGAGTGAATAGACAACCCATGGGTTCGGAGAAAATACTTGCAAACCACATCTGACAAGGGACTAATATTCAAAATATATAAGGAACTCAAATAATAGGAAGAAAACAGATACCCCATTAAAAATGAGCAAGGGACTTGAAGAGATATTTCTCAAAAAAAGACATACAGGCAGCCAACAGACATATAGAAAAATGCTCATCATCAGTAATCATCAGAGAAATGCAAATTAAAACCGCAATGAGATATCACCTCACACCTGTGAGAATCACTGTTACTAAAAAGATGAAAGATAAAAAGTGTTGGCAAGGTTGTGGAGAAAAGGGAACCCTCATACATTATAGGTGGGAATGCATATTAGTATAGCCATTATGGAACACAGTATTGAGGTCCCTCAAAGAACTAAAAATAGAATTACCATATATGATCCAGCAATCCCACTTCTGGGTGTATATCCAAAGGAAATGAAATAGGTATATTGAAGAGATAACTGCA